>NC_000001.11:116523531-116826562 GCF_000001405.40 Homo sapiens
TGCTAGGTGCCCCCGAACATCATTTTCCCTTCTTTAGTAGCAAAATTCAGATATTCCTTGGCAATAATACTCCCCAAGTAGTGTTTGTATACTTCCCTTAGGTGGCATACGATGCCTGGTTGCTTTTCTTTTCATGATGTCAGTGCCACTGAAGATCATTGTCTAGAGCCATAAGTTCATCAAGGGTTTGCAAAGTGGTTTAGTCTATCATTCCTTCTTTACTAACTACAATCTTCACATAAAGATAAACTGCCCCTCATCAACAATGTGGTTACTCTGAGGTTCAATTTATATAGGAAAAGCAGCATTTGATTCTTCTCTTTCTTTATCGTTTTTCAAAATAATGAGTTAGCTCCCAAGCATTCTCTAGAGATGACCAGTGAGTTTTTAAATTTGTTTTTAGTACATTATGAACGCATGAACTGAGCACAACTGATGTGTTTCAATCTACTGAAGTTGTTATTCTTATTGATGTTCCAATTGTCTTATTTTTGGCCAGAGGGAACCTCTTCAGAGTGGCTCCTGAGTCCTGTTCGTACCATCATGTTAAGTCTTTTTGATAGCTTTCTTGTTCTGTGGTAAAATAAGATACTCAAGGCTTATTTTAATGCATTCCATGCCCCAGGTATGGAATCAGCCAACTGTCCCAAAGGCCCTAGTTCATTTTCATGGGAAATGATAATTAGGTACCATAATCTGGGTGAAGGTGGCCAATCATCCTGGTTTTCCTGAAACTGAAGAGTTTCCTGGGATATGAAATTCGGGTGCTGAAACTGGGAAGTCTGGGCACACCAGGTAACACTGGTCACTCAAATCTGGGTCCAAGAACCAAGAAGCATGCAAATTGCTACAGGACTGGCTCTTGTTTCTAGAACATTTCAATGGACAGAACCAGGAAATACACAATTTTCTAAGAGACAAAATACATTAATGGGTCATGCTGGCATTATGCTGAACCCTATTAAGCTGCCAAGATTCAATGGTTTTTGACTAGAGAAACAGCAATTTCATATGGTTCAAATTAATACCTTTAAATAAATCCAGGGCTACAATGTTTACTTAACCTAATCAATTTACAGCTGAATCTCCTTTCTTTCATGCCAAACATCCCAATATTCAATAACAACAATATAAATATTCATTTGCATTTTCCTGCAATACATACTCAACAGTAACCAAATACCAGCATTACTGCTAACTACATAATTACTTAAAACATTACAATTTTTTTCTTTATAGTTCTTTTTATCCTTAGAATGCAGCCCCTTGAAATATGCACCCAAATTACTATGTTTTGAAAACACTTGGAATGGTTCCTCTATTTGGGGTTATTCCACAAACTTGATTCATGGCTTAGTAAGTTAGCTTCACTTGGCTTTAAATATTTTGAGTTTCAGGTTCACAACAAAACTGAGCAGAAGTTACAGAAAGTTTGTACATACATCCTGCCCCTACACATGCATAGCCTCCCCATTATCAATATCCCTCACCAGAGTGGTACATTTTTTAGAATTAATGAAACCATTCTGATACATCATTATCATTAAAAAATCCACACTTTACATTAGCATTCAGTTGTACATTCTGTGGGTTTGGACAAATGTATAATAACATCGTTACAGTATCATACAGAGTATTTTCACTGCCCCCAAACTCCTCTGTGTTCCACCTATTCATATCCCCTGCCAACTACTAATCTTTTTACAGTCTCCACAGTTTTGCCTTTTCCAGAATGTCACATAGGTAAAATTTGCATAGCATGTAGCCTGTTCAGATTGGATTCTTTGACTTATAATATGCATTTAAGTTTCCTCCATGTCTTTTCATGGCTTGATAGTTCTTTTCAGTGCTGAATAATATTCTATTGTCTGTATGTACCACAGTTTATTTGTCCATTCACTTACTGAAGGACATCTTGGTTGCTTCCAAGTTTTGACAATTATTAATAAAGATGCTATAACCATCCATGTGAAGGTTTTTATGTCAACATAAGTTTTTAATGCCTTCGGGTAAATAGCAAGAAGCATGACAGTTGTGTTGAATGGTAAGAGTACATACAGTTTTGTAAGAAACTGCCAAACTGTCTTCCAAAGTGGCTGTACCATTTTGCATTCCCACCTGCAATGAATGAGAGTTGCTCCACATCCTCACTGGCATTTGGTGCTGTCAGTGTTCTAGATTTTGGCCAGTGTGATAGGCGTGAAGTGGTATTTCATTGTTGTCTTAGTTTCCATTTCCCTGTTGCCTGTTGACATAGGACATGCCTAGCTAATTTTTGTATTTTTACAAAATAGAAAATAGTAGAAATGGGGTTTCCCCATGTTGGCCAGGCTGGTCTTGAACTCCTGACCTCAGGTGATCCGCCTGCCTCGGCCTCCCAAAGTGCTGGGATTACAGGTGTGAGCCACCGCACCCGGCCCAGGAGTATCTTTTTATATCCCTATTTGCCATCTGTATACCTTCCTTGGAGAAGTGTGTGATGAGATCTTTGACTCATTTTTTAATTGGGTTGTTTGTGTTTTTCTTGTTGAGTTTTAAAAGTTTTTTGTATATTTTGGATAACAGTCTTTTATCAGATGTGTCTTTTGCAAATATTTTCTCCCAGTCTGTGGCTTGGCTTCTCATTCTCTTGAAATTGTCTTTCATAGAGCAATGTTTTTAATTTTAATGAAGTACAGCT
Organism: Homo sapiens; assembly: GCF_000001405.40. Classification (NCBI taxonomy): domain Eukaryota; kingdom Metazoa; phylum Chordata; class Mammalia; order Primates; family Hominidae; genus Homo; species Homo sapiens. Next base: position 116,526,212 of record NC_000001.11, read on the forward strand.
TACCAATTCTTTCTTTCATGAATCATGTCTTTGGTGTTGTATCTAAAAAGTCATCATATCCAAAGTTATCTAGGTTTTCTCTTATGTTTTAGGAGTCTTATGGTTTTGCATTTTACATTTAGATCTATGGTCCATTTTGAGTAAAATTTTGTGAAGGGCATAAGGTCTGTGTTTAGATTCATTTTTTTGCATGTGGATGTCCAGTTGTTACAGCACTATTTGTTGAAAAGATCATCTTTGCTCCATTGTATTGCCTTTGCTCCTTTGTCAAAGATCAGTTGACCATATTTATGTTGGTTTATTTCTGGGCTCTCTATTCCGATTCACTGATCTATTTGTCTTTTATTTTTCCACCAGTACCACACTATGTTGACTACTGTAGCTTTATAGTAAGTCTTGAAGTTGAGTAGTATCAGTCCTACAATTTTGTTCTCCTTCAATATTTTGCTGGCTATTCTGGTCTTTTGCCTGCCCATTTAACCTTAAAATCAGTTTGCTGATATCCACAAATGACTTCTGATATTTTGCTTGGGATTGCACTGAATTTATAGAGTAAATTGGAAATAACTGACATCTTCACAATAAGGAGTCTTCCTATCTATGAACATAGAATATCTCTCCATTTATTTAGTTCTTCTTTGATTTTGTTCATCAGTTTTGTTGATTTTCTCATATAAATCTGGGACATATTTTGTTATTGTACCTAAGTATTGCATTTTTGGGGTGCTAAGGTAAATGGTGTTGTGTTTTAAACTTCAAATTCCACTTGTTCATTGCTGTTATAGAAAAGTGATTGACTTTTGTATATTAACTTTGTATCCTACAAATGTGCTATAGTTTTTTATTAGTTCCAGGAGGTTTTTGGTCAATTCGTTTGGATTGTATACATAGATATTCATGTCATCTGAGAACTAAAACAATTTTCTTTCTTTCTTCTCATCTGTATAACTTTTATTTCCTTTTCTTGTCTTATGGCATTAGTTAGTGCTTATAGTACAATACTGAAAAGGAGTGGTGAGAAGAACATTATTTCCTTATTCTTGGTCTTAGTTGGAAAGCTTCAAGTTTCTCACCATTACAGATGATGTTAGCTGCAGGGTTTTTTGTAGGCATTTGTTAACAAGTTGAAAAAGTTTCCCCTCTATTCCTAGTTTACTGAGAGTTTTTATCATAAATTGATGTTGGATTTTGTCAAATGCTTTTTCTGTATCTATTGGTATGATCATGTGATTTTTCTTTCATAGTCTGTCAATGTGATGGATTACATTAATTGATTTTCATATGTTGAACCTGCCTTGCACACCTGAGATAAATACCACTTAGTCATGATGTATAATTCTTTCTATATGCTGTTGGATCCAATTTGCTAATATTTTGTTTAAGGTTTCTACATGTATGTTCATGAGAAATATTTGTCTTAATTTTCTTTTCTTGTATTGTTCTTTGGTTTTAGCACAAGAATAATGCTGGCCTCATAAAATGAATTGGAAAGTATGCCCTCTGCTTCTATCTTCTAAAAGAGATTATAGAGAATTAGTATTTCTTCCTTAAATATCTGGTAGAATTCACCAATGAACCCATCTGAACCTGGTGCTTTCTGTTTTGGAAGATTATTAATTACTGATCTGATTTATTTAAACTGCCAGGCTGAAGTGATCCTCCCACCTCAGTCTCCCAAGTAGCTAGGACTACAGACACATGCCACAACACCTCAGTAACTTTTTAATTTTTAGTAGAGATAGGGTCTCCCTATGTTGCCCAGGCTGGTCTCGAACTCTCAGCCTCAAGCAATCCTCCCGTCTTGGCCTCACAAAGTGTTGGGATTATAGGCATAAGCCACTGCACGCAGCGTTCTTTCTCAATTTTTAAAAGCAGAGTGAACATTCTTAATCACTATTCTTCCCAGTGGAAAGTCATAAAAGTCACAAGAGACCAACTTAAATCAGTCCAAAAATCCTCCTACTTCTGTTTCTGCCTGTTACATTTCATCTGGTTCAAACTTTGTTCAAATATTCTTAACATTCTTTATCTCAGTCTACATAATATTATTTCCTATGTTGCATTTCTTTCCTTCTTCTCCTTTTTCCTATTTCCGCATATTTTTGTGTTTCTATGATGAATTTTTCCAATTTCTCTCTTTTTTCTTAGGAGTAAGATCAAAGGGTGTTTTTTTGAGGCTCTACCTTCAGTGACTTACTCCCTGCAGGTAACATAATGTCCACACAGCTATGAAAGAAAGATCATCTAGTTGAACTCAGAACAATGTTTGTTCTACATAACTTCAGGTCGGAACTGAACAATGTTTCTTTTATGTTCTTGGTCCATAAATGTGTACAACAGTTGGAAACTGGTACTCTAGAGAATATCCTCTTGCCTACCCCTTCAAAAAATGTGCCCTTTCCCTAGGCTCCCATTTAGAGTTCTGTGTCAATGTGGAGGGTGTTACAATCATCCTACTTCTTCCCAGCAGTTATCTAAAAGAGAATGGTGAAGTGCACTGGGTTTCTTTACCTGGAAATAGCCTTTGACTCTCAAAGGTACTCAGATTTTATTTTCCTCTTTCACAGCCAAATATATAACTGGCCTATTGGACTACCCCTCTTCTTACTTAAAGCCCAGGAATCTGGTTCCTACCCTCATCTATTCACAAGGTCTGTCAACAATGACCTCCTAAGTGCCAAATCCACAACCTCTTCTACATTGTCCTCCTTAAACCATTGGCTGTATATAATGTTATACCAAATGTCCTCTCTTGAAACTCTTCCTGTATCCTGAATAACAACTAGCAGTTTTATAGTGACTAACCATCAATACTCTTTCCCACATGCTATTTTATTTAATTTCCTCAGCCCTTGTAAAGTAAGTATTATTATCCCCCACATTCACACTGCCAGTAAGCAATGAAATCAGGTCTAGGACCTAGGTTTTCTTGCTCCCAATCCCATGTTCTCTTCTATCCAGAATTTTCTCCTGCCCTCAACTTCTCAATTTTCTAATCTGTATAAGTCTGTCTATATTCACGTGCTGCCATAAACCAGCTTTCTGACCTTGAGATCTCTGAACATCTGTAGCATGGGCATAAAACCTCCATGCTATCTACTCTGACCGCAGATAAGGAGATAAGGAGGAGCAAAATGTAGGAGCATGACACAAAGGCAAGAAATAATTGCTCACTAGCTTTCTTTCCATCTCCCAATGCCTTGGAGCTGCAATTTTCAAACGGTTAACCAATGGAAGTAAATTCCAAATTCCAGATTATAATTCTCCATCTCTGAGTCATCTTCTTACTTTTACTTCCCAGTACAGTGGGGAAGACACAGTGCTTTGAGTTCAGATGGAGTTGGATGTCAAATCCTGGCTTTGCTCTTAATAAATGTGTATATTTGGTCAAGTTATTTAACCTCACTGTGCCTCAGATTCCTCCTTTATAAATACCCACACCACTGGGTTGTTGTGTGGATTAAATGTGACACATTTATGTAAATCATTTACAGGAGTTTGTTGTGGAGCAGGCCTTCAGTAAGTATTAGTTCATTCCCCCAGTACAATACGAGTTGGACAAGAACTCTGTCCTCAATCTTAACTGTCTCTAAAATTCTCCTTTAGATTGTGTTTAACTAGTTAGTAACCCCATCGCCCCATTTCTGGGTTGCAGTGACGGTATGACAGTAGATGTCATGACTAAAATGATGACAAACCACAAAAAGGTCCTACTAGACAAAATGTTACAAGAAACATGAGATAATGAGGTAAAAAATTAAGTTACATTTGACCAATATCTACTATGTATATCTATATAGTATGGGTTTCTCTAGCTCATTCATATGAATAAATCAAAGAAAACTTTAAAATTTGATTTATTTTGAAACGTATAGAGAGTCAGGATGGTATCATACAAAAACACTCTGGAATTCAAAGACCTAAATTTTAATTCTATCTCCAATACTTAAGTGACCCTGGGCAAGTCACCCCACCTGGTTGACCCTGTCTCCTCATTCTTTTTTTTTTTTTTGAGACGGAATCTCACTCTGTCACCCAGGCTGGAGTGCAGTGGTGTGGTCTCAGCTCACTGCCAGCTCCGCCTCCCGGGTTCATGCCATTCTCCTGCCTCAGCCTCCCAAGTAGCTGGGACTACAGGTGCCCACCAACACACCTGACTAATTTTTTGTATTTTTAGTACAGACGGGGTTTCACCGTGTTAGCCAGGATGGTCTTGATCTCCTGACCTCGTGATCCACCCGCCTCAGCCTCCCAAAGTGTTGGGATTACAGGTGTGAGCCACCGCACCCGGCTACCTGTCTCCTCATTCTTAAAAGGTAAGTAACAACTGTCTGGCCAATCTAAAATGATAGTGGTGAGGAGCAAATGAGGCATTTATTTGAAGGGTTTGCTAAAGGAGAGCAGGCTAGTCAATGTGAGTTAGTTTGCTTCACTGATAAAGCATTGGAAAGTTTAGATGAGAAATCAAAACCTGAAAAAGTAAGATCTAGTATTTAACTGTTATACTTTCATGGATTTGTATCTATTATGATGCATGTGGTTCCACACAAAAGCATTCAAAAATCATCTCAGAAAAAAAAAGATCCTAGACTGTTACTGTTCAAAAGAACCATTAAGATCATTAAGTTCAGCTCCTGGTTTGCATTTTAAAAGGAGAAGGTCCTCCAATATTTGGTTAACAGAAACCAGGGTCAGAAGCCCAGACATATGTCTCAGATGTCAACACTACTCCAGGATTTAAACCTAAGACCTATCAAGCAACATTCCTCAAACTTTCAAAATCTGTTGTATATATGTGAACTATCAATTTGGAAGAAAATGTAAAAGAAGGATAAATCACCATTATTTAATAATTAAAAGAATTTTTTCAAATTAATAGTACTTATTTCAAATCAATAAGAGGAATATCATTCCTCTTATGATCTTTTACCAGACTATTTACAGGGAAAGTAATCTTACTTTCAGTAAGAGTAATTTTACTTTGTGTCTTCAAATTCTAATGGCAAACATAAAGTTAAACATAAAGTTTTGCAAGGGCAAAACCTTTAAAAATCCCCTAAAATATTCCATGTAATTCTATAGAGGGATCTTACTCAGAAATTATTTCCTTCAAGTATTTTGTCTCTTGGAACACTTAAAACTTTTCAAGATTTCAACTTGCTTGCTCTGTCTATATGTGGTCATCTTCTTCCCCCTTGTCAGTTAGATGCAGCACACATATACCAAAAGGCAAAAGCACACTGGTTTTATTTTTTGTTGTTCCCATTATAAAGCAACTATCTGCTTTTACAACAAATTGCATTTCCATATCGTATGCCTTGGGTATTATGTAACACTCAAAAGGTGGAATTAATAAAGGAATGTTTGCTCCAAGCTTAACTATTTTAACTTTGCAGCTCGTTTTAAAAACTTCTTGCAATTGTGTGACTTGTACAAACAGTGCTCCTTTGAGTGACACCTCTGTGGGTTTGATCTTTTCTCTGTCTTCAAAAATCAAATCTATCAGTTATAAATTGGGACTCATTTGCACTTTTTCTTTTTTTTCTCCGTGTTTCATAACTTTAATAGAATATTCTAACTATTATGTACAAATTGAAAACACTGTATTCAGTTATAAATGTGTTCTAAGGTTAGGCTGAGCACTCTCTACAGGCCTGGTCAGCGCGGACAAGGCCATCCCCGGCTGCCACAGAGCGCTGTCACCCACTTGGAAACCCCACTCACCAGCCACCAACCGGTCACACCAACCAGGACCTTCAGACAGGATGAATGGTGGGGCCCAGCAATGGGACTACTGAGAAAGCAGGACTTGACGCTCATATGCTCAAATGAAACGCAGGACTTCCCAGCCCAGCCCCTCACTGGAGAACACTGCCGAATCCCAACTCCGGCAGCAGGGCGGTGCCTGTGTCACGAGGACAGGCTCGCGTCTTCAGCCCTGGTGGCAGGAAGCAGTGTTTCTTCCGCACAGCCCTTGCTCCTGCTAGGAAGTGGCACATCTTCCTGCTCAGGTCACCAGGGTGGTTCAGAAATGGCAAGGACGAGCGACAGCAAAAGGCCGCAGTCCTCACAGGCAAGAAGGGATAAATAAATATGAGGTGACCCGTGGCAGCTCTCGCCTGAGCTGGTGTGCCACAACCCTGACCCAACCCTTAAAAAAGAAGATCAAAAAGCAACATCCTAAGGAGAATACGGCCCTACTCTACACGGCCCTTCTGAGATGATTAGCATACAGCAGGTGATGCAGGCTGCACACTCAGCAGATTAAGCAGCTGAAAACAGCGAGTGGGTTTCTTCAAATGAAAGGAAAGAATTCAGTCCAACTGCAGGAGTGGTAGGAGAGGTTCTAGATCCCTGGAACCTCATCACCAGACCTCGGCCCTTTTAGCCAAGTGATCCCCACCCCATCCCACCCCACCCCAATGGGGTCTATGGGGCCCTCCCGCAGGGAAGGGTCCAGGCAAGTCCAGAGCTACAGGCACCAAGGCTGCAGAGGGTATTGGACAAAACCTCCTATTTCTGAAATGCATTTCAGTTGCCACTGTACACATTAAGCAAAATAATAAGGAAAAAGGAAAAGTGAAAGTGAAAATCATGCACTTGAAAACGATTAGATGGAGTAAGCGCTGTCGACGGGATTGTGCCGCATGCGGCAAAGACTGAGGCCTCCCGCTACAGGCCCGGAGTCGCGACAGCCGGTCTGCCAGGCGCCCACCTCCACTTCCTACTGCTGCTTGCATTCCGCCGGCTGGCTGGGTTCCTTGTTGGGATTAATTTCCACCTCATCCTCATCTTCTCCCTCCTCATCACCTTCTAATTCGTCCTCTTCTTCTTCACCTTCGTCAAAATTGTCATCATCCTTTAAGGCCTCCCCAGCGAAGTACAGCACAGCCTGTGGTCCGCTCACGGAAAAAGTGTCCAATTTCAAAATCAGAGGCTAATACGAATTCAGAATCTTTATCCAGTGATTCTCCGTCCCCAGATGCTTTCAGTGGATTGAAGAAGTTGAAAAATGACTCATTGGATACTTGTTTGGTAATTGTTCTAACAGTGCCTGGACCCTTACGCTTCTGCTTTTTCTTGATGGTTTTGACAGTAACATTCTTTCCTTTCTTCCAGTCAATAGTACACCCATCGCAGTCCATGATCTCAGGACCTGCAAATGAAAAGGGATCAGCCTTATCTGGTTCTGATTTCATCTTGCAGGTTTTTGTCAGGACTGAGTTGGCAAAGCAGTCATTGGGTTGAAAGTGGAACTCTTAATATGAAAGACATAGGCTGTCCAGGGTCAGAAAACTTCACTTTAATATCCTGCAGGTATTTCAAGATTGGTTCATCATATTCCTGGACTAATTCACTTAGCATATCTACATTTCTAAAGATGGTAAACCAGAACTCTGGAATTCCTTTGGGATTTGGCTCTTCAGCTGTTGCTGCTGCTTTTTCTGTTATGACTACTTTATTTTTCCTGTCTCCAGCCAATTTCTCCTCCTCTTCATTTTCACGGTGCCATTCTGATTCCATATCAGATGTTGGTTCAACATCACCGGTGATAAATTCTCTTCTCTCGTCAAAGAGAGGCTGGTATAATGCTGCATATTTTCTTTCCAAGTCATGAACTTCTTCATAGAACTTGGCTTCTATATGAGCGCATCTCACCTGAATTTGTTTCAATGCATTAATTCTTCTTTTTACTGCTTTAGGTAAAGTTTCGATGTAGCTGGAAGGGGTGTGAGGGGCATTGTCAAGTCGCTCCTGTAAAGCTGCCAAAACTCCAGGATTCTGCATCACCTGATCCGTGAGCTTTTCCGTCTTACTTGCATTTTTAGCAGCTTCCACGAAATCTGAAGGAACCCCATCTGAAAAACTGTTATCTGCCATCTGAATGTTTTTATCCCCTTGTCTGGTAAACCAAGTCCCGTGAGTAACTAGGCTAAGGCACTCAGGCCAGTCCTCGGGGAGCACACGCCGCCCATCTGGCTCGCACCGCACAGCTCCCAACAGCTGAGATGCAATGCCAAGGACTTTCTTCCCCATCAGACATGCCCTCGTCCACACGAAACTTACAATCAAAACCCCAGTTAGCCCAGCCTGACCCCACAGATGCTCACGATGACCATCGCCCTACGGAAAAACTCAAATTCCTAAACATCTAATAAAGAGGTCCTGGACGTCTCCACCTTAAAAACGGGAAGCCTGAATGCTCCTCCGGGTGCGCCGCGGCCCTCCGGGTACGCGGGGCTGGCTGGGCTAGCGGGAGATTTGAGCTGCCAGCCCCCACTCGCCGCCCTCTACGCCTCCTCCGCTGGGCCGCCGGCGAGGAAGCCGCCCGCAGCGCAGAACAAAGCGACTTGACCTTCAGGGCAGTGGGCGGCAGGGCAGGGGCGCACCGGGTGCTGGGAGGGGCCGCTCCAGGCCCCAAGCCCCAGGCCCGCCGCGGCGGCGCTGCCCACCCTGACGAGGACGTCTACTTTTTCTTGAAAAATGTCTTTCCTTTCCCAAAAGTGACTCTGCTTTGTCTGAAAATAATATAACTTTAATGGCTTTAAGTTATTGTTTGAAAGGGTTCAGAAAAGACAATAAATGGGAGACTTAGAATGGCTCACCAGTTAAAATCCAAGTTTCATATATTTCTTGTATTTGCTAATTTCCCTTATCTGTTTCAGCTGCTTGTTCAGAAAAATTTCATTCATAGACTCACCTTATCCCAGCCCTAGAGACTCATATTCTCTATTTGCCCTGGAATCCTGTTCACTATTTACAATTATATTATTCTGAATAATAGTATTTACTATTTTCGTCTCTTTTATATTTTAATAAACCACTTTCAAGTCACTGACCTTTTTGTTTGTTAAACTGGGGATATAATGTAAAAAACAGATAATAAAAATTACAAATGTAAATAATACTAAAACAACATTAGAAAATCATAGCCAAGACAGATTGTCATGATATTAACTTAGTGTTAGGCCTAAGGAAACATATCAAATGCATGTTCCTGTAGTAGATATGTAACCTTTCAGAACATAATGATATTATAACAATATTATAAAGCAGCATTGTGAATAGTTAAAACCATGGGCTCTAGAGCCAGATAGCCTCTACTCAAAGCCAGGTTCTGCCACTTACTAGCTGTTACCTTGAGCAAACAACTTAAACTCTCTCTCTGTTGGTTTCTCACCAGGAAACAGGGATAAGTACTAGTACACAACTTATAGGTTGTATGAGGATTGATGTGAAGATTGAATTAATTAACATATGTATTAGAATGGTGCTCAACACAGAAAGTGCTAAATAATGTTAGCTTTGTATCTATAATGGGGTTTCTGTTAAAAATTGTAACTTGTTGGCCGGGCGCGGTGGCTCACGCCTGTAATCCCAGCACTTTGGGAGGCCGAGGCGGGCGGATCACGAGGTCAGGAGATCGAGACCATCCTGGCTAACACGGTGAAACCCCGTCTCTACTAAAAATACAAAAAATTAGCCGGGCGTGGTGGCGGGCGCCTGTAGTCCCAGCTACTCGGGAGGCTGAGGCAGGAGAATGGCGTGAACCCAGGAGGCGGAGCTTGCAGTGAGCCGAGATCGCGCCACTGCACTCCAGCCTGGGCGACAGAGCGAGACTCTGTCTCAAAAAAAAAAAAAAAAAAAAAAAAAAAATTGTAACTTGTTTTACATTTCAAAATTGTGAACCTTGTGTTAGTCACCACATCTGTGGTCTGAAAGCCTCCATGACACATTTAGTTATTTACTCACCGCTGCTTGGGATACAGGTTGTCAAAATGATTGATGATGTTGTATTAAATAATGGATTGCTAAGAGTACACTGTATTTTTTGTGGAAGATCATTTTCCATCTTAAAATATATACTGGTTGAGTTACGTTTACATTGCTCCATAGGACAATCCCATGAGTACATTATAAGTCCTCGATGGCTGTTGTAATGCTCTGGTATCATGCATTGGACTTCAATGCTTCCATTAGTCAATGCACAAGTTAGTGTGGGAGATGGAAGAGACTCTGGAAAAAAAAGTATAATATTTAGTACAGAAAATAGTAATATTTAGACTTATCATCTGCAAATTTATGAAGAGCTCGCAACCTCCTTACAAGCTTGAAAGGATGAGCAGACAAACTCCTTGAGCATCAAGGAGCGAGAATTCTTTCTTTTGCTAGGTCAGATCTACCTGTTCAAATTTAACAGAATAAATTCAGACCCTGATATGGTTTGGCTCTGGGTCCTCACCCAAATCTCATCTTGAATTGTAATTCCCATGTGTCGAGAGAGGGACCTGGTGGGAGGTGATTGTACCATGGGGGATGGTTTCCCCATGCTATTCTAGTGATAGAGAGTGAGTTCTCATGACATCTGTTGGTTTAAAAGTGTGTGGCAGTTCTCTCTCTCTCCTGCTGCCTTGTGAAAAAAGTGCTTGCTTCTCCTTCGCCTTCTGCCATGATTGTAAGTTTCCCGAGGCCTCCCCAGCCATGTGGAACTGTGAGTCAATTAAACCTCTTTTCTTTATAAATTACCCAGTTTCAGGTAGTTCTTTATAGCAGTGTGAAAACAGACCAATACAGGCCCCAAATCCCTTATCCTCAATTCTTAAATCAAAAAATCTCTGAAGCCAAAAGAGTCTTCGCAAGTTGGTAGCAAAATCGTTTAGCTGCAAATCCTGACCTGACCTGAATTAACACAAGGATTTGAGTCTTTCTCACTCACTTCAAATATTCATTATCGTTTCACCACAAAAATATTCCTGTGCTTGGCAGGACACAGTGGCTCATGGCTATACTCCCAGCACTTTGGGAGGCTGAGGCAGGAGGATGGCTTGAGGCCAGGAGTTCAAGACCAGCCTGGGCAACATAGCAAGACCCTGTCTTTATAAAAAGTTTAAAGATTAGCCAGCCATGATGGCTCCTGCCTGTAGTCTCAGCTACTTGCAACTGCTTGAACCAAGGAATCTGAAGCTACAGTGAGTTATAATTGTGCCAGTGCACTCTAGCTCACTACACACAGTGGGCTATGATTGCATCAGACTGAGACCTTGTCTTTAAATATATAGGAATGAAGTAAATACTTGTTCCTATGCTTGACCCATAGGGTGCTCCCCATAATTAAGTGGGGTGCTTAATATGCAGAGGAAATACTTTGTATTACCTTTCCAAAATGTAAAAAAAAATTTTAATTCCATAACACGTCTGACTCAAAGCATTTTGTGAAAGGAAAGTCCATAATACATCTGACTCAATACATTTTGTGAAAGGTGGAGCTACACAGAGCCTTGTCGGGCCCTGCCTATTGGTTGGGCTGGACCTGTTAATAGGCAGTGCAGGGAGCAGCATGTGTCACAGACCTGCCTGTCCAGAGGCCTCACTCCCACCCTTCTTCTAGGAAGTGCCTCCTATTGGCTAAGGCAGCATGGACCTACAAGGATGAGTTAAGACACTAACATGTCACATTCTGCCATTGTTGCCCTTTAAAAGCCTCAAGGCTAATTACTTTGTCCTATGAGTCATTTATTTGTTAATTCATATGCCTTCTTGCGTCTCAGCTACCCTCCAGCAATTAATCATAAGAGGCCTGAGGAAACATGCAAAAACATATGTAATATACAACAATGGTCATGGTAGCACTGGGATAATAAAGTATTGATACATTATAAACGTCTACTAAAAAGAGCATTTAAGTAAATTTAGGTTCACCAAGATAATGGAATACTATGTTGTCATTTAAAATGATGTTTTCTAAGACAAGTTAATGCTTATGCTCCAATTATAATCTGAAAAATAAAAGCATTTAATGGTTCCCCCATCTTCTCCTCCTCCTGAATTCCTTCTCGCTCAGTTAAATAAAGTACCCAGCCTGCCTTGGTAGAAACCAGAGTCACACACTGACTTCCCTTTCTACTTGGGGCTTCCTAGTTTTTAAGTTTAATCTAGCTCACACAAGTCCTTACATACTTCCTTAAGATTTTCTTTAATTAAAAAGACTTTTAATCATCTTTTAAGCAGTGGAATTTCTCAGAATTAAATCTTCAGTGGCAATCCAATCCAATGGATAAGAAGTTGCTCTAGTTGACTCAAAATTGAAAGCCTAGAGCCCTGCTCTCCTAACTTCCTCTGGTCCCTTTTGCCCACCCCACCCCATAGCAGCCCTCAGGGGACTTCCAAGGAACATGCATCCCCAGAATAGTTCAAAAATGCCTGTTCTCAGTATTTCATATACTTATGCCTGCCTCTGTAACTAGGCTGGGCATTTCTCAGGGGCAGAAAACCAAGCTTTCTACCTCCTTAGAAATGGTCCTTTGAAGCATTTCTCAAATTTTAAGGTGCCTAAGAATCACCAAGGGTGCTTGTTAAAAATACAGATTCCTGAGCCCCACCATCCCAGGTGCTTCTGATGTATGTGGCCTGTTTGTTCTGTTGCAGATTCTAATGTATTGATCTAGCTCTGCCAATGTCTAGTCTTTCATCCAGCACTTTCTGAACTGAACAGAGGTGCATCATCAGCCCCAGAGACTGTGTATCTTTGGAGGGCAAAGACTAGGTATGACTCACCTTTCAACCACAGCACATGACATAATGCAAGGCACACAGATGGCTCCTCACAAGCAGTACAGGACAGATGGGGAGACAGATGGATAGAAGGATAGATTCAGAGAGACAGTCTTCAAATAAAATGTAAATTCTTCTACCCGCTATCTCCAAAGAGGTACAGTATGGTGTTTAGCATGGACTCAGAAGCCCAGCTGCCTGAGTGCATATCCCAGCTTCATGACTAAGAGCCATTTGACATTGGGCAAGTTACTTAAATCACCTTGTGTCTAGGTTTCCTCCTCTCTACAATAAGGACACAAATAGTACTTACTCTATCAGACTGTAATGAGATTAAATGAGTTAACACAGATAATAATCAACATATGAATTAACATGTAGTGCCTGCACAGAGTAAGTACTTAACAAATGCTAGCTGTAATAGAGCACACGGCCATTGGCTGTGAGTTTCCAACTCCAGGAAGCCGAGGCTCCCCGGAGGGTATGTGATATGATGAGAAGAGTCACTGAGTAGGAGTTGGGAGGTTTGATCAAGCCTTAGCCTTGGCCTGCTGTGTGACCTGGGGCCACAGTCCTTTTAGGAGCTGGAAGAGTTTTAAGAAAGCATCCATCCAGGTCTCTTGTTCTACTTACAGAGAAACGGACTCCTAAACTGTCTTATTTTCATCTGTGAAAGGGAATGCTGTATCAGGTCACTGTAAAGGTCAAACAGAATATGACTGAGTGCCACATGCAGGGTTTGTAAAAAAGAAAAGAAAAGAAAAGAAAAGAAAAAAAACAGAATATGAAAGTAATTTCAGGGGAAACATGAAGAAGTGTTAGTATTATCTTCTAAGTTGCTAGAACTCCCTTGACTAGGTAGAAGCTCTTTCTGGCTATCTCATTACACAACAGTTGCCAGATGGCAAAGGTAGAAGTGCCTATCCAACTCATCTAAAAGTGTGCAAGCCTTTCTGCAGCACCTAGATCACAGTTTCTACACCTCAGATCTTTTCCTTCTATAAATCTTTCATATTTTCTTGCTGCCCGTGGGACTTACCACAGCTGTATCTAACAAATATTCGTTATACCTCTACTTTAAGCAGCATTAAACTGGCAAGAAATGTGCCTACTTCCTCCCTAAGACAATTAGTCAATTTATAATTAATGAATTGAGTTCACTGCTGTGTAAAAAATGAGAATTTCTTACACATATCTGATGACATTTTATAGAAATATGTGTATATTTTCACGAATTTTAGTAAAGGTCAAGTATCAATCCAGCCCAGTTAAGGACAGGGCAGTTAATTCTACTTACATAAAAATCATCATCTGAGATGTGATGAAGGTCCATAAAAAGATGGGAAAGGACTAATAAACCTCAGAAGTAGAAATTTTAAGGGGACTTTTGGGTATGGAGGAAAGCCAGATCTCAATGTACACACAGAAGGAAGTGGATGCCCTGAATTTAGGAAGTGCCAGGAAATCCCCCTGTCCAAAATATGCTCACTGGAAGTCTCCTATTAGGTCTGGTGTCTCTAGAAGATTACCAGGTTACTAAAACAAGTGTTAACATTACCTCAAGGAAGTATGACTTCCTCTTTTCTTAAAAAAAAAAAAAAATAGTATGACCAATCATTTTATCATGCAGATGTGAAACCTAGAGTCATCTTATGTCTTTTTACAACCAAAACCTACATCTTGCAGACTCTTTCTTGGACCCTCTATCTACCTGGATGATAGTAGCTTCTAACTTGACATCTCCTCTCTTTAATCCATCATAAGTATGCACCATCACATTAATCTTCCAAAAATGTATTTTATCAAGTCACTTCCTTGCTCCAGTATAGGACACAATGGCTCCCCACTGCTACAAGCTGATGTCCAGACTCTCAAACCAGGACTTTAAGTCCCACACTCAATACTATCAATATCACTGCCTCCTGATCAAAACTCACCTCCCCTGTACTTTACTCCTCTGCAGGCTTCCTAAGGTCTATCCAGTTGGTCTGACTAACAAAACCATACCTTTGCTGAGGTGCCATAGAATATTTTATTTAATTAATTTATTTAGCTAGTTATTTTGAGGCAGGGTCTTGGTCTGTCACCCAGACTGGAGTGCAGAGGTGCAATCATGGCTCACTGCAGCCTCAGCCTCCTGGGCTCAAGGGATCCTCCCACCTCAGCCTCTTGAGTAGCTGGGACTACAGGCATGCACCACCATGCCTGGTTAATTATTTTATTTTTGTAGAGATGGAGTCTTGCTATGTTGCCTAGGATGGTCTTGAACTACTGGGCTTAAGCAACCCTCCCTCCTCAGCCTCACAAAGTGCTGGGATTATAGCCTTGAGCCACAATGCCCGGCCTAGAATATTTTAAATTATTTTAAAACAGTTCATCAAGTTTAAGAGGAGAAATTTATTCAAATGTTTTGAATTAGTTTTACAAACTCTATAAAAAGGGCTCTTAAAATGTGTGATCTAAATTCTGACTCAATCCTCTTGTTTGTTGGCCCTATCTATAAATTATCAGATCCCCAATGTCCATGTTTCAAAGATTCTACTTTTTCAAGGAAATCTTCTAAGAGGATACTTTGACATCTTAGCAAGCTGTATTTGTCTAAATAGAGTCCACAGGGGTCAGACCTCACATAGCCTTGCAAGTCGCTTTACACATTTTAGCTTTAACAGAGTTAGATGGGGCCATTAGAAAGTTCCACACAGATGAGTGACATGATCTGACTTCTGTTTTAAAAAGATCATTCTGGTAGAACCAATACAACTTCCTGGTAGAGTGAATGTGGTATTCAAGAAAAAGAGAGGTATCAAGGATGACATCCCGGTTTCAGACTGACCAGCTGAAAGGATGGGGCTGCCATTAACCAAAAGGGAAAAGATTTGGGGAGGAGCAGCAGGTTTTAAGGGGAAGATAATGAGCTTACTTTTGGACTTGTGATATTTGAAAGGCCAATTAGATGTCTGACTGGAGAGGTACACTGGGCAGTCAGGTATACACATAAGGAGCTCGGCGGGGTACTCTGGGCTAGAGCTCTAGATCTGTACATTATTAGCATTGAGATGATATTTAAAGCCCTGACATGGGATGAGCTCACCCACTGGCTATGAACGCAGACAGAAAAGGAAAGAGACCTAAGGCTTAAGCCTTGATGTTTCCAGTGTTAAGAGGTTGGGGAAACAAGGAAACTAGCAAAAGAAGCTGAAAAGGAATAGTCAGTGTGTTAGAAAGAAATGTGAAGCCAGGCACAGTGGCTCACACCTGTAATCCCAACACTTTGGGAGGCCAAGGCAGGTGGATCACCTGAGGTCAGGAGTTCAAGACCAGCCTGACCAACATGGTGAAACCCCATCTCTACTAAAAATACAAAATTAGCCAGGCATGGTGGTGCATGCCTGTAATCTCAACTGTTCAGGAGGCTGAGGCAGAAGATTCACTTGAACCCGGGAGGCATAGGTTGCAGTGAGCTGAGATCGCGCCATTGCATTCCAGCCTGGGCAACAAGGGCGAAACCCCCTCTCAAGGAAAAAAGAGAAAGAAACATGAATAGGGTGGTATCCTGGATGTCAAGTGAAGACAGTACTTGGAGGAGGGAGTGATCAGCTATGTCAAAAGCTGCTGAGAAGTCAAGAATGACATGGACTGAGAATGAACCACTGGATTTATTAACAAGGAGGTCTAGAGGAGTTTTGGCATAGCAGTGCAGATGAAAGCCTATTTGGAGTGGGTTAAAAGTGAATATAAGGGATCAGAATAAGTGAATATGGACAACTTCTTCAAGGAGATTTTCTATAAAGTGAAGACAGCAGGTGGTGGTGGCTGGAGGGGTACAGGGATCATGAGAAAGTTTTAATGACAGTATATATGTATGCCACTTAAAATGAACCATCAACTTATGGGGGAAATTCTCATCAGGAGAGAGTGGGTAGAAGCACTAGGGTGATATTCCCGAGGACGGCAAGAGGAGGTGGGATCCAGGGCACACGTGGAAAGTTTAACTTCAGGTGAGAACTCAGAAAGTCCATTCATATCAGGAGAGAAAGCAGGGCCTACAGGCTCAGGTATGGGTAGGAAGGTAGGCAGGTGGTGAGAGCTTGTGGAAATTGCCCTCTGATTGCTTATTCTCCTTAGTGAAATAAGAAGCAAAGCCTTCAGCTGAAGAGTCAGTCTAGAGAAGGAGGTATTCAAGATTTGAGGAGAGAAAAAGTAACTGCTAGGAGAGTGGGTAAGTGAACAGGCTAGGAAATACCAACTTAATTGAGGTAAGTGATTAGAGAAATTAAAAGTGCAGGACTTTGTAGGGTGGTGTATTTTTCTGCAACCACATGGGTGTGAGCACAGAATAGGCAAAGCAGCGGACTTAATCTAGCTGTAATCTGGCCATGCGAGTATGACAAGCCAGCAAAGGAGCAAGGAAGCTAAGTGTGTCTGCAACGGACTGAGTCTAGTGAGTGACAACAGCACTCAGGCTGAGTAGGGAGGGCAGCAGGGACATCAGGTGTGTGAAGGACTGTCAGCATCAGCATCATCAAGGACAGGGCATGGTGGTCAGAGTGAGACACCTGACATTGAGGTAATGATGAGTTCTCGGTTACATCCATGGGTAGTGGGTAACGTAGAGGAAAAGATCCTTACAGGAGAGGCGATCAAGGACAATATTGAAAGAATTTTAATTTAAATATTGCAACCACCAAGACACCAGGAATGTCAGAAACAATGAAAATGAGGCAGGCCTTAAAATGACCAAGAAACACTGGCATGTGAGGCAGGGGCCTATAC
Source organism: Homo sapiens (assembly GCF_000001405.40). NCBI lineage: Eukaryota > Metazoa > Chordata > Mammalia > Primates > Hominidae > Homo > Homo sapiens. The sequence goes on from NC_000001.11 coordinate 116,543,537, forward strand.
AAGACTGCAACACAAAAGGGGCTTTAGAGACCAGGGAGGAGTGTCAGTGAGAAGCAGGGAGAAATGTGTCCCCTCTCTCTAGTTTCAGTTTAAAATGGTGCAGGAGCTGGGTGTGGTGGCTCATGAGTGTAATCCCAGCACTTTGGGAGGCTGAGGCGGGTGGATCACCTGAGCTCAGGAGTTTGAGACCAGCCTGGCCAACACAGTGAAACACCATCTCTACTAAAATACAAAAATTAGCTGGGCATGGTGGTGCGGGCCTGTAGTCCCAGCTACTTGGGAGGCTGAGACAGTAAAATCACTTTGAACCTGGGAGGCAGAGGTTGCAGTCAGCCAAGATTGTGCCACTGCACTCTGGCCTTGGTAACAGAGTGAGACTCCTTCTCAAAATAAATAAATTAATTAAATAAAATGGTGCAGGAGGAAAAACAATCTCCCCGCTGTGTGGGGAAGCAGGAACTTTATAGAGTAACATCTATCAGTGGAGCCCAAAGAGTTCTAAGCTAACTGCTGTCACTACATCTCTTTCCAAAACATTCCTAGTAAGACAACTGATACTGTTCTCCCCACCTTGGTTAGATTCTCTCCTCACCCAGAGGAATGACAAAGGAATTGAAAGTAGCTAGCTCCTCTATACCAGAAAAGGAGAAAACCCTGACAACAGGTAACATCTAATTCTTTTCTCATAGACCATTAATTTGTGCTAGTCTCTGAAAACAGACTAAAAAAATGGAAATTTGCCATTTTAAACAAATCAACTTATGGAATACTCACCAAGCACATAAAGAAAGAACTTCATGGTATCAGTAATATTTGGCGATTCCATTTCATACTCATCTTCATCTGATGATGTTAAGTTGTAGATAGTGAGGCTACCTGACACAGTGTCTAAATAAACCCTATTTTTAAAAGATGAGAAAGCTCTGAATTCAGAATTTTCCAGTTCTGCAACTTTATCCTTTTGTTTTTTCCATAGGACCTCTTTTAAAGGCACATTGCTTGGTACATGGAAAGTTACATTCCCATACACAACACCATATATTTGTTGGGAAAAACAGCTGATGAAACCTAGGAGAGAAAAAAAAATTGGTTAGAAAAAACAACATGACTTTGGTGGCAGAAATTATTCATCAGGTACTTTTTGTGCTAAGCTGACAAACTGCTGACACAAAATACAGGAAGTAAGAACATGTTTGACCATGTGGAGCTTACTCTTTAATAGAAAACTGGGACCTGCATAAATCCAAGAAATGGACCCGACATTCATGGAGCACCAACCATCTGCCAGGTAGTACGGGCTGGGCTGGGAATATGGGGTTGTTCCAGGCCCTCCAGGAGCCTCACGTGTGGAGAAGACAGGGAGCAGGCTCTACATCAGGGGCTGCATGAGGGGAGCTGCCTGGTCTAGGGCCTCCCCAAGGAAGTCATGCTGGAACTGACATAACGTGCAAATCACTGAAGGATAAAAGGCAGTTAGGCCGCAGGGCTGGGTAGGTGAGTGGGTGGGGAGTGGAAGAAGAGATGATCATACAGATATATAGGAAGCAGCACCCCCAAAGGAAGGCCCTGAATGGAGAAAGAGCATGGTGTGCTTGAGGATACACACGTGATTCCTAACAGCTAGAATGAGGAGGGCAAGGGGTGGCTGGTGGGGAACAAGACAGACAAAGGCCAGCCCACAGCCTATGTGTGCTAAAGTAAGGAACGCTAAGGGTTTGGACTGATCCTAATGGAGAGGAAGCCACAGAAAGGTTTTTAACAAGACTGGCCTAACATAATTTAAGTGTCAGCAGGCTGACTGTCTTTAGAGTAGAGAGCGGCTGACAGGGGCCAGCACAGAGGCAGGGAAATTATAATGAAAGTCAATGCTGTAGCAATGAAGTCCATGGACAGGACAGACCAGAGCAGGGTGTTTGTAGTGGGGACAGACAAGCGGACAGACTCAGGAGATGCTGGAGAGAGAAGTCAACAGGATTCAGTGATGAGGGTGGGGGAAGTGGATGGGACTGTCAGGTCTCCTTGGCTGACTGAGAGGCATCATTAACTGAGATCAGAAACAATGGCTGGGAAGCAAGTCGAGGGTGTGATGAAGATTAAGAACTCAGGGATTGGGTGCAGTGGTGGGTTGGAGCCAGGTCCACCTGCCCTCATGAGCCAATTGTTAGCATCTCTGCCCAGCCCTATTAGGGAACATCTAGTAACAGCACAGAAACTGACTAATGCTTCACATCAGAACCTCCATACCAACCTAGTTGTTAAACATTTATTAGAACCACAAGATTGGGATATTTTTGATACCCCAAAGTGGGTTTAAATGCATCTTGCTCTAGGACTTGTCTCTTGTTAAGAGAGAACAGCAGCTGGGTCCTGTGGTTCATGCCTGTAAGTCCAGCATTTTGGGAGGCCAAGGTGGTTGGATTGCTTGAGTTCAGGAGTTCAAGACCAACCTGGGTAAAATGGCGAAACCCCATCTTTACGAAAAGTACAAAAAATTAGCTGGGCATGGCACACACCTGTGGTCCCCAGCTACTTGGGAGGCTGAAGAGGATTACTTGAAGCCATGAGGCAGAGATTGCAGTCAGCCATGATTGTGCCACTGCACTCCAGCCTGGGTGACAGAGCATGACCTGTCTCAACAAACAAACAAAAAACTGCAGCTATTTTAAGTTAACATTAAAGAGCAATTAAAATTTGACTGAAGTTTTTGCCTAGTAGCAATTAGGGTAATTGAAATAATACAGGGGAAATCAAGAACACTGAATGACCAGTTGTAGACAACTGTGTTAGTAATTTCAGATAAGAAGCAAATATCACCCATTTGTTTATCTACAAGGACTTTTTAGAACCCATCTCCCTTAATTAAGGGGAACTGCCCTCAAAAACACACCAGCATCTTTCCATTGCTTTGCCGATTATGCATTATTTCCTCCACTCAACAGAGTATGTGGGAAGGCACAAGAAAAAGTACAGAATTCAAGGGGTGAGAGTCTACCACACACAATAGTGGAAACTCAAAAATGTCTTATAAATGTAAATGAAACAATGAGTGATAGAGGGCAGGGTGGTGGTGAAAGAGTAGGTATGAGATAAACTGCCATACCCTGGCGGCATGAAGATGTCTTTTGTCTTTCCCAGGGAGAGCTGATGTATCCTGGGCTTGAGAACAGTAGAAGAAAGTAGTCAGGAATGGAGCTAGTGGTGGAGGGAAGTGAGGGTAGAGAAAGGGGAGACTGCAGCTCAGAAGAAATCAAAGTACAGTTGACCCTTGAACAACATGGGTTTGAGCTGTGTGGGTCCACTTACATGTGGATTTTCTTCCGCCTCTGCCATCCCTGAGATAGCAAGACCAACCCCTCCTCCCACTTAGCCTGCTTTAACGTGAAGATAATGAGGATGAAGACCTTTGATGATCCACTTTCACTTAGTAAGTATATTTTCTTCCTTATGCTTTTTTTTCTTTTTTAAATTTTTTTATTACTATTATCTCAATAGTTTTGGGGGAACAGGTGATGTTTGGTTACATGGATAAGTTTTTTTTTTTTTTTTAGTTATTTGGGTGTGATTTCTGAGATTCTGGTGTACACTGTACCCAGTGTGTAGTCTTTTATCCCTCATCCCCATCCCACCCTTCTCCACAAGTCCCCAAAGTTCACTGTATCATTCTTACATAGCTTAGCTCCCACTTGTAAGTTAGAACATATGTTTGGTTTTCCATTCCTGAGTTACTTCACTTAGAATAATGGTCTCCAGTTCCATCCAGGTTGCTGTGAATGCCATTATTTTGTTCTTTTTTTTTTTTTTTTCTTTTGAGACAGAGTCTCGCTCTGTCCCCAGGCTGGAGTGCAGTGGCGTGATCTCGGCTCACTAAAAGTTCCACCTCCCAGGCTCACGCCATTCTCCTGCCTCAGCCTCCTGAGTAGCTGGGACTACAGGCGCCCACCACCATGCCCGGCTAATTTTTTTTTTGTATTTTTAGTAAAGACGGGGTTTCACCATGTTAGCCAGGATGGTCTCGATCTCCTGACCTCGTGATCTGCCCGCCTTGGCCTCCCAAAGTGCTGGGATTACAGACACGAGCCACCGCGCCTGGCCTATTATGTTCCTTTTTATGGCATATTCATATATATATATATCTCCCACATTTTCTTTATCCACTCATTGATTGATGGGCATTTATGCTGATTCCATATTTTTGCAATTGCGAGTTGTGCCACTATAAAGATGTTGTGTGCAACATGTTGTGTGTTGTCTTTTTCATAAAATGACTTGTTTTCCTCTGGGTAGATACCCAGTAATGGGATTGCTGGATCAAATGGTAGTTCTACTTTTAGTTGCTTAAGAAATCTCCATAGTGGTTGTACTAGTTTACATTCCCACCAGCAGTGTACAGGTGTTCCCTTTTCCCACCACACCCATGCCAACATCTATTATTTTTTGATTTTTAAATTACGGCCATTCTTGCAGGAGTAAGGTGGTATTGCATTGTGGTTTCAATTTGCATTTCCCTGATAATTAGTAATGTTGAGCATTTTTTCATATGTTTGTTGGCCATTTGTATATCCTCCTTTGAGAACTGTCTATTCATGTCCTTGGCCCACTTTTTGATGGGATTGTTTGCTTTTTTCTTGCTGATTTGTTTGACTTCCTTATAGATTCTGGATATTGGTCCTTTGTCAGATACATAGTTTGTGAATATTTTCTCCCACTTTGTGGGTTGTGTGTTTACTCTGCTGATTGTTTATATTGCTGTACAGAAGCTTTTTAATTTAAGCCCCATCTATTTATCTTTGTTTTTGTTGCATTTGTTTTTGGGTTCTTGGTCATGACCTTTTGCCTAAGCCAAAGTCTAGAAGAGTTTTTCTGATGTTATCTTCTAGAATTTTTATGGCTTCAGGTCTTAGATTTAAGTTTTTGATCCACCTTGAGTTGATTTTTATATAAGGTGAAAGATGAGGATCCAGTTTCATTCTTCTACACCTTATGCTTTTCCTAATAAGTTCTTTTCTCTAGCTTAATTTAGTGTAAGAATACAACATGCAATGCATATAACATAGAAAATATGTGTTGTTTATGTTATTGGTAAGGCTTCTGGTAGGCTATTAGCAGTTAAGTTTTTGGGAGTCAAGAGTTATACATAAATTTTTGACTGCTCAAGGGGTTGGTGCCCCTAATTGCCATGTTGTTCAAGGGTCAACTATAATTTTGAACTAGAAGAAACTCTAAAAATTATTTAGTCAAATTACTCCCATTTCACTGGTGAAGTGACAAGACACCAAGAAAAATATAAGGCAATTTTATTGAATGCTTACTCTCTGCTGGTTATATGTTCACATTGTCTTGTATTCCTTTTTATCCCTCTCCATGTCTACCTGCAGTAGGTGTTATTAACCCCATTTACAGGTAGGAAAGCAGGCTCCAAGAGGCATATCACCTTGCTCCATGTCTCTCAGCAAGTTTATGGCGGCACAATGACCAGAACACACATTGTCTGACTCCTTGGTCAGTGCCCTTTCAGAACAGCGTGGTCCCACATTCAGGATGGGATTCATTTATTCATTCACTCAGGAAATATTCATTGGGCATCTATTCTATATAAGATCCTTGAGAACAAGACAGACACCGTCCCTTCCTTCTTAGAGTTGACATTCTATTAGGGGAGGCAGAATTTACACAAATAATTAGACAATGCCCAACTGCAACTGTGATAATTGCTGCTAAGTAAAAGCATCAGGTGTCAATAAGAACATTTACTTAGGGAACTAACAAGGGGTTAGGGAAGGCAGTTCCCTTCCCTAAAAGAAGTTCTGAGGCACAAGCAGCAGTTAACTATGCCCAGGAGAGCAGGGCAGGTCCCCATTAAGAGAACAATTATGCAGACCTTGAAGCAGGAGCAATGGCATGAGAAAAGTAGCATAAGCCGAGCTGCATACACAAGCACAGCCAGCCCTTGCAAGGCATCAAACAAACACAATTCTAGTATTGAAGTAAAGAAAGCCATAGAAGAGTTTCAAACAGGATGGGGACAAAATAAGAGTAACTCTTTCTTTAAAAAATGTATTTTAAAACATAAATTATACATAGACACATACATACAACTTTACACTAATGAAAAACGATCATATAAGTATTTTTTCAGTCCTCTTATCTGGGTGCCTTACCCACTCTCTTAACCCCATAACAATCTCCAGTTCTATAATCTACATTAACAAATCAGAATACATCTTTCAATATTTTTCTCTCATATAGTCAAATAGATACAAACATGTATCACATATAATGGATACACACAGGTATAGCTTGAAGATACCGTGGGTTTGGTCCCAGACAACAGCAATCATGTAAATATCAGAGTAAAGTGTGTCACACAAATTTTCTGGTTTCCCAGGGCATATAAATGTTATGTTTACACTATACTGTAGTCTATTAAAGTGTTCAATAGCATTATGTCTAAAAACACAATGTACATATTTAATTAAAAAATACTTTATTGCTGAAAAAAAAAACATGCTAACAATCATTTGAGCCTTCAGCAAGTCCTAATATTTTTGCTGGTGAAAGGTCTTGCCTCAATGTTGATGGCTGCTGACTGATCAGGGTGTTGGTTGCTAAAGGCTGCAATGGCTGTGGCAATTTCTTAAAAGAAGACAATGATGAGTTTTGCTGCATCAATGGACCCTTCCTTTCACAAAATATTTCTCAGAGGCATCCAATGCTGTTTGATAGAATTTTACTCACAGTAAAACTGCTTTCAAAATTAGAGTAAATTTTCTCAAATCCTGCTGCTGCTTTATCAACTAAATTTATGTAATACTCTTAACCCTTTGTTGTCATTTAAACAATGTTCACAGCATCTTCACCAGGAGTATAGATGCCATCTGAAGAAACCACTTTCTTTGCTCATCCATAAGAAGCAACTCCTCATTGGCTCAATTTTCATCATGAGATTGTGGCAACTGAGTGACATATTCAGGCTCCACTTCTATTTTTCTTGCTATTTCCACCCTTCAAAGTCATCCATGAGGATCGGAATCAAATTCTTCCAAACTCCTGTTAATATTGATATTTTGACCTGACGATTGGAATCAAATTCTTCCAAACTCCTGTTAATGTTGATATTTTGATCTTCTCCCATGAACCACAAATATTCTTAATGACATCTAGAATGCTGAATCCTTTCAGAAGGTTGTCAATTTACTTTGCCCAGATTCATCAGAAGAATAATTATCTATGGCAGCTATAGCCTTACCAAGTGTATTCCTACATAATAAGACTTCAAAGGCAAAATTACTCCTTGATCCATGGGCTGCAGAATGGATGTTGTATTAGCAAGCATGAAAACAACACTCATCTCCTTGTACATCTCCATCAGAGCTCTTGGGTGATTAGGTGCATTGTCAACAAGCAATAATATACTGAAATGAATCTTTTTTTTCTAAGCAGTAAGTATTAACAGTGGGCTTACAATATTCAGTAAACCATGCTGTAAACAGATGTGCTGTCATCCAGCCTGTTGTTCCATTTTATAGAGCACAAGCAGAATAGATTTAGCCTAATTCTTAAGGGCCCTAAAAATTTTCAGAGTGGTAAATGAGCACTGGCTTCAACTTAAAGTCATCAGCTGCATTAGCCCACACAACAAGAGAGTCAGCTGTCCTTTCAAGCCTGAAGTTGACTTCTCCTGTCTAGCTATGGAAGTCCTAGATGGCATCTTCTTCCAGTAGAAGGTTGTTTTGTCTACATTGAAAATCTGTTGTTTCATGTATCCTGCACCAGTAATCTTAGATCTTCTGGATAATTTCTTGCAGCTTCTACATCAACACTTGCTGCTTTACTTCACAGTTTTATGTTATGGAGATGGCTTTCTTCCTAAGATCTCATGAACTAACCTCTGATAGCTTCAAACTTTTCTCCTGCAGCTTTCTCACCTCTCTCAGCCTTCACAGAACTAAAGAGAGTTAGGGTCTTGCTCTGGATTAGGCTTTGGATTAAGGGAATGTTGTAGCTGGCTTGATCTTCTATGCAGACTACTCGAACTTTCTCCATCTGCAATAACGCTGTTTCACTTTCTTATTTATGTGTTCACTGAAGTAGCACTTTTAATTTCCTTCAAGAACTTTTCCTTTGAATTCACAACTTCACTAACTCTTTGGCATAAAAGGCCTAGTTTTCAGCCCATCGTGGCTTTTTTTTTTTCTTTCTTTCTTTTTTTTTTTTTTTCTTCAGACAGAGTTTCATTCTTGTAGCCCAGACTGGAGTGCAATAGTGCCATCTTGGCTCACTGCAACATCTGCCTTTCAGGTTCAAGCGATTCTCCTGCCTCAGCCTCCCAACCAGCTGGGATTACAGGTGCCCACCACCACACCCAGCTAATTTTTGTATTTTTAGTAGAGACGGGGTTTCGCCATGTTGGCCAGGTTGGTCTCAAACTTCTGACCTCAGGTGATCCACCCACCTTGGCCTCCCAAAGTGCTGGGATTACAGTTGTGAGCCACCACGCCCGGCCACCTGTCATGGCTTTTCACATGCCTTCCTCACTAAGCTTAATCATTTCTAGTTTTTAATTTAAAGTGAGAGACAGTGCAACTCTTCTTTTCACTTGAGCACTTAGAAGCCATTGCAGGGTTATTAAATTGGCCTAATTTCAGTATCATTGTCTCAGGTGACAAGGGAGGCCAGGAGAAGGAGAAAGATGGGGAGAACAGCCAGTCAGTGGAGCAGTCAGAACACACATAGCATTTATCAATTAAGTTCACCGTCTTATACGCATGGTTCTTGGCATCCCAAAACAATGACAACAGTAACATCAAAGATCACTGATCACAGATCACCATAACAGATATGATAATGAAAAAGCGTTAAATATTGTGGGAATTACTAAAATGTAACAGAGAGACAAAACATAAAGTTAGGCACTGATGGACTTGCTTAAAGCTGGGTTGTCACGAACCTTCAATTTGTAAAAAGCACATTATCTGTGAAGTGCAATAAAGTGAAATGCAATAAAAGGAGGTGTGCCTGAGGGATTTACCATTCTTTAATAAAAATGGTCTTATGCACACTTCTCTACATCCCGCCTTTCCATTAATATGTCATAAAATCTCCTTGAAATCAACTGGTATAGCTATACTTTATTCTTTTTAATAACTACATAATATTCCAGAGCATGAGGGAACCATAATTAATCTGCCATCCACCACTGATGAACACTCCTTTTGTGGCTAGCTTTGTCTATTGCAGTTACACCGCAATAACTATCCTGTACATATGTCCTGATGTATTTATGGTTTCATATTTATGTGGGAGTAGAGTGGAGCTGGGAGTTGCTACATCAAAAGGTAAATAGATTTTTTTTATTTTAATAGAAGTTGCTGCATTGTTTACAAAAAAGACTTTGGCAATTTACATCTCCATCAGTAATGCCTGAGTTGCCCTTTCCTTGGACTCCTGACAGCATTAGGTAATTTTTTTTTTATGTTTAATTTTTGGGCAAATAGTGACATTTCATTGATACTTGAATTTGCATTTTCCCAACCTTTAAAAATTTAAGCATCTCTTCTGCTTGTTGATTTGGATTTCTTTTTCTGAGAAATGTCTTTTCACATCCTCTTTTTTTGTATTAGATTGTTTGTTTTTTTCTTCTCAAAGTTTAAAGGCTCCTTATATGTTATATATTTTTATCTGTATTATAGTTTTTTTTCAAATACAGCCTTTGCCTATTGAATTTACTAAATGAATATCTTCCATACAAAGTTTCTATATTTTTACATAATGAAAGTGTTTATCTTTTCTGGCTATGGTGTGGAAGACTGATGGGAGGGGTAAGACTAGATAGCAAGAGATCCATCAGACAGCAATTTCAGACTGGTCAAGAGGCAGCATTGTGCTAGGCAAAGTGGTTCAAGAGACATTAGGGAGGTAAAACTGGGAGAACTAGATGATTGACAGCATATGGGGTAAAGGAGGAGGAGAGGAGGTGCCAGGAGGGCCAGGATGAATCACAGCTCTTACTTCCTCCTAGGTGGGTTGTGGTGTCTTTCCCTAAGAAAGGAAACACAGCAGGAAGACTAAGACTGGCCTGGAACATCATGCTTTCAGTTTGACACTGTTCAGTGTGAGGGGTCTGTGAGACATCCAAGCAAAGATGCCCAGTAGCTGCTAAGTACACAGGTCTGGGACTCACAGGAAAGGATACAGATTTGGGAGTCATCACATTTCTAGTGGCTCCAATGGAGGCCATTAGGACCATCACCTTGGGAGAGCGTATGAAGTGGGAAAAGGCAGCTTGGACCTGTGCTTTAAAGCTTGGCTAGAGGGGAAAACACTGGCTAAGGAGACTGAGAGAGACCTGGGAAGTAGAAGAAAGGCCAGGAGGGGGATGGCATCATAACTCCAAGACAAGAGTCAACATGTGGAGACTTGACTGAATAAAAGGCACTAGTGATATTACTCAGATAGTAGGAAAAAGATGGAAGAAAATTCAAATGTAAGCAGAATTAAACACACATACAAAAACACATGCATACAATTTATTTTTGCTTATGCTCTAAAAGAACCTGTAGTTTCACTGAATACTGGGATCTGGGTGATATTTATTCAGGATGTTAACAAATAAAACAATAGTATAACCTACATAAAGAGATATGCATAATGATATTCATTTTAAAGTTATCTATACTAGTAAATAATAATCTAGTCTAATAGTTAAACAATTTAGTATTATGCCATGGCTTACTATGTGGTTATTTTAAAAAAGGAAACAGGATATTCTCCTTTTATTATTGGGAATTTGGAAAATTTCTTAATATTAAAAATAAAAAGTTATAGAAATATATATGCAGAATATTCCTCTTTTTAAAAACAATAAAGAGGCCAGATGTGGTGGCTCATGCCTACAATTCTAGCACTTTGGTAGGCCAAAGTGGAAGGATCACTTGAGCCCAGGAGTTTGATACCAGCCTGGGCAATGTAGTGAGACCCTGTCTCTACCAAAAAATATATATATATTTTAACTATAAAAAGACATGAATACATGTGTACATGCATTCTCACTTGCTCTTTTTTTAGACTGGAAAGAGACACCCTAAATGATTAACAGTGGTTGTTTTTAAAGTAACCACGGTTACTTTAGAGATTGTGGTGATGGTGAGATTTCAATTTATTACTTATTACTTAATACAGGTCACATTGAAAAATATGTTACTTTTGAAGACAAATATCCTATTACTATTATAATATTAAAACTATGTAAATTTTTTTTAAATAGAATTATTCAACCAAGAGGAGGAGTTGTTAAGAACTGTCTCTAAAACTAATATCTACCTCTACTTTGTGTGCATGGGTATATCTATTATTTCCTTCCTACAGTAAAGTCTTTTCTGTTGCACTTCCAAGGCCAACACTAAAGTAAGTTGCTAAGATAATTTCTAATGAACAAAAGAACAATAGAAGAAAGGGGAGTGAGTTTTTTCTCAAAGGTCACAAACCATGGATGAACGAATGAATGAATGAATGAATGAATACACAAATAGGAGCAAAGGAATGGTGTCAACAGTGAGTTTGTTGCTTTGCTGATACCACTGAGTGGTCAGAAAAGGGACTGTAGGGACGCTAATAACCATGCCAGAGTGCAGAACAGAGAGTGCCCAGATTTTGAAGCCAGCAAGGCCCAGGGTGAACTCCCAAAGGCCTCCCCACACTAGATCTCCTCAGCTGTGAAGTAGAAATCATAATGCCCACCATAAAAGATTGTTTTCAGGTTTGAATAAAATTGAGAGTCTTTTTACACTGGTTGACATGGAATAGGCTTTCAAAGGTTTTCTCTCTTTTTCTTTTAATGAGTTAGGTCAACATCAAGGTATTCACACTGTCTGAATTAACTGGGTGAGAACTGGGCATGGGGTGAGTTTTTGCTGTTTAAAAGCAAAGAGAGATGGAGGGAGGGAAAAAATTTTATCAGTGATCGCCTAAAAAGATTTTCTATGCTAGCCAGATAATTTTTGAAGGTTTTTTTGTTTTGAAGAATTTTGAATTTTTTTTAAATAAAGATATGAGGGTACCTAATACCTAATCAGCACTACATGTATAGAGTGATCACATATCTAAAAACAGGTCTGATCTCAAATATTCTGTTGCAGTGTTTCTACAAAACATCAACACCTCAATTTTAATAGTTCTTTTTGTATGGCCTGAAGTTGTAACTGGAACCCAAGTTTTATAGATGAAGTATCCTGATTTCTTATTTAGAAAATCTGGTCACCGTTAACTATGGGTTAATGAAAAGGAACTCTCAACCCCCAGCACAAATTCCTCTGCAAATTATTACTCAGGGCCTGAGATTCAGATTGACTGGTACTTTTTTTTTTTACTTAATCTAACACTTGTATGGCCCTGGCTCTGTGCCAGGCACTGTTGCAAGGGCTCTATAAATAGGTACTCACCACTGGGAGCAGTGGCTCATGCCTGTAATCCCAGCACTTTGGGAGGCCAAGGCAGGTGGATCACTTGAGGTCAGGAGTTCCAGACCAGCCTGGCCAACATGGTGAAACCCCGTCTCTACTAAAAATACAAAATTAGCTGGGCGTGGTGGCACTCGCCTGTAATCCCAGTTACATGGGAGGCTGAGGCAGGAGAATCGCTTGAACCCGGGAGGTGGAGGTTGCAGTGGCCAAGACTGTGCCACTGCACTCCAGCCTGGGTGACAGAGCAAGACTCCATCTCAGAAAAAAAAAAAAAAAAAAAAAAAAAATCAGAATCCTAAAAACATATTAAGAAGGTTTTATTTCTAACCTTATTATTTTGCAGGTGAGGAAACTGAGGCACAACAATGTTAAGTAATGAAGCCAGATTTGAACCTGGACAATCTGACTGCAGAATCAGTGCTCTTAACCATTGTTTCTTATTTAGCTTGCTACATGGCATAAGGCTCTTAAAGATAGTGACATGATGCAGGGTTTCTCAGGATACAATCTATAGACAGCATTGGAACAGCAGATGTTGCAAATGAGAAAGTCAAACTGAGTTAAGCACACCTCCAAACCTACAGGTGAGGCACTAAGCTCTGTGGTTTCCAAATCATCGAATGCTAGAGCTGAAGAGGGCCTCAGAGAGCAAGACTCCAGTCAAGGAAGAAAAAGCCAGACCAGAAACAATAAAAAGAAAACGAGCAAACAAAGGAGTCACAAAGAAACAGAACTGTGGCAAATGACGCATTAGACGAAGACCAGCAATTCCACCCACAGAGGAGATACCAGCGGGCCAAGTGTGAGTCAGAAGGGACTGGTGAGGACTTGCGCACCAGTGAGCCTACAGGGAGGGGCCTGCCATGTGGAAACAGGAGCTGTGCCTCAGCTCCTGCCATGTGGAAACAGAGGCCCACCATTGCCAGGTTCCCAATTTTTCAAAAAAAGCCAGATATTCACATTTTGTGTGAAAATTCCTGTTCTTGAAAGTTGGCAACTAATTCAAATCTGAGCTTAGGGGTAACCCCAGCCAGGCTAGCCCTATCAGGACAAGGACAAAGGTGTTCCTGTTTTTGGCTGTATCCCCATATGTCTGGCATATGGACTTTCAATAAATATCTGTTGAATGAATTAACTAAAATGATTAAAATACAACTTAAATGTAGTTCAAAAGATAAGGCTTCCTGACAGAATAGCAAAATTTGACAGTCACCCCAAACCCTGGGCTTTGTGAAATCCCAAATTGCTGTGGAACCTGGCTGAAGAAGGAGGACTTCGTAAGGAGAGATGGAGAAAGAAGTTTAACTGGAGCTTAAAAATAAAATGGCTCAGGAGCCCTCATATACAACCAAAACAGACTCAGTTTTTCAGCCCCACTTTCTGCCTCATCACCAAAGCAAGATGGGAGGACCTGCGGGCTCCACCTTCCCAACTCCACAGCTGTCCCTTTTGAGATGTTCCCTCTCAAGTTTAAGTAGATTTTACCAACTAAGTGTTATAGGATGCAGGGCACCACACCAGATAAACTTGTACCCACTCATGGATGTCAGCCCCAATCAAACTTAACAGCCTCGCTATGGTTTGAGGAGGTTCACTGATGTCATTTCTTTCTTTTCTTTCTTTTTATTTTTCTCTTTCTTTCCCTCTCTCTCTCCCTCCTTCCCTCCCCTTCCTTCCTTCCTTCCTTTTTCTTTTTGGAGACAGGGTCTCATTCTGTCACCCAGGTTGGTGTGCAGTGGTGCAATCGTGGCTCACTGTAGCTTCAACCTCCTGGGCTCAAGTGATCCTTCTGCCTCAGCCTCCCAAGTAGCTAGAACTACAGTTGCATGCCACCACGCCCAGCTAATTTTTATATTTTTTGTAGAAACAAGGTCTCACTATGTTGCTCAGGCTGATCTCAAACTCGTGGGCTCAAGTGATCCTCCTCCCTGGGCCTTCTGAAGTGCTGAGATTACAAGCATGAGCCACCATGCCCAGCCAATGCCATACCTTAGAGACAAGCTAATCACTCTTCCGGGATTTGAAGGAAAGGGTTTTCTTGAGTTTGTTCTTAGAAATAAACAATGTAATTTTAAGATACTTCTCTCTCTCTCTCTAAAATATTTTAAGGCTCACACTGCCTGCAGATTTTAGCAGGTAAAGTAAAAGTTCATTTGACCAAAAAAAAAAAAAAAAGAAAGAAAAAAGAAAAATTCCCTTAAAAGTTTCAGTACCTGAATATATGAATATTGGTATTTCCCTCTGAATATAAGACATCATAATGGTGATTCATTTAAAGCCTCGTGCAAGCCCAGAGATAGCAGGGTCTTGGGGCATTTTTGCTCCCAAGTGAGCAGATGGATTTCTCATCTGGATATGGGTCACTGAGCACAGCCTTGTCCCTCTCACTTCTCTGCGTTTGGTCTTCACATCACGGCACATTTTCAGTTGATGCCTACTTGCAGTATCAGGATGTGTGGCAATCTGGGAAGCAACATCTCTATCTACACACCCATATATGCATTTATAGTATTGAGGAGCGGCCAATCTCCTAAAATGTCTAGGCTAGTAATTGTATCAAATAACCTGTCCTATTAAGGCCATAAATATTCTCATATTAGTCAGTCCCAATTTTGGGGGTAGAAAATGTGCTTACCAGGCATGGAGATAATAAAGAGGAGTAGCACTGTTTGTTTTAACTCAATCAAGTTTCATACAGTTGTGACTCTTGCCTAGCTCTTAGCAAGTCCAATCCAAGGAGCCCTAGGCCAGCTCAGCCTCAGTAATAATATTTAACAGTAGCAGCAGCACGAAGATTCACTGCAGGCTTACTATGTGACAAGCACTTGTTCCAAGAGCTGTTTGTGTATTAACTCATTTAATCCTCAACTCAACTCTGAGGTAGTTCTTATTATTCATTTATTTGTTCATCAAATGTTCATGGAGTCCTGCCTATGTGCCAGACACTGAAATAAGCAGGCAGGATATAGCAATGAACAAAACAGACAAAATCCCAGCCCTCTTGGAGTCTATTTTTCAGTGGAGGGAAGAACATAATAAATGAAAAAGTAAATATCTTTTATTTGGATGATGTTGGATGATGTTAAGTGCTATAGAGAAAAATAAAGCAGAGTGTGGGGGCTGAGGAGTACTGGTAAGGAAAGGAGTTGGATGGCATGGGGGGCAGTCATAAGTTGGCATCTGAGCAGAGTCCAGAAAAGCAGGGGAGCGAGCCTAAGAACATCTGGGGTGAGAGTGAGAAAGGAGTTATTTCTTGAGAACACGCCTATCAAAGTAAGGTGGTTTGCTCCGCTGGACACTTGGTTGATAGAGAAGGTCAAAGATTCCGAAGCACCAGGCTACAGATGAAGAAATGGACTGAGAGGGTCAGCTGACTGCATTCACTCAGCTAGCAAGGGGCAGAGCTGGTGTCCAGACACAGGCAGTCGGCCCCAGAGCCTGCACTGTTGGCCAGAACATCAGATGCCTTGGTTGGGGCCATTCCTCTTTTTTCCTGATCGATTCCACCCTTAGCCGGTCCCAGTTAGTGACTTCTCTTATTTCCTTAAGACAGAGATTTACTGATTTCAGCCACACCACCACCAGTTTCCCTGCCCTCATCTACTTCATACTGAAACTGCAGCCACCTGTCTCCCAACGGTTACAAACCCTCGGTCCCCAAGGCCAGAGCAAGGTTCCCGGACCTTGCTCTCAGCTGTCAATCTGCCTCCTCGATAAGTTCATCAAGAATTAAGATGTTGGTTCTCTAAATCAACTTCTTTCTGTACTTTCCTTCTAATATGATGCTAAAATAGTTTCCTTTTTAATTCTTGTTCTTGCACTTAACCTATTTCTTCTTTCTCAAGATGTTTCCCTTTAGACCTATGCAATCCATCAAAGTAGCTACCAGCTACAAGTGGCTAGTGAGAACCTGAAATATGGTTAGTTCAAATGGAGATGTGTTCTGAGTATCAAATACACACCAGAATCTGAAGACCTGGTATTAAAAAGTGGAACATAAAATCTCTTGTTAATATTTTTTTGTAGTAACTACTAGGTTAGTGCAAAAGTAATTGCCGGTTTTTGCCATTAAAAAAAAATAGCAAAAACCACAATAACTTTTGCACCAACCTAATACATGTCGAAATGAAAATATTATGGATATATTAGGTTAACTAAAATATATTATTAAAATTAATTTCACATGTTCCATATTATACTTCTATTTGAGAGCACTTCTTTAGCCTGTTGTTTCAAGACACTCACATCCCACCTTTCTCAAAGGCCACATTTGTCTTTGACTGTTCTCACCTTAGATAGGATACAGCTGAGATCCACAGTATGCTTTAGGGAATAAGGTTCTTACTAGATCGGTTAAGGCTGTGAGTGTTTTTAAATCTATTCTCCAAAGTCTGATTCAAGGTATTTCAATACAGTACTGATCATTTCACTAAAATTCCTTGAGAATCCTTGTTATTTTCTAGATACTCAGTTCATCGTTGGGAAACTCTATTGCAAGTAGTTTACAATGGCACAGCCTCATTAGTTTCTTATTAATCTGATTTTTTATTTTTTTCTGAATGTGTATGTTAAACTTCAATTTTCTTCTAATTTTTAACTGGCATAGGAAGAAAATGTTCAAGAAACTACAGACTGGTCAGCCCAGTGGAAATTCAGGCACTAATCTCAACAGACATTTTGGGGAACATTGTAAAGTAAGCAAAGTTCACTAGAACCTATAAAGTAACCAAAAAGCATTTTCCTTGGAGGCTGATGGGCAGGCACTGAAAGTTATCTCCAAAGAGGAACTGCTAAAATGTTTTCCCCTCCTTTTCTAGGGACAGTCTCTGTATCTTATAGTCACACTTTATATTCAAACCTGAACTTATCTGAGAAAAGAGAAACGGCTGCATCCTGGTTTCACTTACAACCCTGAGATGGAAGTTGAGATTTGTCATTGCAGAATTTAAGGGTCTGTGTCCTTAAGTAAAACCTTCTGGTCACCCCTCAAGTAAAGCTTCAAAAAAGCTTAGGCACTTGTGCAGAAACAGCATGAGAAGAAACCAAAAGGCAGAAAACTTACACATATAAGGGCTGATTTATGCAAAGTTTCTACTTTTAAACAGAGAAACCAATACCTACCCTCAAAGCCTGTATTTACTAAAGAAATGTTAGAGTGACAAGGAGGTCAATAAAATAAATTATTCAAATCTGGTTCTTAAAAAGAGGTTCTAAGACTATTTTAAAACTTCTGAAAGATGCCCATCAAAATTAAAACAAAAAAACATAGCAACGAATACAATGAGTGAAACTTGATTAGATCCGGGTTTTTTAACAAAAGACACTCTTGTGACAAGTGGGGAAATCTGAATACGGGTAAAAGTTAGGTGATGTTACAGGATTAGTGTTAATATTTATAGATGTTATGATGTTATTGAGATTATGCAAAAGTGTCTAGGAGTGAAATGTGGGTACCTAGAGAATGTAAATATAATAATGTTAATAATAAATATGTCAATAAATTGCCATTGTAAATTCTATGTCCCAAAGAAGCACCCCTCACCATTACAAATTATGATATTAAATACAATTTTGCATGACTGGTAATTGTGCTGACCTATATTTCCCATGTTTTAGCAGAATTTCATTGGACAATGTATACATGTTGGATATAAGAAATCAGTAGTACTCATCTTCAAAAAGTTGCTTAGTGGATCTCAGGCTAGGGATACAACAGAGCATATAAAGGAATAGGTTCTGATTCAGAGAGAATCAAAGTTCAAGTTCACTCTGCCACTTATTTGCTGTGTGAACTTGGACACATTACTGAACCTACCTAAGCTTTGTTCTCCTATTAAATGTTCCCTATGTAATAAAATCAGTGTGACAATTAAATAAAAACATCTCAAATCTGAAGCATAGCTCCTGGCACAGAGCAGGTACTTACCTCCTAGTGGCTATTATTACTTACACTCTGTTATAACACTGGGCCTAGTTTTCCTATAGGAACACACAACACTATTTTAACTTGGATTATCTTTGCTAAATAAAAAAACACAGACTGTCTAAGTCTCAACTCCAGCAAAGCACATGAACAAGTCTCACATAATAATGTGAGATAATTTCAAATGGAGAAATGCTGGACAAATACATTGTCATCTAATGTTCAGATTCAACAATCTTTACTATTAAAAAAAAACAGATCAATATAAGGAAAATTTTAAAAAATAATACATGACTTCTGCATACAAGGAACTTAAAATCTAGTTATGCAGATAGTTGGCAATAAAGGATCTGTAAAATGTCAACAACAGCAGAATAAGACAGACTCTGTTAATAATAAAATAGTTCCTACCTTTTTATTTTTTATTTTTTTGCTCTGTTACCCAGGCTGGAATGCAGTTGTGTCATCATGGCTCACTGCAGCCTCAAATTCCCAGACTCAAGCAATTGCCAGGCTCATCTCAGCCTCCTGAGTAGCTGGGACTACAGGCGTGCACCACCACACCTGGCTAACTTTTTGTAGAGATGGGGTGTATTAGTCCATTCTCGCACTGCTAATAATGACATACATGAGACTGGGTAATTTATCAAGGAAAGAGGCTCAATGGACTCACAGTTCCACATGGCCAGGGAAACCTCACAATCATGGCAGAAGGCAAAGGAGAAGCAAAGTCATGTCTTAATGGTGGCAGGCAAGAGAGAGCGTGTGCAGGGGAACTCCCCTTTATGAAACCATCAGATCTTGTGAGACTTATTCACTATCACAAGAACAGTATAGAGGAAACTGCCCTCATGATTCAATTATCTCCACCTGGCCCTGCCCTTGACACACGGGGATTATTACAATTCAAGGTGAGATTTGGGTGGGGACACAGCCAAACCATATCATTCCACCCCGGCCCCTCCCAAATCTCATGTCCTCACATTTCAAAACACAATAATGCCCTTCCAACAGTCCCTCAAAATCTTAACTTATTCCAGCATTAATCCAAAAGTCTAAATCCAAAGTCTCATCGGAGATAAGGCAAGTACCTTCCACCTATGAGCCTGTAAAATCAAAGGCAAGTTAGTTACTTCCTAGATACAATGGGGGTACAGGTGCTGAGTAAATATATCCATTCCAAATGGGAGAAATTGTCCAAAACAAAAGGGCTACAGGCCCCATGCAAGTCCTAAATCCAATAGGGCAGTCTTAAACCTTAAAGTTCCAAAATGATCTCCTTTGACTCCATGCCTCACATCCAGGTGACGCAAGAGATGGGCTCCCACAACCTTGGGCAGCTCTTCCCCTGTGGCTTTGCAGGGTACAGCCATCCTCCTGGCTGCTTTCATGAGCTGGCATTAAGTGTCTGTGGCTTTTCCAGGTACACGGTGCAAGCTCTCGGTGGATCTACCATTCCGGGGTCTGGTGGATGATGGCCCTCTTCTCACAGCTCCACTAGGCGGTGCCCCAGTGGGGACTCTGTGTGGGGGCTCCAACTCCACATTTCCCTTCCACACTGCCCTAGCAGAGGTTCTCCATGAGGGTCCCACTCCTGCAGCAAACTTCTGCCTGGACATCCAGGCATTTCCATACATCCTCTGAAATCTAGGCAGAGGTTCTCAAACCTCAATTCTTGACTTCTGTGCATCCACAGGCCCAACACCACATGTAAGCCACCAAGGCTTACCCTCTGAAGCAACAGCCTGAGTGGTATGTTGGCCCCTTTTAGCCATGGCTGGAGCTAAAACAGCTGGCATGCAGGGCTCCATGTTTGGAGGCTGCAAAGAGCAGGGGGGCCCTGGGTCCAGCCCATGAAACAATTTTTCCCTCCAAGGCCTCCAGGCCTGTGATAGGAGGGGCTGCCATGAAGGTTTCTGATATGCCCTGGAGACATTTTCCCCATTGTCTTCGTGATTAACATTTGGCTCCTCATTACTTAATGCAAATTTCTGCAGCTGGCTTGAATTTTTCCTCAGAAAAGGGGTTTTTCTTTTCTATTGCATCATTGGGCTGCAAATTTTTTGAACTTTTATGCCCTGCTATCCTTTTAAACATAAGTTCCAATTCCAAACCACATCTTTGTGAACATATAAAACTGAATGCTTTTAACAGCAACCAAGCCACCTCTTGAATGCTTTGCTGCTTAGAAATTTCTTCCACCAGATGCCCTAAATAATTTCTCTCAAGTTCAAAGTTCCACGTATCTTTAGGGCACAGGCAAAATGCTGCCAGTCTCTTTGCTAAAACATATTAAGAGTCACCTTTATTCCAGTTCCCAACAATTGTTCCTCATCTCCATCTGAGATGAGCAGCATTTGGTCAAAGCCATTCAACAAGTCTCTAGGAAGTTCCAAACTTTCCCACATCTTCCTGTCTTCTTCTGAGTCTTCCAAACTATTCCAATCCCTGCCTGTTACCCAGTTCCAAAGTTGCTTCCACATTTTCAGGTATCTTTGCAGCAGTGCCCCACTACCCAGTACCAATTTACTATATTAGTCCATTCTCATGCTGCTAATAAAGACATACCCAAGACTGGGTAATTTATAAAGGAAAGAAGTTCAATGAACTCACAGTTCCACCTGGCCAGGGAGGCCCCACAATCATGGCAGAATGCAAAGGAGAAGTAAGGCACATCTTACATGGCAGTAGGCAAGAGAGAGCTTGTGCAGGGGAATCCCCATTTATAAAATCATCAAATATTGTGAGACTTATTCACTATCTGAGAACAGTATGGGGGAAACTGCCCTTATGATTCAATTATCTCCACCTAGCCCTGCCCTTGACATATGGGGATTATTACAATTCAACGTAAGATTTGGGTGGGAACACAGAGCCAAACCATATCATGGGGTTTCAGCATGTTGCTTAGGATGGTCTCGAACTCCTGGGCTCAAAAGATCTGCCCACCTCAGCCTCTCAGTGCTAGGATTACAGGCATGCACCACCACTCTCAGCCAAGTTCATACTTTTGAGTTCTTGCTACTTGCCCAGCACTATCCAGGCCCTATCCACATGTCATTCCACTAATGCAAGCCCACACCAAATCCTGCCAGCTCCACCTTCAAAACACATCCAGATATCTCCCACCCCCAGTGATTCCTTTCCTGCATTGCCCCTGCAGCCTAACCAACCTCCCTGCTCTTCCTTTTCTCTCCTCTACAGACTATTCATCCAGCAGCCAGAATAATTCTTTTAAACATCCAAGTCATCATAATTTCACTCCTGTTCAAAATCCTTCAAAACTTTCCAGTCACTGAAAGCAAAAAGGCCAAAATATTTAAAAGGCCCTAAAAACTTTATCTACAGGATCCAACCCTGACTACTTTTATAACTTCATTTTCTACCACTCTCCACCACAATGGTATCCTTGAAGTTTCTTAAACGCTTGAAGCCTATCTCAGGGTCCTGAGTAGTAGACCTGGAATATCACTCCCCCAGATAGCCTTGTGGCCTATCTCTCACTTCCTTAAGTGTATGATCAATTGTCACCCTATTAAAGAGACCCTCCCTGACCACACTATGTAATACTAACCAGCAGAGGGTAGCTGAATGAACTACCATATAGCCACCCTATGAGGGACTGTACAGCTGTGAAAAAGAATGAGGTGGATCTCTATGAAGTGATAGGGAATGATTTTCCAGATGTATGGTTAAGTGACAAAAATGAGATACAAAAAAATACATAGAGTGTTACCTTGTTTAAGAAGGGTAGTTAGAAAAAAAAAAAAGAATCCAAATAACTTTTTTTTGTTTTGTTTTGTTTTTTTGTTTTTTTTTTTTGAGACAGAGTCTCACTCCGTCACCCAGGCTGGAGTGCAGTGTTGTAATCTTGGCTCACTGCAGTCTCTGCCTCCTGGTTCAGGCCATTCTCCTGCCTCAGCCTCCTAGGTAGCTGGAATTACAGGCGTGTGCCACCATGCCCAGCTAATTTTTTGTTTTAGTAGAGACAGGGTTTCACTGCGTTAGCCAGGATGGTCTCAATCTCCTGACCTTGTGATCCGCCCGCCTTGGCCTCCCAAAGTGCTGGGATTACAGTCATGAGTCACTGCACCCGGCCAGAATCCAAGTAACTTTTGAATATAGTATTGCATATTCACTGGGATATACAGATATTTCTTATTATGGAGTTATATCTTGAAAAACTCATTGTAGAGTTGAAAAATCTTAAGTCGAACCATTGCTAAGTTGGAGACTGTAATGAAAAATAAAAGGAACTGTAAAGAAATCTTTAACTGTATTTAGTAAGTTTGTAGTTGGTAGTAGATTGGTATAGCAACTGTAAAATGATTTGGGGTTTAATGTAGATTAGGAAAATATACTGATGCTACTAAGAACAGAGTTCTCACTGTGGGAGTAAGGAGATGCAAATATGGAAGAGCAGAAGAGGCAGAAGAACTAAGCAGCAAGATTATTAGTGTTAGAAGTATCAGGGTGAACTCCTGACTTTGTAAAAACTCTATTTCTTAACTTTGAAAACTGACAAGGCTGAGAAGCAATGACTCTGGTACCTGTGGGCACACTTTGCACCCAGAACTTGATTTCTAAATACCATCTCTCACTAAAAGAAACCAGGGAACCTAATGATTCGAAGGCTGAGGCAGGAACACTACAAGATGAGTCCAGAACATCTTTCTGTGCCAGAAAGTAAGGAAGTGTTTAAAATCAAACAGGAACAAACAGAGCAAAAGGACTCTGAAGCTTGAAGGTGTTCCCACTTGTCAAATGTGGGGTTGCCGAGCATCAAAATGGATGACAGGAATGCCATATTTAAAAAAGAATCCATGAGTCCACATAACCTTCTAAAATAAAAGAAAAAAAGGGAGGATGTGTGTGCAAAAGCTATCCATTACTGAACAATGTAAACTAATAAATATATATATAGAGAGAAACAGAAGAGAAAATTGCTGGGTGGCTCATGCCTATAATCCCGACACTTTGGGAAACTGACTTGGGAGGATTGCTTGAGCCCAGGAGTTCAAGACCAGCCTGGGCAACATGGCAAAACCCCGTCTCTATAAAAAATACAAAAAAATTAGGTGGACGTGAAGGCATGTCCCTGTAGTCCCAGCTATTTGGAAACTGAGGTGGGAGGATCGCTTGAGTCTGGGAGATCAAGGCTGCAGTGAGCCATAATTGTGTCACTATACTCTAGCCTGGGCAACAGAGTGAGACTGTGTCTCAAAAGAAAAGAGAAAAGGCAATGAAACAAAGAAGGAAAGAAGGGAAGGGAAGGGAAGGGAAGGGAAGGGACAGGAAGGGAGGGGGAGGGGAGGGAAAGGGAGGGGAGGGGAGGGAGGGAGGGGAGGGGAGAGAGGAAGGATGGAAGGAAGGGAGGGAGGGAGAAGAAAGGGACAAGGGTGGGGGAAGAAAATTACCATTTGAAAATATTTTAGTGGCTGGATGTGGTGGTTCATGCCTGTAATCCCAACACTTCGGTAGGCCAAGGAGGGAGGATCACTTGAGCCCAGGAGTTTAAGACCAGTCTGGGCAACATAGGGAAACCCTGTTTCTACAAAAACTAAAAAAAAATTAGCCAAGCATGGTGGCATGCACCTGTAGTCCTGGCTACTCAGAAGGCTGAGGTGGCAGAATTGCTTGAGCCTCAGAGGTCGAGGCTGGAGTTAGCTGTGATAGCACCCCTGTACTCCAGCCTGGGTGACACAGTGAGACCCTGTCTCAAAAAATAAAATAAAATATTTTAGTGATAATGGATTCTGGGAAGAATCACCATAGGATACTAAAACCACTGAATGAACAATGGCTGGAGAACAGGATATTCACTCAACCTCAAAACATCACTTAACACATCATTTATTACTTACAAAGGTAAAATGGTGCCTCTACAATGGAGAAATCTGGTAAACTTCACTTTAACCAAATGTCAAAGTTAACATCTCCAATAATGTGACAAACAGACCACATCTTCCTGATGTGACACACTGAGAAGGACCCAACATAGCTATGAAGTATTCCTGCTACAAAGAGTTACAACCAGAATCTGATCATGAGGAAACAAGCAGGCAATCCACATCCAAAGGGACATTCGGTAAAGCAACTAGCCCAGACACTTCAAAAATGATGATGTCTTAAAGTACCAAAAAAAAAAAAAAAAAAAAGCAACAGTTTTAGGTTAAAGGGGGTTAAAAAGGCATGATTATCAAATGAAGTATGTGGTGCAGGACTGGCTTCTGGGTTCTCTACCAGGAAACAGTATTGTATCAATGCCACATTTCCAGATTATGATGATTCTGTGACTTGTTGGAGAATGCTCTTGTTCTTATGAGACATATGATAAAGAATTACAGGTGAGGTGTCATGAGATCTGAAACTCTCAAATGGTTTGGCAAAAATAACAGATGGCAAAAATAACAAAGAAAACTAATGTGACAGTTAACTGGTGATTCAAGGAGAAAGTACGCAAATGTTCACTGTACTAATTTTGCAACTGTCCTAAAGATTTTAATTGTTCTAAAATTTCAAAAAAAACCCTAAACTGAAGTATTAACGACTTCCATCACCCCTTTCTTTGCTTTACTCATCTCTGTACTAGTAAATGTTTACTTTATCACCATCCAGCATCCATGTTTTTACTCATTTACTTACTGTCTCTCTCCCTCACTATAAGGTGAGCTTCACAAAGGCAGGGAACTGTGCATAGCTTGCTGTATCCCCCGTCCATTGTGCAGTGCTTAACATATAATTGACACTCAGTAAATATTTATTGCATGACTGATGTTCCCAGTAATTCTATGAAGTGGGTTTATTATTCTCCTTTCCCTCATGTGAGTGGTACTCTCTTCAAAAGTGAAGGTACTGAAGTGAAGAGAAGTTAGGGAACTCACACAAGTTCATGACTCAGGTGAGGAGTGGGGCCAGGATCCAAAGCTAGGCATCTGACCCCAGAGCTGATGCTGTTAATCACTGCATTTGCAGCTTCCCTAATGAGGCAGGCTTGGGTCCCCAAAAGGGGATATACCCATTCAGTCTTGTCTTTAGTTTAAGGCCTATGCAGAGCAGTTTATAAATACATGTTTGCTGAATCAAATGACTTCTGAATGAATACATGAATTAGGTGAGAGAGATCACCAGGAAGGGACAGTTCAAATAATCTGTTGGAGGTGGAGCTTGGGCAAACTGGGTTTGCAGTGGAAGGGAGAACACAGGTACAGGCAGCAGTGACCCAAGGTGCCAGGGAATGAGGGACCAGCTTGCCTGGAGGAGAGTTACCCCATCCATTCAATTAATCCCTGTTTGTATCTCTTCTTTTCCCCAGCCACCCGCACATGAACTCCCCAGAGCTATTTGGGCCCTGTGATGGTAGTCCACCCTGGCCTTCTGGCCTCCCTGCCTCCAATTCCTCCTGACTGCAGCCTTCCTCTTTGTTGCTAACAGATTCTTCTTCCCAGGCGCATGGTCCTGATCCTGTAAGGCCCAGGAGAAGCTCTCTCAGCTCAGAGAATCCAGACTCCCTAAGGGGACACTCAGCAATCTTTTCCCACATTATCACATGTCCACACATCACCAGTCCTTGAAGGCTGGGCTCAAATATCCTCCCTCCCATGAAGACTGCTTCACAAAAGACACTTGATTTCACAAAAGAGACTGCCTTCTTCTTCCCTCTGTACCCTCACAGCTCACCTTTTTTTTTTTTTTTTTTTTTTGAGACAGGTCATATTCTGTCACCCAGGCTGGAGTTCAGTGGCACAATCACAGCTCACTGCATCCTCTGCCTCCGGGACTCAGGTGATTCTCCCACCTCAGCCTTCCGAGTAGCTGGGACTATAGGTATGCGCCACCACGCTCAGCTAATTTTTGTATTTTTTGTAGAGCCGATCTTTCACCGTGTTGGCCCTGCTGGTCTCCGATTCCTGGCCTCAAGTGATCCACCTGCCTCAGCCTCCCAAAGTGCTAGGATGACAGGTGTAAGCCACCACGCCCAGCCCAGGCCTCTTACAACACTGACTTATCTGATCGTGCGGGTACTTTTGAGTCTATCTCAACCCCTCCCCCTTGGCTGTCTTCCATAGATGCACACGCGCACCTCCCGGGCAGGCAGCGGACGCTGAGCAAACGGACGGACGGGCTGGAGGGCTGGCAGTGGGGTGCAGGAGCCAGCCATGAGAACCCCTCAAGTACAGTTGAACTCGCTGGGAGGTTACTGCTGTACTCCCGGGGTTTTGCTATGGCCTGACTGGGGCCAATGTGTGGAGGGTGAAGGAGGATGGGGAGGCAAAATGGGAAGAAGGGGACCTATTTCCTGAGGTTGTTGTGACGACTTGGCTGACAACACACGGAGAGGATGGAACCAGTTCTGATACTAGTTTTTAGGATTTGAGGGGAGGAAAAAGGAGCAGGAGTCGCACCACTTAGGAATCCCAACGTGAGGCCGCTGCCGACTGGGCTTCCTAGTTGCCTACCCGCTCCTCGCTGTGGGGCGATTCTGAAAAGTCCTCTCTGCTGATACGGCGGACGCCGCGCGGGCGGGGACGGCACCGCGCGGGGAGGGCAGCAGGCGTCGCCCTCGAGCAGGTGGCATCCGCGCCCGCTCCCCGTCCCGGGCGCGTTCACGGCTGGGAAAAATTTTGCAGTCCGCTGAAGCGCTCAGCGACGTTACTGGGGAAGCCCAGGAAGGAACTTGGTCACTGGAGCTCGGGAGGGGGCCGGCGGGGGGGCGCAGGCCCCGCAGGAGAGGCTAGCGGGCCGGAGCCCGTCCTTCCCTAAGGCCACACAGTTCCTTGCTGACTCCATGAGGGACACTGGCGATGAAATAACAACTTTCTCTTCCTGAAAAGGCTCCCACGGCTGAGTTGTTCCCGGCCCACAGCGACCCGTCCCCACCCGTCTCTGATCGGCAACCGCCTCGAGCCCGGCGCGTCCACCCAGCCTGGGTGCTGCCCAGTACCCGCCGGCCGGCGCGGGGCCCCTGGGGCAGGCTTCACTCACCAAAGCAGTGCAGCAGGCAGACCACGCTGAGGACCCCCAGGGCCCGCCCCGCGTCGCTCCCAGCAACCATGGCTCGTCGGGCCGGCCTCTGCGCGAGTGCCCAGCCACAAGCAGCCCTAAGTTCAAGCACCGCCTACGCGGTCGGCCAGAAGTAGGGCTCCGCCCCGCCCTGGGCTGGCAGCCGGCGGCCCGCCCCGGCCCTTCCTCCCCCACCCTCCGCGGCGCCGCGTTTGTCTTCGCGCTTCCACTCCCCGGGCGCGCCTCTGGCCTCGGCTCTGCGCGCCTCCTTCCTGTGTCCCCGGGGCGCCGTCCAGTCCCCCAGCTCGGTCCCTCCCGTCATTCCGCCGCCATTCCATACGCTATTTTTAAGTAAGAAATTCTTTCCTTGAAAATGGCTTGGTTTTAAAAACCAAGGTTTTAAAGTAAGAAATTCTTTCCTTGAAAATGGCTTGGTTTTAAAAACCAGGTTTCTCTGCCTTCCTACCGCACCTCCCGCGCTTCCCCTTAGCGTTTGGGGCGTGCTGTAGGCCCCTCCGTGGCTAGACGGGGCTGTGGCTCCCAGAGAGCCACCGGAGGAGGCAGCAGGACGGGCGGGAGCACCCGGGGCCCCTCATCCCTTCAGCGCTGTGTGATCCCGCATCAGACGGCCTCTTTGAACCACTTTTCCTCAAACATGACAAGGAAAGGGAGCATTTTAGACAACTGTTAGGCGTAGGGTTACCTGAGGCAGGCCTCCCCCGTCCCCATACTCCCTTATCCCCGGAGCTGGGATTTCCAGCCTTTGGTTTCTCCCTTCTCAGATTCCTCTTTTTCTGTCTTCCCCCATCTCAACCGGGACTTTCCCTCAGGCTGAGATGTCAGATCCACATCTCCCTCACTGCCCAGCCTCCCCACATCCATCCAGCCCAAGCTGAGGCAGGCACTCATCACTCTCCCCGCTCTTCATCAGTCTGGATTGAGCTGGCCCTCCCCTCACATCCCTATATCCCAGAACAAATGACCCTATTCCCAGAACCAGCTCCTCACATCAGCCTCCCTGTCTGTCCCCTTTCTTGCAGACAGAAGCACCAGAGTTGCCCCTGCCCAGCTGAGGGAGTTCACAGAACTCTTAGTTATTATGTGAGCAGGAATCCATTTCCATGAACAGGACTCCCTGCTGCCCAAATAACCACCAACACATACATGGTGCAGGTTGTGAAACTGAGTGGGAATGTGCTTTCTTGCTGCTTCACCTCCATTATCCCCAGGTGGGGACTCGAAGTCACTCAAGACACTTGAACCATATTGCAAAGAGACATGAATTATTTCTTAAGTTAGCCATAAAATCTTAAAAGGTATCTCTATCAGTGAAACTTCTGGGACCAATGCCCTCTACCACAAACCTGCTATCTCGAGATATTCCCTACCATCTGTAGATACTGGGAACACAAGGCAGGGGCAGTGTGTAACATAAAATATGAGGAAATCAAGTGTTCTCTGCCCTGGGCTGGTAGGAACTCAGGCCAACTTAGAAAGGCAGGATGGGGTTAGACCTTCAGACACTGGGGAGCCACAGAAAGTTTTTGAGCTGGGAAGTGATATGACAGCAAACATCTATTGAGCAGGCCCTGTGTGAAGTGCATTGCTTGGATTAACTTAGTCTTACTGCTGCTGTTGTTTTTGCAAATGAGGAAACTGATGCCTGGGGAAGGTAAATTACTCAGGGCACACAGTAAAGGGCAGAACTTGGAGTCCAGCTGAGGCCATGTCCAATGCCTCTACTCTTATCCCTTCATACAGGAACGGGATATGATAATGGGACTTTTGGACTGACAGCTATGCAGCCATTTGGACTGCCAGCAAGAGCTGTTAAGCCCCTTAAGAGCAGGGCTGAGGAAAGAACAGCCCAGTCACATGGGGCTGGGGAAGCCCCTCACCCCCAGGTCATGGTCTCCAGGTATTGGGTGAGGAATAACTCATTAGGCTTCCTTGGTTGGACTCTCCTTTGACCAAGGAGCAGTGCCTGCTCTTTCATTGAGAGAAATGCTGTCCATCAAGCACTTTTAGAAGCCCTCAAATGCCTGGTTAATTTTATGAATCAAAAGCAGCTCAGGAATGCTGGACCTGCAATGCGTTAAGCAGGCAGCCAAAAAGATTCCCTTTACATACTGAGAACCTGCTATCAAAAGGAGGGGTGGATGTATTTTTCATGCTGTGACTAGTATTGCAAGGTCCAGTTTTATCTTCTTGTCACTGTAGATAATCATGGATGAGAAAGTAAGAAAAGAGGGCAGCTGAAGAGGCCGGGGCTGTTCTTCCTAGCATGCCACTCTCTGGTGTCTTGACTCTCGTTTCTGCCAAACCTTTGGAACTACTCCCACAAAGCTTAGGAATCCCAGAATGTAGTGAGCAAAACACTGCTCAATCCTGCATAAATGCAAATTGTCATTTTCATTGCATGCCTCATGAGGGAACATACATTCATTTATATAAATACTGGTTGGATTTGCACGAAGGACATAGAAGGGTAATCTTATTCCATAATACTCTATTTCCCTTTTTAAAACATACCCTGGCAGAAAAAGAACATTAGAAAAAAATTAGGAAAAATTATACATAAGACTTAACATGGAACCATTATGGGTACCCAAGGGAGAGGCAGTCACATTTTCAACTCCTGGCCAAGCCAGCAGCTGCAAGGAGTTGATAAGGATGCAGCCAATGGTTCTGGGAGCAGAGGAAAGCACACACGAAAGCTTTTGAAAGTCTTGGATTTAGAAAAAGAAGAAAAAAAGAAGTGTCTCCCTCTGCTTCTTACTATCTAGTTCCTTTTTGCATATTCTATGAATTTTAAAGAATTATAGATGGGTTCTGACTAATCACGTATCACTGCTATGGTTTTAATCATTCTAACATTCTTCTCAATTTGCAGATGTAAACCCCTCCCAACACTGGAAGAGGAAACAGAGACCAGTGCGCTGTGCAGTCTCACTTAACTAGAATGCACAACTCCTGCTTTTATCACCATTCTGGGAAATCCCCGCTGCATTTCATGGCCAGGGCAGCACTTCATAGTTGGAAAAGGATGGTGTGGACTTGCCGCAGAGGCCCTAGAGAAGGCCATCCTGTGTTCCTGCTCTCCTTCTCATCCGGCTTCTACCCCCACCCCACCCCCCAACAAAAACGCTACAGGTTATAAGATCTACATTCTGAACCTGGCTTTCAGGGGCTAGGTGTGTTGTGTGTTGCACAGCTCTAGAGGTAGCATAGCCTTGATCATCGGGGTGGAGGTGTCTATTTACTATATGTTGCAGCAGATGGCAGTGAAGTGTCTTGAGGAAGAGGTGTTTTTATCATTTGAAGGTTATGGGGTGTAATAATAAAGACTGCAATTCACAGACCTTGAGCCTAGCAGGCCAATGCCAAGGGCAGAACTGTAGGCTCCCACAGCACAGTTCCACAGAGGAAGGGGGCTGGTTAGTAAGGGGAAAGAAGGATAGAAGACTGCAGTAAATGTAAACAGCCGTATTTTCAACATAATTTACTACAGGTCTCTGAAGTGTATATAAAATGTTTTAGTGCAACATCTTACAAATAGTTTTCCTTTAAAAAAACAGAAACAAATCAACAGCTCTCTACATCATGCATGGGTAGTTTTCTTACCCCATCTTTTTTTTTCCTCAATAATTAACGCAGAGAAACCATTGTTTGAAAAGAATATGAAAACTTGCTACAGAAACACCCGGTGAAAGAGGGTGTGGTCATATTCATGTCCTAGAATGCGCCTAGCACAGTGTAGTTTTTCATAAATGCAACATTGTAGACATAGATGAATCCAGAGTATTCAGCAGTTTTCCTCCGTCTCAGAAGACTAAAGCTCCAGTAGACAATGCGCAATGAGGTCTCACAGCCACTGGAGGGCACCATTACCATCCATCTGACATCGCATTTCCATAGAAATGGCCAAAGAAAGAAGGTCCTGGGGTTTTTCATAGAAAGCTCAAAAAGTTCAACCTTTGATGCTATCCCCCAGCCCAATACAAAATACACAGAAAAAGCAATTATTAAAATACTGGCTTCGGTTTCTTTTTTTCCTTTCAAATTTCCTACAATTGCTTTACATATTTGTGTGCAGCACCTACTTCTTTATCGCCGTGAACTGAAATCTAAGATTTCAAACTGAAATCTTAGTTACACATCCTAGTCCCAGCCAGCGCTCTGGCAACCTCCCATTTAGACAGAGGAAACGCCAGTCAT
The DNA here is from genome assembly GCF_000001405.40 of Homo sapiens. Lineage (NCBI taxonomy): Eukaryota > Metazoa > Chordata > Mammalia > Primates > Hominidae > Homo > Homo sapiens. The sequence goes on from NC_000001.11 coordinate 116,575,139, forward strand.
CTTCCCTCATTGACTCAGCCTATAAAGTAGGAGTCAGCAAATTCCCACTGAAAGCCCACATCTCTGAAATAAAGAAATGGGGCAAAAGACCTTCTTTTTTCATGACTGAGCCGCTCCTGTACCTCTAATGTGTTGATGCAGCATAATAAATGAGAATCAGCATGTCAGGCAACAGCAGGATTAAGGTGGTGGTGCCTGCACACACTGTCTCACAGGAGGGTACGGTATACTTGGGGGAGAAAAGGCAGGTCTGTGTGTCTGTCAGAAAATGGCTGAGCAATCGCCACCATGCTCCCCTCAGCTGGGAATCAGCAAAGTATCTGCCGAGCAGCCCAGGCCACCTGCATACCTGCAGACCCTTGAAGGATCAGCACAGACACTGGCCTGGGGAATCCCATGGCCTCCCCTGCAGTCTGCTCGTTCTCAGAACAGGGCTTCACTGGAATCTTTTATCAGACTTAGTTCCAGAATCCCTGATGACTTTTTCCAAACTGTGACCCCCTCTTGGGATTCAGGATGTAAGTTCCCAGAGTAAAGGAGATGGCATGCTTGGCCAGAAAAATATGGGAAAGCAAGGGTATAAGAACATCTTCATAAAGGGAGCAAAAGGAAATATTTGCAATTGATGATGCCCTAAGAAGGACAAGCAGCACCTGGCCCAACAGTGTAAAAGAACAGGGTGACACCAGCCATCATGGGGCTCAAGGGGCGTTAAAATAAAAAGCCACCATAACAATGAACAACCAAACAACCTAGAACCACAAGAGAGATCAAGAAAGGGAAAGGAAAAATCCCACAGACAATGCCTTGTGATCACAGTCTGCTGAGACTAGGCAAACAGAAAGGATGACAAAGGGCTGCGTCTGGACTGCCCCCAGGCTGATATTCTTATGGCAGTGAGAGGCAGGGAGAGAAAAATGAATAAGGAAGACATCACTATAATTAAGGAAAATCTAATTGGAAGGAAGAAGAAAAACCTAGTCTTCACACCTCCAGGGAGGTAGATATTTCTCTGCACTCTCCAACACCAGGCCCTGGAAACCCCCCTCCCACCCCTCACTGTCCCACCAAACTTAGTGTCAGCCAGCCCCGTGCCCTCCGTCAGGTGTCTGCCATGGCTGCTTTGGCCCTGTGCTCAGCTCAGGGGCCCACTTCCAAGTTCACTGGACACTTTCTTTTAAGAGTTTGGCAAAGCACCTGAAGACACAGGCCCACCTGCTCACAGTTAATCAGTTAGAGACCATCCTTGCAGCTCAGAGCAAGCCAACAGCCAGCCTTTCTCCCTTCCTTCTCTAGTCACTGGCTTTGACAAATCTGCAGGTCAGCAGCTGCTAAAAGCAGCCCCTGCCCACTTTAATTTGGAAAGTGTGTGCCGTTTGGGGCTTCTGACCCATTCTCCAAGACAGTTTTCTTATTTTTTGGCAAGGATGGGATGAAGCCTTTTTTGCCTCCCTGACAGATAGGCCGGGCACCATCTACTCCTAATGGGGTTATGCAGGATTTCTCTTGTACATACACAGTTCTTTGAAGCAAAATTCAGTGCTTTCGTCTTGACTACAAAGTGGTTCCAATAACTCCAGCTGAGGGAAAAGACAACATACAAATTTTGCCCACACTACACACAATTCTTAAGTCTTGTTAAGAAAGTAAAAAACGTTTGGGTATATTTTGATCCATGGGTGGCATTTTCAAATGTGCAAAAACAAAGTCTTGGAAGAGATTCCTTGTCACTAGAAAGTTCGCCCTTCCTTTTGCTGTCAGTTGTACGTAAGAGAAATTCGTCCACATTAAGGAATCCAAAAAGGGTAAACTAAAGGGATTTAAAAAGAGTACATTACAAAGAATAAGAAGCCCTGTAACATCTATCTGAGAATACTAGATAAATCTGTGAGTAGATGTGGCACCTGGAGCTACTCACTACATTACTAAAAACAGAAACAAGAAATCTATAATGGCAGGATCACAACATTTGCGCGCAAATAGCTAACCAACCAAGACTGCCACCGAGAGGCAGTCTGTCTCTGTGACTGACTGGGAACTTGGAACACTTTTCAAGTCTGACAACTTTCCACACACATGCACCCCAGAGTTTGGGTGCTGTCAACTGTCCAATCACAGAGAAAGGGAGAGCCTCAGCTCCTCCGTGGCCAACATCCGCTGGGGCATCACCCGCTTAGTCTATGGCCCCTGGATGGATACTGAGAACAGGGGGCTCCAGGCAAGTAGGGGAGTAGTTGAGGTGTGGCTCTTTGATCCACAGCAGAGGCACCCCATTCTTCCCATCAGAGTTCTTGCTGGAGTTCCGGCTCTTGAAACGCACCAGAAGGATGGTGATGATAAGAATGCCAAAGATGGGGAAAGGGTAGAAGAAGACGAAGTAGAAGAGTGCGTCGTTGGAGCAGATGATGGACTGGAGGGTGGGACCTGAAAAGAATCATGAGAGAGACAAGACAATGAGGGCTGAGAACCTGGACTGCTCACATTTCCTTTTGAAGACCTCACCTGACCCAGTGGAAGCTCCTCGGTGACACTCCCACACCACCTTGTCTTTCCCCTGCTACCATTAATGGTGGAAGATGACCCTTATATTCTTTTTCTCGCAACACCTCTCCTAATTTACGGCTGTATGTTCCAACAAAGCAATGCTTCTGTTTTCCATTGAGAGCCATTATTGCTGCTTGGAAAGCCACATAATGAAACATAATTTATTGATTGTGAACTCAACTGCATCTAGAATGGTGAAGAAGCTGCTCTGGTTCAGTCGGAGCCTCCTGCATGGTTGGATTTTACATGCCCCTTTGCACTTAGTTCTGCTACAGACTTCCTTCTCTGGGATTATGACACAATCCCTTCCTGCCAGCTTCTGAGAGCAGTTTTACCAGAAATGACACTTACCTGATTAATGTTATCAATTAAATGTCATTATGGACCACTTACAAACGTCCACAGTGTGTCCGTGGCCACAAAGAACACAGTATTAGTTATAGCTGGATATGGAAGAGAATAAACCAGGCGCCCCAAGACAGGTTGAGGGCTGCTCTATAAGTCATTAGACCTTGGCAGGAGCCTAGCCTCTGGGAGCCCCTGTTTTCTCTGTAAAATAAGGCTGCTGGGTGACCTCTGTGCTCGATGAAGCTTAATAATTAGGGACATCCACAATGGACAGGTAAAATGTTGCCTAGACTGCTTTGTTTTCGCTTTGAGGCAGTGGGTTATTCAGTGGATCACAGGGTGGTCTATGTATGATGCAGCCTGCTTTCCCTTTTACTGAATAGCTGTTGCTCATCAGTATTATTAAGAACATTTAATCTGCCTGTTATTCAATTTCCAAAGTGTATGAAACTGCTGATAGTCCACCATTGTTGACCTGCAAAACTCCAATTTCATATGGTTCTAACACAATGTGAGCACGGGGTGATCAAGGCAAAAAAATAGTGGCCCAAACTTTAAAAACTCAAATCAAGATGATGTTGAAAAATGTTTTGACTAAAAAGAAGTTAAAAATTCCAGCAATCTTTTTTTTCTTTCTGTATTCTAGGCTAATTCTACTATAACACCATTTTTAGTCTAATGTAGTCCACATTTTGATGGCAAGCCAACCAAGAGTGCATTGTTACAACAAATAATTCAGGCCAGCAATACTTCCCCCAGTCTCTGTTCATAGTGGAAGTCCCTCAGGATCATGGAAACTGCATTCTGGGCAGCTGCAAATCCATCCCCTCTCAGCTCTCCTCTAATATCACAGCCCTTCTAGGCTGGTCCTCCCAACCATACAAGATCCACCTCAACCTCCAAGGCACCCTCCAAAATAACAATAACGCAGAAACTGGACAAAAAGAAATAATGACAGTGAGGTAGTCAGCCTTCATTTTTTTCCCTTTCCCTTGTGAGTCTGAAACGCTTGCTAATTCGCTAAAGACTAGTTCCAATATTCTAAAAAATAACAAAGTAACACCTAACAATATACTAGTATAATGAAATATTACTAAAATTGAATCTGGTAGAACATCGAGTTTATTATAAAGATTATATGGTATGTTATCACTTTAATTTCTATCCCTATTTTTGCATGGGTAATCAAGGGTCAATTATATGAACTAATATGTCCAATCCCACCATATCTCAAATCCTACTAATAAATGCCCATGACAGTTAAGAAAACTGTTTATTAACCCATAATCAAGCTCAAATTTATCTTCCAGACACAGTTGGAACCAACAGTGACATCCTCCCTCTGTACTTGGGAAACTCACTTGTATCTAGAACACGGATGCCGATGGGGGCTGACTCCTCCTCCGTCAGCCGGTACCATTCCTTCTGAGGGCTGGGCAGCCACTCCTCCACATGGCAGGAGTAATTGCCTGTATCTTGGGGGCTTGCCTGCAGCACTGTGAGCCGGTAGAGCACCGGGGAGAGCCTCTGGAAGCGAAGCCTGCCCTCCCAAGGACTGCCCTCTGGGCCAAAGACAGCATCTGGGCCCACGCTCAGCAGGGCCGTCCGCTCTGTTGGGTCGTCGTCGTCGTCGTCGTCCTCCTCCTCCTCCTCCTCCCTTTCCTCTTCCTGTTCTTCCAGGCCAGGGCTGCTCCTTTTCCCCCCAGCTTTAGTCCTCAGGGAATACCAGGCCACAGCGAAGCGGGAGTCCTGGCTGGAGCGGGACACGATGCTACAGTCCAGCTGGAAAGCTGCCTTCTCAGAGACCGTGGCATTGGGGACCACTGTGTCCACCTGCAGGGAAGCATCTGGGGAATGACAAGGGACAAACAGGGAAGGGGTTGTTTAAATTTATTTGCTCAAAATAAACTAAATGTCCATCATTAAACACATGATAGTAACATCCATACTATAAGATATTATGCACCTATTGAAAAGGCATAGGCAGTGCTACAGGTGGAAGTTGATCCAAGAAAAATTGTTAAGAGTACAGAACAATGTTACTGTCCATGTCATTGTATGCAGAAAACATATTTTATTTTGACATACATATCTGTTTATATCTGCATAAAATATCTGTGGAAGAATTCATAAGAAGCTGGTAGTGTGGTTCCTTATGGGAATCCCGGGGGGAAGAGGTGTTTATTTTCACTGTAACCCCTTGTAGTGGCTGAATAGTGTCCCTCCAAAATGCATGTCCACCTGGAACCTCAGAATGTGATTATTTGGAAATAGCAACTTTGCAGACGTAATTAGCAAAGAGGAGGTCTTGCTGGATTGGGGTGGGCCCTAAATCCAGTGGCTGGTGCTATGAACTGAATTGGTCCCCCTCCAAATTAATATGCTGAATTCATAACCCACGATGTGACTACATTTGGAGGTAGGACTTTTAGGAGGTAATTAAAGTTAAATGAGGTCATAAGGCTGAGTGAGACCCTAATCCAGTAAGATTGGTGTCTTATAAGAAGAAGAAGAGAGATCTCTCTCCAGGTGCATGCACCGAGGAAAGACTATTCAAGGACACAGCAAGAAGGCGCCGTCTGCGGGCCAGAAGAGCTCTTACCAGAACTTAGCCATGCTGGTGCCCTGACCTCAGACTTCCAGCCTCTAGGACTGTAGGAAAATACATTTATGTTGTTTAAGCCACCCAGTCTATAGTATTTTGTTATGGCAACTGAGCAGACTAAGATAACTAGTGTCCTTATGAGCACAGGAGAGAAGACAGAGAGAAAGTGGCCATATGATGATGGAGGCCCAAACAGGAGTGAAGCAGCCACAACCAGGGAATGTCTGTGGCCACAAGGAACTGGCAAAGGCCAGGAAGCATTCTTCCCTAGAGCCTTCATGGGGAGCATGGCTATGATGACATCCTGACTTTGGACTTCTGGCCTGCAGAACTGTAAGAGAATAAATTTCTTTTGTTTTAAACAATCAAGTTTATACTAATTTGTTATGGTAGCCCTGGGAATTTAAAACACCCATGCAGTAACTTAAATTTAAACTGTGTGCATGTAGCTTATTGCCTAAAACACAGAGAACCCAAGGAGATCAGTATCTCTCCAAGGATTAAAGCCAGATAACAGACGACAAGGCTGAAAGGGCCCTTCCCTGTGAGCACAGATGTCTCAGGAGGATGTACGCAAAGTGTCCTCCCTGCTTAGGCGGGAGACACAGAGTAACCACAGAGAGGGACCCCAAGCAGGTGAGTCACATCTCACAGATGCCAACAGACTTGAATCTGTTTTGCTGTCTTTTTTTTTTTTTTTTTTTTTTTTTGGCTCACTGTAATATGTTCTAAACAAATAATTCACTCCCTAACTCCTAAAAGGCCTCCCTTTGGCTCTGCTTATGAAATGTTCATGAAAGGTGCCAATGTAATGTAAACTGAAGTAGAGATACCAAATCAGATCCTACTTGGATGAAGACCAAATAGGAGCACTTTCCAAGTATTGTCCTGGGCTTTCAATGAATTGGCTTAGTGTCGCTCACAGGTGAACATGTCGCTCACAGGTTAACACAAGGCTGGGCTTCCCATTGCTCTTGTGGGGGCTCTGCCAAGCCCCTCTGCACCCACCTCCTGCACCCATCTGGAATCTCAGTGTGCACTGCTGGCACAGGAGGGCTCAGTAACCAGCTACAGGTGGCAGGCCCAGCTCTCTCAGGGACAAGAACATGCTTGAGAACAGAATATGGCCGGGTGGGGACTATTCAATCAGTTCACAGGTAACTCAAACTCACTCAACTCCTCAGTTGTAACTCCAAGGCCATTAGAGAGCCCTACTAGAGACCAAGGGGAGCCCCCCACCCCATGCTTTTCTCCTCCAGAGTCTAACATAGTATCCCCACGCTCCTGGTGACTGGCTAAGGTGTCAAGGGAGGTGGCCCTGGGCGATGTGCAGTGGAACTTATCATGGCCAGGGGCAAGATGGCCAGAGACCATCAGTTGAGCTCCTCAGAAACACCTCCTCCCTCTTCAATCTCCCTTTGCTTTCTTGTCTTCTAACCGCTTAACATTTTTCTTGGCCCCTTCAAATGCCTTGTCTGCATAAATGACTCAATACAAGTTTTTCGACAGAAATTAATTTCCACCTTCCCACAATCTCTCTCCCCTTAACATGTTTCTCTACCAATTTAGTTCCCTGAATCTGCCCCCTTCTAGAATATGCCAACCCTCCTCCCTGTTTGGACTTAAATACTCTCTTCTTTTCCAAGTATAAGCCATGGAAAGATGCCGACCTCTGCCCCTGCTGTCTGCGTGACACTAACAGCTCCCCTGGATCTCACTGTGACCGCCAATTCCTGGCCTGTGTGTGATGATTGTGGTTTTCTCCCTTCCCCAGTTGTGTGAGCCCAACACAACTACTAATCGACTCATCTGCAATCTTAGTGAGGATGGGAGCCCTTCATTCCATGTATTTCAGATTATTGTGAATGTCAACTCTCAGCAGTGGAAGGTGATTATTTTCCTAACAATACTTTTAGAGCTATATTATTTCAAGTCTTCCATGTGTTTAACGTATCCCTCCGAAAAAAATCTTTGAAGTACGTCTGCACAATGAATGTTATGAAACCAGTAAAAATGGTGGCTATGAAATGCTTTCACAGACATGGGAAAACGCTCATAAAAGAAAGTTGAGTGGGAAAAAAGATCACATAAAACAGTAAGATCCTGAGTTTGTTTACAGACAGAGGAAATATGAAGACATGAGGCAAAGACCAAAAAATATACACCAAATTATTAATAGTAGATATTTGTAGGCCGTGAGATTATGGCTAACCTTTCTTTTCAAAATTATACTTTTCTGTTTTCCAATGTTTTGTAATTAGTACAATCAACTTATGCAATCAGGGACAGATGGACAAAGGGACGGGAAGGCAGATTGATCCAGGCTTGCTCACAGGGTTGAACAGGAGGCAGACACAAGGCTAACGGTTCAGGTCCATGTTGGAAGCACACAGTGTGGCAGGAGGGAAGCCTGGGTGGTCACTCTGCCTGCACCTGCTGGCTGGGTGGTGATTCGCTCCATGCTTTGGTCCCTCATGAGTAAAACCTACCACTCAGAGTTATTGTGAAGACTGAACATAAGTCTCCTAACTGTGGCTGGGATGTAGCTGTACTCAATAAACATCTGTCTCCTCCCACTCCATCTGGGAGCCTCAGTGTGCTGACCTGCAGAATGGGAGGGAGTTGAGGGAGTGGGGGCACTCAGCTGCCATTCTCTACAATTTCACCTTCGGGAAAAGACATGCAGCCATTTCTAGGCAAGGTAAAAAGCAAAAAATATAAATAAGTAAAAGCTCACGGAAAAATAGGAGTTAACTCAAAGTGGAGGCAATGTTCCCTGCAGTTTAGGCAAGACACAGGCGAGTGAGATACTGCCCATTTCCTATAACCAAGGCTGCAGTGCCTCCCTGAAGCATGTTCCATGACATAAGAGACCTGGCACCACCCTGGAGATGCAATATTCCACCAACGAAATGAGCTGCTCTACTCAGACATGAAGACATGGTGAAAACTTCCAGTAGTGCCCAAGGCCACAAATGTGAATGTCAGGATGCTCAGAAAACAAACAAGATACTGATGGGGTCACGAATTCACTTCTCCTCCAGGTCCTTACAGGAACCATCGACTTTTCATTCTAATATGAATGGATGATGCTGTGATGTTGCAAAGGACATGGGAATCCTGCACATCGTAGCTTTGATTATGTGTTTAAATGTGCAACAACAATTATACCTAGTAATTACATGCATTTAGATATTTAGAAACAGCAATAAAGACAAGAAAAACAAAAGGCCACACAGAATAGTTATTAGTACTAATAAAATTATTGGGACCAGGCACAGTAGCTCACACCTGTAATCCCACCACTTTGAAAAGCCGAGGCGGTGGTGGGGGTCACGAGGTCAGGAGATCGAGACCAGCTTGGCCAACATGATGAAACCCCGTCTCTACTAAAAATACACAAATTAGCCGGGTGTGGTGGCATGAGCCTGTAGTCCCAGCTACTTGGGAGACTGAGGCAGGAGAATCACTTGAATCTGGGAGGCGGAGGTTGCAGTGAGCCGAGATCGCACCACTGCACTCTGCACTCCAGCCTGGGTGACAGAGTGAGACTCCGTTTCAAAAAAAAAAAAGTATTGGGAAGTGACAGAGTGAAGGCTGCACACAATTCATTGTTTTCTATTTAAAGCATGTAAATCGATTACTTTCCACTGAAAATCCACAAGCTGAATTTTCTCAACAACATGGTTATTGTTTCAAGATTTTTGTCATATCTGCCCTTTGTTCCAAATCTGGAAAAAGGAAATATTCTATGACCTGGAATAATTAATGGCCAGATTTTATTCTATTTAAGAAATCAAATCACCTTAGGCCAAAGCCAGACGTGCAATTTTCCATTCACAAGAAAAAAAATTCAGGCAATTTTGAATATAAATGCATATACATGTAGACACTCATATATTTAACTGCAAATAATTTATTAATAAACTAATTTTATCCAGTGCATAAAACAGTATACTTAAATGGGAAACACCAGAGGGAGTGGAAGCTTGGGGACGTGGACCCTCACCTGGTCGCATGACTGTCAGAGCTGTCTGCCCAGCGGTGTCCTCTGCCCGCTTATACCACATGCCACTGGGGCTGGGCAGCCACTCCTCCACATGGCAGCTGTAGGTCCCGCTGTCCTGCACAGCCACGTTCTGGATGAAGAGACGGTACACGCCGGGGGAAGGACTCTCCAAATGCAGCCGCCCCTTCAGATTGTTCTTGGCTGCCTGCTCTCCATAGTGGAAGGTGGCGTCACGGCTCAAGCGGGCCACAGTCTCCCGCTCAGGGTGGTTGGGCTTCCATACAAACCATTCCACCATGAGCTGGGAGGTTATGCTGGTGCGGTTGAGAACCACACACTCCAGCTGTACCTGCCGGGTCTCCAGAACCGACAGGTTCCCCTGGGCTTGGCTGAGCCTCAGGCGGCTGTCTGGAACAGTAAGGAAGAGACGTCAGCGACAAAAGGACAACAAGCAATTCGTACGCACCCTTTCCCAGGGTAGGTGAATGGATGCCTTCCAAATACAGAAGGACGGCAGCACACACTCCATTAGGAGAAACGTTTCTCAGATGTGGCTCCCTAAACATTCTGAGTTCCTTGATCGTGTGTCGGAATGCCTGGGTTTCAAGGAGCTCAATGTTACAATAACAGCTGTCCCAAAGTCGTAGCCCTCATCAGTTCTGATGCTCACAGGAGGACAAGCACAAGCTGTAGAGACTGCACATCCAAATGACAACGGACCACAAAACATGTCGCTGGCCGGGGCAGGTGGCTGGGAAGGGCGGGGGAAGGGGATGGTGAGAAACCTCTGAAAAGCAAGAGTAAACTTTTAAAACTGATCATATGGTGGCTAGAAAATGCTGGGCCACCAACTACAAAAGAACTGCAGGGGAAAGCCAGTTTAATCTGTTCATGTGTTAGCCCTACGAATTGTAGTCCAACATCCTTACAAAAACCCACACAGGTTCCTTCTCAGGTTGGGAATGGAACTGATATGACATCAGTAAAGAAAAGACTGCCAGACAAGGTGGCTCACGCCTGTAATCCCAGCACTTTGGGACGCCGAGGTGGGTGGATCGCTTGAGGCCAGGAGTTTGAGACCAGCCTGGCCAACACAATGAAACCCCATCTCTACTAAAAATACAAAAATTAGCCAGGTGTGGTGGTGTGCGCCTGTAATCCCAGCTACTCGGGAGGTGAAGGTTGCAGTGAGCTAAGATCGTGCCATTGCACACTCCAGCCTGTGCAACAGAGTGAGACTGTCTCAAAAAAAAGAAAAAGAAAAAGAAAAAGAAAAGATTGCTACTGATGGAACTGGGTGCTTTGAAAACTCAGCCAAGCAGAGTCTCCTCCAGTAGAAAAATGTCTTTAATGACAGCATGCCCCGATGGCATGCTTGTAATTTCACAAGGGCCCAAATGAGTCTATCAGGACCAGAGGTATCTAGAAGCTGTGACACTATGAATGCACAATAGCACCTCAGGAATGAGACTTCTGAGTGACATCAGAGGAGGGGAGGTTGGGCACTTTCACTCATTACTTTCTACACACTTCAATACTGCCTGAATGTTTTACAACATTCATGATTACTTTTGTAATTAAAAAGTCAGAAAATATAAAATAACAAAATATATTTTAAATAACCATTCTCCCTTTCTCCCTCCCCATCCAAAAAATACATATGTAAAAGAAGATATTGACTCTGGTTGTCTCAGGGTTGAAAGGTTATTTTCTTTGTTGAGTTTTGTTTTTTTGGGGGGGATTTTTGTGTGTGTGTGTGTGTATGTATTTTCCAAAAGCTCTGTAAGTGTAGGCTTTCTCAGCAGGGAAAAGGAAAGAACTAGAAGCAGAGAAAAAAGAAGAAAGAAAACAACACAAAGAAAGAAACGAGGAAAGCTGTTTTACTCGGTGTCCTCTGAGTTCCATGTTTACGGTGTTAAAGTTCACTGTAACAGAGACTTCACTAAATGTGTTGAGGGGGGTCCTTCTAGTCCTTCCGCACTGTCCCACTTAGCTTGATTGTAGTCTCAGAGAGGGAAATCCCCTCAATAAATTTAGGATCCTCCAAGAATCTCTTGGTTTCAGTACAAATGAGGAAAGGAAAAAATGGTGATGACTAGAGTGGAAATGCAGAGTGGTGGGGGTGATCATGTTCTTTCAGTAGAGAAAATAATCAGAACTGAAAACAGATGAAAAATAGGAACCAAAAGAACACTGGTGGGCCTAATGACAACCTTCAATGTTCAAAAGCCCCAGGGACTGGCCTGAAGTCAGGACATATGTCACCGAAAATGCCAATGGGAATCACTTCAGACCAGAGCTTCCTGTTTAATGCACCAGCAGAGGTTAGCAGAAAATGCCACCGAGAGGCCAGTGAGAATCTCTGGAAATATAATAACCTCAGGCAAAGGAGGGGAACAGACTCACTGCATTCAGCAGGGCACAGGCCACATGTGGAGTTTGGTATCGGGTTCCACTGGCTTACTGAATAGGCCTCCTTAGGAGACAAGCAATAGTGAAGAAAACCAAGTCCCTATGCTTACTCAGGAGGCTTCAATTCTAGTAGAAGAGATAGAAAACAAATGTGTGTGTGTGTATATATATATGTATTCTAGTATAAAAATAATAAGACATAGTAACTGATAAGTCAATTATAAGTAAATACTTCATAATTACTTATATATGAATAAGTAAATTAACAGAATGTCAGGTGGTGATATGTGTTGTGAAAGGGCCGGGGAAAGGAAATCTAGAGTGATGAGGGGGCTACATTTAAGTTAAAATGAGCTAGGAATCCCCCTTCACGGAAGAGCAAGACAAATGAATATCTATGGCCAACATGTTCCAGGCTGACAGAACAATAAGTACAAAGGCCTTAGGGTGATCAAGGAAAGCAACCATTTATTCCTTATTCAACCAATATTTACTAAAAGTACCATGCCAGTGGCTGAAGATATAAGACACAGCCCTGTCCTCAACATGCTTACAGAGTAGTACAGAAGAAATGCAAACCATTATTAGGCTATGTGTTTTAGAAGGGACCCCTACTGGTATGGGAGAAATCAGGGTAGGCTTCTTGGAGGTGGTGCTGAATGAAGTCTTAGGGATGGAGTGAAGACAAGGGAGAAGCAGCAGGAAAAACACATTTCAGACAATGAGGGCAGCACAAGCGAAGGCACGGAGATGAGGCTCTGGGTGGCAACACAGCACCCCCCATGGCCCATCAAGAAGGACAGGCAGTGACAACAACGAATTGCAGGGATGTGAGAATGAGGGGTGGAGAGGCCCTTCAGGCTACACTATGTGAGAAGTTGAAAGGACTAGAGATCTTTAACAGAGAAGGGGCATACATTTCATGTATTTGAAAGGAAATGACGCAGACTTCTCTTTGGTTGTTCCAGGGGCAGATCTAAAAAGGGAAATTACAGGAAAGTGAACTTTTTAACAATCAGAGCTGCCCAAAAATGGAACTGAGGCTTGCGGACTGAATAGCTCTCCCTCCCTGGAAGCATTCTGGCAGAGGTTGAGTGCCACCTGTGAGGGAGAGGAATAAGGGCTACACCATGGGATCAAGGAAGGGCCAGAGGAGGAATGATTCAGTTTGGAGATAGGAAAGGCTTGTCTGGGCGGGCTGGGAGCTAAGGAAGAAGGGGGATGCAGATGCATAAAACCAGAAAATGCCTTCTAGGTAGGAACTCTGGGTGTGGAGCTGGTGTCAGCCCAAGATTCAGGGTGCAAACTGCAAACCCAGAAGAAGATTCAGGAGCTGCCATGAACCCTGCCTTGCCACATTTTGCTAACCACAGCTGCCCTGCTCCTTGGTGAAGATGGTATCCACAGAAGCAGAGTCAAGGATGCTTCCATGAGTCTGCCGTCAGCATCAGGACCCACTGCAGGTAAAATGGATGGGATTGCAGTGTGCTAGGGTGATGGTCCGTGTACCTGCACCCATACTCAGCATGCACCTTGCAGACAGTCTCTCCACACCAGCCCCACAGATCCCCACCCACCCCCAGGCAGTCTCTGCACTAAACCCACTGGCCCAGGACAGCCGTGCCCTGCGGCCTTACCTGGCTGTTTCACAGTGACTTCTGTGCGCCCAGAAACCTCCTCTGCCAGCTTGTACCAGGCGTAGTTGGGGCTCAGCAGCCACTCCTCCACGTGGCAGTAGTAGCTGCCGCTGTCGCTGACCTCGGCTCTCTGGACGGTGAGGCTGAACAGGCCCCCCGACACATGCCTCTCAAACTGGAGCCTGGCTCTCAGGCCCTCCTCCTCGGCGTAAGTACCGTATTCAAAGGCGGAGTTGTGGGTGGTCTTCAGGATAAGCTTGCCATCGGCATCCGAGGGCTTGTGGACATACCAGAGCACCGCAAAGTGGGAGTTCTGGCTAGTCTGAGACTTGACTGAGCAGTTCAACTGAATGGGCTTGTTTTCCACCAGGGTGAGGGTCCTCTTCGATTTGCTCACCTGCAGCTTTGTCACTGCAAAGGAAAGGGGAACACAGGAATCACCACAGACTCCCAGAAACGTGGCCCATCCACCTCCAGGCTCTGAGCCAGGTTTCCTCCAGCACAGTTCCTGGGGGATTTAACACCGACTGGCTTCAGTGTGAGGAAGGCAGCACGGAGCCCAGGCCACCGCTAAACATCCTTCCCTGTCTCCTCCTTGCCATGCGCCTGGCTTAGGCCTTCACCATCTCTCCCCTATCCACTGCCTGCACAGCCCACCATCACAGGGCCTCCAAGGGTGATCCTGCTGAAATACAAATCTAGCTATATCAGGTCTCTGCTTGAAAAGTTTAATGGCTCTGAACTACCTACGGGCCAGAGAGAAACAATTCCTTTTCACAGCACAAAGTCCCTTCAGGATCTGGCCTTCACCCAAGTGTCCTGACTCATCTCTCACGACTCACCCTCAGGCACCCTCCACAGGCGCATGCCCCTGGTGCAGTTTCCCTGAGCCCTGGCCTTTGCCCTTGCTGTCCTCTCTGCCTGTCTCCTTCTGCCACCTCCCACCCTGACCCTTCTCTCCACTTATCCCTCATTCCCGTCCCCCTGGGCTCCATACCCTTCCTCAGCACCCTCTATATATCTCTGGGCTGTGTGTCCTCACATCTCTCTCCCATATCCTAGATGGTGAGCTCCCCCAGGGCAGGGATCAAACTCCTTCCACTCAATCAGCCAGTATTTACGGAGTGCCCACTCGGTTTCCCACAGGATGCTAAGTGCTGGGGATGCCCTGAAGAGTAAGCCGGAGTCCCAGCCCTCATGGGGTGGACTGCCTAGCGGACATTCTTATCGCTGCACCCCCAGAGCCTAGCACAGCACCTGGGCCAGGAAAGCATTTGATCAGTGTTTGCTGAAATAGGTGAACGAGTGGGTGAGCGAATGAGAGCACGTTGGAGAAACACGGCAACAGGTAATTAGAGGATGCTGCGGGCGGGGGGAGAGGGGGCTTCCTCTGGGGGAGTGAGAGAGAAGGCTGAGAAGACAGTAAACCACGGGACAAGGCAAAGCCAACTACAATCCTCCCTTCTCCTCACTGTCCTGCTCCAAAAACAGACAAGAGGGCAGCCTGTGGAGCGCCTCCCCAGCAGCTAATTAATGACGATGTTCACCTTGCCAGTGGCAAGAAGCCAAGGTCTAATGAAATCCATCTTAGGAAGGTGATTTGAGATCTCACCCACCCCATCATCATTAACCTCGGCTCTGCATTCCCCTACCCAAGCCTTTCCCGCTACTAAAAATGAAAAAAAAAAAACAAAAAAACAATTCTAAGTTCCTCTTAGGGAACTAATAGTACAAGAATTGTTCCACCTCCACCACTCTCTTCACACTTAGTTTTTCCGCCACAGGGACCAAACCACTTCCCAGCTGAGAAAGAAAGCAGGGGCAAGGTGCAGATTCCACCCAGGGACAGCAACCTAGGCCTCCTCCAACCGAGCTTGTGTGGAGGGCAGGGGCAGGGGCAGGGCAGGGATGCCTGGCCAGGCTCCAGCACTCTACTGGTCAGACTCTTGTCTCTTTAGTCCAGCTCAACCCCAGGAACTGCATCCAGACCCAGGACCCAGCCCACTGGTCATGACCCTGGCCTGCCAGCTGGCTTAAGCTTGGTTTGGCAGCATCAAGGGTTGATTGAGTCCCATGCATCACAGAACCAAAACTTGTGAAAGCCACAGACTGCCACTTGGTCTCCCTGTAACACACAGACAAATGTTCTGAATGGATGGAAGGATTTAGCAAGCCAAGGTGTGGCAAAGTCCAATTCCCAATGCCATGACTGAGCAACACTGCGGAGCATCTCCCGCAGTAAATCGGACATTCTCTCCAGGAAGACTTGTTGAATTCACAAACCCACAGACCTTCTCACGCCATCAAGAACACACCAGGCACCACTTAGAGAGAAATCCTGTGTGCCACGGCCCCACCCTCCCGGGTTCATCTTTTTTGTTAGCAAGTCCAATCTTCTGCCTTCTCCCTTCTTCAAATGCAGAAAGTCCTCTAGGGCACACTAGGAATCCAGGACAGGGTTTACCATTAAGCTCCCAAGCTCTGGAAACTAGATTTGCATTCGCTTGCCAGTCGACTTTTCAGATTGGATTCCTATAATACTTGAAACAACCGGCTCCCTTTTCATTCCTTTCCAACCCAATTCACCGCATGCAAATGATATCTATATCAGTGCAAATGACACCACCTGAATTATCTGGTTCTTGGCCAAAAAAACTGGGTTGTTCAGCATGGAGTAGAAAGAGCTTTAAAATGTATTATTAATTGGGGCCGGATTATTTTTGCAACTGTTACTAAGGAAACCTCAATTGCTATAGTAACTGCATATGTTAAACTGGAATCCTATGACTAAACTTCTATTCAGTCACATGGTCTGAGAACATGAATTCAAGGAAGAGAAATGTTTCAAAGCATTTCCATTTTTTTTCCTTCCCATGTCAAAATATTGTGAAGTGTTGAGAAGCTTGAAAGAGAGGCATTTTTTAAATTTGGTGCACGTCTGACAGGTGGGCAAGGGGTCAGCTCCTATTCTATGCTCTGGATTTCCTCCCACATCTCCAGGGCAGGTAGGACCTTTCCTGAGGCACAGGGGAGACTGGAATCTCCACATATAATTAGGGAGCCCTCCCATGTCCTGCCAGAGCCCTGCCCTGGGCGGTGTACAGCTTGCGTGCACCACCTTCCTCCACAGAGCTAGGAGAGCCCTGCCCACTTAGAGACCACAGGTGTTTTCATCTGCAAAATAAGAACAATGTCTCTATCTCCATTAGGAGTTTTGTGCAGACTAAAAGCAATGGTCTATAAAAAGAGTTTAGCACAGAACCTGGGATATAACAAACACCCAGTGAATTTTAGCTATTCTCATTCCTTTTTGGTTTCTGTGCCTTGTCCCAAGTTCAAAGTTCAACACTTAGAATGGGAGTTGTCAAGCATAAGTGGCAATCTTCCTGCTCAAAGTGCTGTTCTCGGACCAGCAGCACTGGGAGCTTGTTAGAAATGCAGACTCTCAGGCCCCACCCCAGACCCAGTAAGTCAGAATCTGCACTTTAACAAGATCCCCAGGTGATTCACAAGTAGCTTCAAGCCTGAGAAACCCTGGACTTGGCCGTGTGAGTGAATGGGCTTTGAGAGGCCATAAATGCAGACGTGAAAGAAAAGAGTGAGGCTTGGTTAACCCCCAACAGTGAATTGGCAGGAGGAAGAAAGAATCCAGCAAGAGACAGGAAGAGGGTCCGAGAGTTGCTCCAGCTCACGCCAGCAGCTGCCTTCACAGCAGCCCCCAGAGGCCAGGCCCTGCTTTGAGGGAGTGGCCCTTTCTTTCTGCAACTGGAGAGTTTCCTTCCCAGGCTTGTGATTAAAACTTGGAAGATCTGTGTTTTGTATGGTAGGAGAGGCTGTTGTGTTTGTTACAGGCCAGGATAGGGTGGTTTCAAGGTGAGACATCAGGAAGAGGGAAGAACTTCGCAGCGGAGACCAGCAGCAGCTTTCTCAGCCAGCCTACCCTCCCTTCGGATTCCACTCTGTGCGTGCTCTTCTCACTCAAAACTCATTTATTTCTTCAATAAAGGATTCCCTTACGCTCTACTATAGCTGTGTTACTGCTGCCTTACAACGAAGGTAATTCTTAAAATCTTCTCTTTCTTACAAAATTCTAAGCATATGCAGGGCAGGGACTCTGACCCAATCATTGTTAAACTAATCAATGAATGGTTGAATAAATGTGGTTACTTTTCAAAAGGAGGGGCAATTCTGATTTTGATAGAAAAGAGAACATTTCAAAAGGTATATGGCCCCTGAGCTAGGCCCTGAGAAACAAGCAGAGAAGGAGAATCAAAGGGCACGCCAGAGAGAGGGGACAAGAGGAAAAAGATGACAACTACCCTGTGCACTCTATTCAAGGAGGAGCAAGTGCTCAGGTGTAGTGGATGAGGTTAGAAAGGTAAGCTTCGGCCACACTGCAAGGGGCCTGCAGCTTGTACTTGATCCTGACCACCTGTGGCCCTCAGGGTGCACGCCATGGATCTGCAGATCAGCATCACCTGGGAATCTGCCAGCCCCTGCTAAGTCAGAAAAACTGCGAGTAAGGCTCAGCAACCTGCAGTCTCATGAGCCCTCCAATTGATTCTGATGCACATTCAAGTTTGAGAAGCAACAGCCGTGCTGCTGAGGTGGTTGCCGGTAAGTCTGGAGAAGGTGGTTTCTGTGCAGTGCTGTGAGCAGCAGCCAGAGTGGCACGTGCAAAGAGATGGGCACTGAGGGAGGAAGACACTGCTCTTTATTAAAGACAACAGACAGTAATGCTAGAGATAGAGGCGGCCAGTGGCTGCGGCAGGAGATGTTTCAAGTGGAGAGAAGCAAGTCAGATGAGAGACAAGGAAAGAATGCAGGGTGAGCTGCATGGGAAGCCAGTGGCACAGGCGCCTGCCAGTCAAACTGTTACTACCCCTGAGTCCCTCTGTCCTTAACACCCCTTGGCTCCCTGCTCTCTCCACATGACCATTCCCTATTTGGGCCCTCAATGATCTCTTTCTCAGGCTCTTGTAATTGGCCTGCATATGACACTCCCTCCCTCTCAGCCTAGCCACAGCCAGGGGATTTCCCTAAATGGCAAATGGGGCATGCTACTGCCCACGGCTGCCCACCCCACAGCCCGTGACAGCAGTTCTCAATAAGGCAGCTAATTGCAAGCAGGTCTCTGGTTGCCATATTGATTTGGGGAGGGGTATATATTCAATGGAATAAAGCCATTAAAGATGTAAAATTGTATCTGGGACAACTCCATGCAACAAAACTCTGCCTCGTGTCCTGTGTGACTTTCGAATGACATTCATATGGGCAAAAATTATGCCTCTGGGCCTAGAACCTACTTTCGTTTTACTATAATCACAATACTTTTATTTTGCATGGTTTTAAAATATGCCAGGTCAGTCAAGAGAGGATTTTCCTTTGTTTTGTTCAGAATTGTAGCAAGAGTTACTCAGGACTTCAGAAACCCTGTCAGGATGGCAGTCCTGCTCATGGTGCCAAGTCTGATACAGTGACTGTCAGTGTGCATTTAGAGACAGCGTTGACTGTGACTGTGCCTCCTAGCATAGCTGTCCTGAGCATTTACGCACTGAAACTCATTATTTTACTATGAACTACTTTTTTTAAAAAAAACTTTCTTTATCCCACAACTAGGACAATATAGCAAATTTTAAAGATATGATTAGGAATGTTATATTGTATATGAATTTCATTTCTGGGTAAAGGGAACATTATAAATTATTACAAAAATGGAGTATATGATCTGGGTATGAGCTAAAGTCCTAATTTCTGAGTTTAGGATATTCTCATTTATTTAGCAAACTTTCATCTGGTCCTATGTGCTCAGCACTATTCTAAGCACTTTATAAATATTAACTATTTGGTCCTCACCAATCCTATGAAATAAATATTATTCCCAATTTTATAAAGACACTTGCCCAAGGTCACACAGCTGGCTTAGTGGTAGAGCTGGAATTCAAACCCAGGCCGTCTGGTCTGTCCTTGCTTTTAGCTATTACATATGCCCACCCTCACCCCATGCTCCCATGTACAAAAGGGACTTCTTGATCCCTGCCAGCTTGCCTGGGGGTGAACCCTCCCCAGACCCCATGCTTTAGTCATCTCAAGATAAGCATGCTGCTCCCACCCTCCGTGACTATATTTATTCACACTCTTCTCTGAGCCTGAAATGCTCCACTCCTCCTTCCCAACCTCCCACCCTCACCCCTACCCCATTCCCTCCTCACGCCCCCTGCCCCCGTTCATGCCCTGTGCTGGCTCTGCCTCCACACCTGTAACGCTTTTCTGCTCTCCTTTGTCCCTAGGCCTGCTGCCTCCCACAGAGCCCGCAAGGCAGGAACGTGACACACCCATCTCAGCAGCCTCACCAGCATGGCAACCTGGCACTTAGTAGGTGCTCAATGCATGCAGAGAGACAGGGAGGGAGGGGCAAGGGGAAAGCAGCAAGAGTCTGCAGGTGGAAATAGCTAATGAAGGTTACCCAGATGTGCCCTACCCTGCCTTACCTGTCTGCAGGTAGGGCAGTGACCCTGGCTCCTTGATGCCAATAACAAGTGCCCCGGTGTTACCATGACAACAGGCCTGAGGGATCTGGGAGGGGCTGAGCTCTCCTCTTAGGGCTCTTGCACTGACACCCATTCTATCTTGGCACAGACAACAGGCAGAAGCCACCTGGGATGGAAGAAGGAGAACCCCAGACTCCCCTGAAAGAAGGCAGAGGCCAGTCCTCTGAGGGATGGGGCAGCCATCCCTCAGAATGTGAAAGGAGAGCCAGTGTTCACATGCTCTGGACTCATGGAAGTCAAAGAAAAGCCCTCTGCTATCCCAATCTGCCGGGTCAGCAATAAGAAATAGAAGAAAACCGATTTGGCAACATCCAGAGGGTATTAAATATTCATCCTGACTGCCCATCAGTAAAATCCCAGCAGAATACACCCTCTGACAAGTCGGCTTTCCACCACTAGAGGCTGTCCTCATGGAAGCTTGTTTATGGCTTTGTCAATTTTAATGTACAATATTTAATAGCCAAACCAAGATATTGTCATAAACATTTGGAAAATGAGTGCTAACATTTCCCTTACTGCTTCTGTATTTAAGGATATGTAATTGGAGGGTGTTTTGAGCTAAAGAAAATCAGAAGGAAGCAAGGCAATTATGCTTCACAATTAAAAGAGAAAAGAACTGATTAAGAGCTAATAATCAAACATGTGAACTGGCTGAAAGTCTTGCCTAAGCACCCCTTGAGGGGTCACACTATGTGATCAATGGGGATCAGACTAAGCTAGATCAATGGCAACGTTGACAGTGATGGCATTCCTTGAAGATTCTGTTGGGGATATGCATATGCAACAGGAAGCACACACAGGGAATGGTCAAATAACAGATCCACAAGTCAACTGTGCCATCCAACCAGAGATTCTGATGAATACTGATATGGGGGCAGGATCAGCAGGTGGCTCCAGCAGGGACGAGTCTGGGGCACAGACCACAAAGAAGCTTGCTGCGATAAATGATATCACAGCAGTGGAAGGCTGATGGTAAACAGACCAGCATGAGTGAGTCAACAGTCCCTGGGTTCCTATTTGATTCTGATGGAATAAGAATATTTAACACAATATTCTTTAAAACGGGGGTAGCAGGGGACATTTCTATGGAAGACACCAGAGCAGGGCTAAGAATCTATGTTTTGAGGGGCAAGGTACGCAGGGAGAGCAAAAGAAGAGAGGACAGCGCTGGTTCGGAGCTCTGGTATCCGCAAGTCTTAGAGCCACCTTGTGGCAGAAGCTGGAAGAATCAGGAGTTAAAAGAGGCACAAGATAAAACTTCTACACCATCAGCAAACTGTGTCTTGAGGAACCTCTACCAATGTCTTATGACCCCAACTTCCAAAAAACAAATTTAAGGATTTGCTAAAGGGGATTAGGAAATCAGGGGTGGTTAACCAGAGAGAGGAAACATTAAATACAAGTATACAGTACCAAAGAGGATTCCTGAGAAGAAAAACACTTGTCTAGAACATATAATAATAAAATTAGGAACTTGGACTCTGGAGCCAAACTGCCTGTCTGGACTTGAATCCTGGCTCTGCCACTTACTATGGCACACTGGGCAATTTATGTAACTTCTGTGTCAGTGTCCTCATCTGTGAAGTTGGGTAAAACGGTCCCCCTCACAGCACTGCATGGATTAAGAAACGAGGAACCAAAGCATTCACAGTGGTTTACAAGAAATGCTCAGTGAATATTAGCTGCTACTGTTGTTACTACCAGTAACACTAGTGCTATAACTCCTCCACATCATCAATCTACAAGGAGAAAATTCTTCTGTAAAGGACACGATTAACTGAATGCTGAAAGAATAATCTCTGATTACATAGCCTTTAAAAGGTCAAAGTCTCCCTACCGCAATTACTCTTTAACAAGGCACACCTGGATTCAAATCCCAACTTCCCCCATTCACTAGGTGTTTAATTTGAGGAAGTGAGAATCTCTCAGAGCCTCTGTTACTTCATTTATAAAATGGGAAAGCAATATGTTCCTCCCAGGGTTGCAGTGAAGATTAAGTGAGGTAATATACACCAAGTGTCCAACAGTCTCCAGCGCACAGTCAGCTCTCATGTATTTTTCCACTTCTATTTCCCCAAAATGAATGCACCAGCACCAAAGTATATAGGAAAGAGTAAAAACTCATATGAAGCTCTCTGGAAAATATTAAGTGCTAAATGCATAAATATTTAATAGAGGAGAGACAGTAACACTTAAGGGGATGCACTCTCCTGGTGCCTCAGCTGCCCTCTGGGAGTCCTGCACGGCCTCAAGCACCCACCTTTGCTCTTCCTAGCCTCCAAAGGGCCATAAAAGTATATTACTGTGCACCTTTAAGTAGAGGCCTCTTAACAGCCCAAGTACAGTGATACTCATAAGTCTCCTCTGCCAACCACTGTTCATTCTCACTTTACAGTGAAAACACAACAGAAACCAACTCAAGACACCCAAGACACAAAGACGACCTCAGAGCAGATCTGGGGTCTCCCAACCCTCCAGCTACTTTACCCAGGAGGCAATTATGGTATAAAGGAAAACATTTGCTCTATGGAAGTCAGAGATACCTGGGCTCCAATCTCAGTTCAAATCTCAGTTTTGCCACTTAACCAGCTGGCTTGCCTCCATCAAGATTCCCAACCACTTTGAGCCTTGGTTTCCTCATTAGCAAAATAGGGATACAAACACCTACATTATTAGGTTGTTGGATAAATTTAAAAAGAAAACATGAGTAAAGCACTAAGCAGAAACCTGGCATCCAAGAGGTACTTCATACATATTTTTCCCTGTCTGCCTTTAGTAACACCATAAACTAATCCAAATAATTAGAACCTTCAATGAACTAATTCTGTATTCTTCCCTTAGGCACTCCAGTCTTAGATTCCAAGTAGTACCAGAAACAGGCAAATACTAGGGATGTATTCAAAAAGGCAATGTCAGACAAGGTCTTGAGGTCAGCAACTCCTCTACCTTCTACAGCTGCAGAACCATGTGATGGGCAATGCTGCTCAGAAAACTGACCTTGAGAGCCAGAGGGGACAAAAAAAAAAGGTGCAATTACAATCCTAATGTCCCACTCAATAATGCAGGCAAGTGGGTACCTCGACATTTTCCACAACAAGGGTTCACATAAAATGGGGTCTCTGCTTAACCTTCCATTAACCTGAAAATCCATTTAAGCAAAACAGCCTCTTCCCTGAGCCTCTTGTCAGTCGAAGTTTAGGCTGTCATTGGCCAAGGGAACAGTCTCGTCATTTATACAACTCACTTGTTCCAAATCTGGTACAGAACAGAACTCTGTTATGGGGTTAGAAGAGGTGAAGGAGAAACCCAAAGGTTACCATTATTTAACCTCACGTTGCTGAAAACGACACTGTGGCCACCTAAAGCAGTCAGGCAGACTAGGTCAGGCACTAACCATGGCTGTTAGTGGGCAGAAAAATCCCTTTGGCAAGGCGTTCCAGCCATCTTTGCAAAGTCAAACCCTTGCCCTTGCCTGCACAGGTGTCTGTTCCAGCCGAGGCATGGGCTGGGCGAGGGAAGGAACACGGGAGCCTACTGCCTGGGCTCCACCCTCCACCAGCTTCTAACCTGGCAGGAGACAAGGACAGATGCAGGAAAACCATAAGAGCTGCATGTACTTAACTCCTCCCACGTGTCAGCTGAAGAGCCTGATGAAGGCGAGAGTGTTTGCAGAAAGCCCCACTGACTAATGCTCCCCAAATTAATGCATCCTTATGATCCGCTTTGAGACAGACTCAGCCTCCATAGAGAAAGGAGCTCAAATTCAGGGCCCATACAACTGGACAGGGCCTGGGTGCAGGCAACATTGTGGGAGAAAGACAACCGGGGTTCAAATCCTGGCTCCACCATTCACTAGGTGGAGCCTAGTGACCTTAAGCTAGTCACTTAAATCTTTCCTGGGGTTGTTGTGCAATTCTAATAAAGTAACTGACCTTCAGCGCCTCATGCAAAGAAGATGCTCAATAGGTGCCTATTACCCTCCCTCTTTACTCAGAATTTCCTTGTCTATGAACAGGAGACAATGATATCACTTCCACATAATTGTATGAGGATTATAGGAGATGAGGTTAAGTAAAGAAAAGGGCTTTCTTTAAAACAATTGGCCTGTGCATTTCACAAATGTCCATGTCTACAGACACATACATATACACACACACACACACACACACACACACAAACACACAGGTTAGGGAATTGTTCTAGATTAAAGGAGTCTAAAGAGACAGGATAACAAATGTGATGTGTGATCCCTGGTTGGATCCTAATCTGAAAGGGAAAAATAAAGGGCATGACTGGGACAACTGGGGAAATGTAGGTGGTAGGACTACACTAACGTAAAACCCCAAGGGTGTGATGATGGTGCAGTGGGTGGGTAGGTTCTTAGGAGTTACATGCTGAAGTACTTAGGGGGAAGTGTCCCAATGTCCACAGCTTTCCCTCCAATGGCTCAAAAACAACAACAAACATACACACAGAGGAAGAAAACAAATGCCGTCAGACAACAACTGGCTATCAAGGAAAGGAAATACAAGTGTCCACTGCACGATTCTTAAAACTTCCTATTGATTTGCAATGTGTCTAAATGAAGAGCTGGGAAAGGGGGAAGTGACGCTAAGGGCTCCACGCACACCTTTCTTTTTCCCTCACGTCTGCTCAGGCAGCATGGGCACATAGCCCACAGGTCCGCAGCACTCACCTGGCTGCAGCACCCTGATCTCCAGCAGGTTGGAGGTCCTCTCCGCCAGTCGCGTCCAGGTGTTGTTGTAGTTCTTCCGCCACAGCTCTGCCACACACTGGTACTTGCCTGCTTCCGTGTCACTGGCTCGGCTGATGCTTAGGCGGACGTTGTTGCTGGACTCAGCCTTCTCGATGGCAGTTCGGGTTCGGAAGCTGGAGGACCTGTCCCCCCACTGGACCCCTCCGTCCCGGGTGAAGGTCACCAAGTCATGGAACTCCACCGTGCCCACCGGCTGGAACCGCCATGTCACCGACACGGGGACCCAGGCAGGGTAGTGGGGTTTGATGATACACTGCAAGTCAAAGGAGTCGCTGTAGGTCACCCCCGGTGTCCGGGAGATGGCTGTGACTGCGAAGCCCATTTCTGGAGAGAAAGCAGAGAGATTCAACCAGAGGAGGCATGTGGCTTTCTCAGGGCAGTATGACATCAGCAATGGGGCAGCTGGCAAAGCAAGCAGTGTGGGACAGAGGCTCTCGGAGCCCCTTTTGAGCTCTCAGGCTAGTGTTGCTTTTAGTATCCTGCTGAGGCCCAGTCCAAGAGTTTCCAAGACTCCAAAGAAAGGCCCACCACAATTCCCCCTGAGCAGCACTAGCCTAACCCTTCCCAGTGAGATCCTCGTGCATTTGCTCCTCCCCTGGAATTAGACATCACAATCCTCTCAGGGACTGATTGCATGTAGGCAGGGTTGCTCCTAGAAATCTTGAGATTCCATGAGAGAACAGGAAAAGAAAACCCCAAAGCCAATTTCCTCCATTGCACAGGAGGAAAACACAACCACACAGCCCCAACACCACTTTTCCTGGTCCCTTAGCGCACTGGTGCCGAGAAGGGAAGCAGATGGAGTCGGCCTCCAGTCCCTTTCTCACGTCCCTCATGAAATCCAAAAACAGAGCAGGTGGGGACCTCCAGTGGGGTGGGACAATTATCCTAAATGCAGGGTTCTGCAGGCTCAGCGGCTGTGGGTCTCTCAATATTCCTTATTGAATGGGCAGCACTGCTAAGCCCTAATACTGACTCCTCAATATGAGTACCTCAGAGCTCCTTCAGCCTGGAAATACTGTTTAATATTCATACATTGATCACAATCATAAAGCTAACAGTAGCCAGTATTTATTGAGCACTATCTAGGTGCAAGCATGGTGCCAACTGCTTTGCTCTCATCATGCTCCACTGAATCCCCAAAACAACCTTGTAGAACAGGCAGGCTTGTCATCTCTTCCTGCAGATGTAGAAACTGATGCAGAGAGAGGTTAGATAAATTGCCCAATATCAAGCATTTAGTAAGTCAATGACAGAGTTAGTCTCCAACCACATGTAACTGATTCCAGGGGCCTTTTTAGGTTGCTTTACCCATGGAAAGCATAACACAGTGGTTAAAGGTCTAGACTCTGGAGCCAGCAGCCAAGACTTTGATACTTCCCAGCTGAGTGACATTAAAGTTACTTAACTTCTCTCTGCCTCTGTTTTCCAATCTGTAAAATGAGTCTCTGTGAAGATTAAATAAATCAGTGTTTATAAATATTACAAATAGTACCTGGCACATGAGATATACTATATTTTGTTAAATATTTTGTTAAAAATAAAATAGAAATTTAAAAAAAGTACTTTAAACTCTGTAATGTGAAAGACTGGCCACAGGATGAATCTTTTGGCTTTCTATGGTGAGGTTAAGTTGGCAAATAGGTAGGTACAATTTGCTGAAAACTCTGGACCTTTGATTTGGATTTCATAAGCTATCTCTATATACCCTTTAAAAAAGTTTATGACACGGAGGCCCATCCTTAAACATGAAGCGCCTGTGACAGTCGCTGTGCACCTGTGTGTAGTAGGTGTTGCATGAGGGTGGTGTAGGACAGAACCTCAGGGACAGGACCCACACCAGGTGCTCCTGGCCTCACACCTGAAGGGGAGAGAGCTTCCCCAAGCAAATGACTTTGTCTAGTCCTGACACGGGCACATGCCATGGTCACAGAGCACCCAAGCTGCTCTAACCGAACAGCCATAATGACCCACTGTAATTAGATGGGACCCGCATCTAATTATACTGATATGAAAATTCATGTGTGTCATTGTTAACTTTAGACTGAAAAGACAACCTTAATTAGTCTAGAGTGCCCTCCCATTCTTCCTTGTTCAGTCCTTTGGGCCACCTGATTATGGCTCTAGCCAGAGGTATCTCAGTGGTGGAGATCAGGTGAACAGTGCTGGCCTCCAGATCCCAGGGCAGAGCCCCTCAGTGCCCCTGGCTGTGAGAACCACCAGACATATGGTGAGTAAGAAAAAACTCAGGGGATAACCTGATAACATAAATTACTTCTAGAGAAACAATCCTCACTAACTCTAATCACTCATTGGACATTCCTAACCTTCCAGGATGGTTAAAAAAAAAAAAAACACACCAGTACTGGACATCCAAAAGTTGTCCCCCAAGTTCCATCTCACTGGGTTCACACAGGTGCTGAGTATGGATACAGGAACTGAGCTGATCAGGAAACGCAATCACTGGAGGAAGTTTCTAAGACAGAAATCTGAGCTGTATAATTACTGCAAAAAGCAGGTCAATCTTTAGGATTAAGCTTTAGAAAATAAATGTAATTCTAATCTCAGAGGGGTAAGAAAATGGAGGACTCTGTTAAGGACAAAAACCACTTGGGGCTGCCATCTTTACTGGAAGTATCCAAAAGCACCACCATCCCAACCTGCAAGGAAGGTGGTGACACAGTCCCAGGGAGTGGGACATAAAGTTGCTGAGGACAACCGATGTCTCCTGATAAACAGGAAGACCTGATATAACAAGTTTCTTTCCCAGCAAAGTCACAGACTGGTCGTTTAAAATCTAATAGACTGATTATATCCAGGCAGATAAATGTTGATAGAAGCCTCTTTACCCCATGAGAAGCAAATCTAATCTTCCTTGGTTTTAGCAAATCTCAAGGTATCTTTTCATTCCACGCTAATGAGGGAATAGCTTTGTTAGGTATGGGCCCCGTCAGGTAGTAGAAACTTCTAGCCTTAGGCAAAGTATTTAATGTGTCTCAGTCTCAGTTTCCTCCATAAAATGAAAGTGTCTGTCACTTGGCTAGGTGGGGATTCAATGGGACAACTAAGCTTAAGTGTTAAGGATCAGGCAGGAACATAGTAAATGCTAAATAAATGACAACAGATGATTTTATACCCTTCTCTGCTCTCTTTCAGGAAGGCTGGCCCCTGGGCAGCAGGGCAGGAAAGACATGCCACACAGTGCTCAGCCACTCTGCTCTCTTTAAGGCCAGGCTGGCAGTGGCCATGCTCCTCCACCTGGGGCCACCACTATGGCTGGGTGGCTTCACTAACCTGGATAGAGTTCTGATAACATCACTCTCTCCCAGCCAGACTAGGAGTAGTCACAGCTCCCAGCTATTGCTATCCCTCAGGAGCCCCATCATCCACTGTGGGTCCCTCAGTCCCTGCTAGCACTATCTTAATTAATTAAACCCTTATAAGAAATAAAATAGACATAAAGGAAAGTACTTCAAACTCTATAGGTAAAAGACTGGCCATAGTTTCCTGCTAAAACTCTGACTGAGAAAAGTCAGGATAAGGTGTTTGACACTGAAGCTGTCTCCATGCCAGACCCACTGCCAGTCCCACCGCTCACTCACCAAGAGCTGTGATGGAGATGGGAGTGCTGGCCCGGCGCTCCCCAACAATCTGCCACTCGCCATCCACTGCCCGCACCCATTCAGTCACATGGCATTCATACTGGCCCTCGTCCTCCTTCCTGCTGTTGAAGATGCCCAGGCTGAACGAGTTGGGCTGCACCTGCTCCATCTGGACGCCCCCAAAGCTGCTGCGCTCCCAGTAGGACGAGCCTGGCTGCACGGTGCCATCCCGGTCTAGCCACATGATATTGCTGCGGCGGTTCTGCCTGTCCACAAGCTGCCAGATGACAGAGAAGCGACCCTGCGGCCTGCCTGCCGTGCGGACACTGCAGGAGAAGCGCAGGTCCTCGCCCTCAAGGATGACGCTGGCATTGCTGGCCACCTCCACGGAGATGCTGCTCTCTAGGAAGAGGGAGAGAGAAACACCCTGGAGGCTTTATGGTCTCCACAGCGCCCTCCCCACAGAGGAAACAGGAGAAGGGGTGCAAATGGAATCATATTCAGGTACGGTGAGCCTCAGAGGGTCAAAAACACTCTGACCCTAGTTGCTGCAAGCCCTGGCTGGTTCTGGGCTTTGCTCCCTGTGGTTTTAGATCTGATAATCTAGGATGTTCTTTGCCATGTGCAGAGAACTGTGATAACGAGGTTCTAAGACCTGAGCCTGAATAAGAACCTAAGAAATACAACATAGTGGCATGATGTTTAGGGCATAAAACAATTTATTGGGTAATCTATTCAGCTGGAGTTCAGGGTTTTTCAAGTTGAATTTTCAGCAAGAAGAGTAACTCCAAAATCCTACTTCACTTCACTCTTCCTACCATTCGGTACTACAGCAGTCAAATAAAAGCTGAATATCCATAATGTGCCATTTGAGTCCTTCAGGACAATTTAGGAAATACTGGGAAAAAAACCAACAGTAAGTATTGGGACGATAACGTGTGCTTAAGTGTGGGTAATAAGGGAGCACAGATGGTCTAGTTTTGCAGAGTGTGTGAGGAGCGGGCTTTCATTCTTTCATTAACACACAGGAACAAAACAAAGCCAGCAGCTCGTCATCCACCACTCTCCCGCCTGTCCAGTCAGCCCTGGGGCTCCTTTGCTCTCTTTCTAGAAACATTTGGCCAATCAAAAGTTTGGGATAAGGATTCCACTCCCTTCCCTGTCTCATCTAGCCTCTGCTGCTCACTTAACTATCTGAATTCACTCAATCAAATTATTTAAACTCGACATGCCTCAGCCTCTTCTTCTGTAAGACAGGTAGAGAGCCACCTTTAACTGTAGAATTCTTTAAATATTAAAAAGTAAATGAGATGATGCATATAGATTCACCTAACACATAGTAGGTTTTCAAAAACTGGTCATCATGATCATGATTAATTTTACTATTCCACATAACTCTTTGTTTTTATAAACATCACAGATAGCCTAATATGTTTTAATTATACATGTAGTATTTTGTATAATTATCTATATTGAGTTCAGAAGGTCTGTAAGTATTAAAGAACACAAAGTAACTAATTTGGCTCCAATTTTTGGGTACCACCCACATTAAATACATGCAATAATTTTAAACCAATTAATTAAATCAAATCCCAGATTTTAAGAGGCACACCCAATTACCAAGAGAAAACACACACATACACATAACAATGCATTTGAATCAAATCTTTTCTCTCCTTTATTTCCCCAACAAGCAGAAACAAAGACGAGCACTGAGCCTCCACATGTAGCTCTTATTATAGTGAGGATGCCTGCTATCCATTCTGGATTTGCTTGTTTTATGTGAAAAATAAAAGGTCTGGATGGGGCAGGGAATAGCAATTTTCCTAGGAGGGCAACCTCCCCCAGGACTCATACCAGGATGATTCATAGAGATGATCAGGCTCCTGAACAGTCACCATCTATAGCACTAATGGTTAAGGGGATGGATTTGGAGACTTCCTAACTCTGTAATCCTGTGGTTCTTCCTTAACCTACCAAAGCTCCAATTTCTCATGTGCAAAATGGAGATACTAATAGTGCCTACTTCTTAGGGCATGACATTGAGAGGATCAGATGAGGTACTTATTTTTCATCATCATTAATAACAACAATATTCCTCTTTAGATTAAAGACTCATCCCCACTGTTATCAATTCAAAATAAGGGATTAAAAGGGCAACTGCAGCATCAAGGAAGAAAATCCTTTCACTTGTATTAAGCAGAAGAATGACTTGCAGGACCTCACTCTCATCCCCTACTGTCATCCCAGTGGACGCTTATCCAAGTCCTGGCTCATTTATTGAA
Source organism: Homo sapiens (assembly GCF_000001405.40). Lineage (NCBI taxonomy): Eukaryota > Metazoa > Chordata > Mammalia > Primates > Hominidae > Homo > Homo sapiens. Next base: position 116,605,909 of record NC_000001.11, read on the forward strand.
AGGGCTACTGTTTGGTGGTGTCTGTTGCTTGAGCAAGCCTGGAAACCCACATAGTTAGAATGTGGGGCTACAAGAAGAAATGCTATTTTATTATAGCAGCTGAGGCAAAGGCAACTACAGACCTGGTGCCTCACTGCCCACTAACACTATTTACAAGAATTTCCAGGCCTGAGAAAAGGCAGCCGACAATTTTAAACTCTCTGGATTAAGTGAAAACTAGGACAGAACTAATAAAAATCTGAGTACACATTCACAAATGAAATTTCAAATCAGGAAGTTGACGGTGTAGCACAGGCTAAGCGCAGGGCGGTGGGTGTGGAGTTAGAAGCAAATATTTCCTAATGCAATGCAAGCTCAACCACTAACTGAACAATCAGCTCTGTCACTTCCTGTGTGGTGCTCTGATTTCTTCATTCATTAGATGGATATCATATTGGCCTCTACGAGGATTTGAGAGGTGGGAGCGGAGAAGGAGATGATATATGCAGAAGCACTTTGGTCTCTTAGGAGGAAAAGCGCCATTAAAATCCAAGGCATTGTCACCATTACCGATGTGATTGTTGTTGTTCTTCGGCAGACTTACCCAAGTGGCCTTGGGACAGGAGCTGGTGGTGCTGGGGGACTTTAACTACCCAGTTATCTGCTGGAAAAGCAATATAGCAGGCCACAGATCATCAAACAAGTTCTCAGAAGGGGTTGGGGGAAATCTTAGTACAAAAAATATAGGAAGTAAACAGCGTGGCTGCCCTTCACTTGATCCTTAGAAAACAATGAGGAATTAGTTGCAGATTTAAAAGTAGAGTCCGTGGTTAAGGCAAGCACAGACTGACAGGAAAATAGTAAAGACAGTGGGCATTCAATTCAATAATTTCAGTTGTACAGTATTCAGCGAGCACCTACTCTATGCAAAGCACCATGCTAGGCATTGCAGGGCGGAAAAAGCTAAGAAACAAAAGAATTTCAAGATAATTAGGTATGTGTGTGCATGGTTTTTAACAAAATAATAATAAGCATAAAAAGAAAATAATCCAGTTGATGAGAAAAGAAGAAAAGACTGACAAGAGGACCGCTGTGGCTACTTGAAGAGAAATATCACACTTGAAGAGAAATATTTTAAATATTAAAACATATAAATAAAAAGTAAAGGAAATTATTACAAGGCTCAGAGAAAGAATAGTTTGAGCAGCTGAGACAAGGTTAAAGGTTAGTCTTAAAACTTTACCACTTGTTTAAAATCAGAGCATTATAGGTTTTTATTCTCTTTACTAAAAACAGAACTATGGGAGAATGAGATTAATAAGAATATCTTGATACTATGAATGTTTAAACACAACACAAGCAAACACCAGTAGTTTCTGGAATCCCTAGCAATGGCCACTACCCACCCACACAAGGCCAGTCTACATGAAGGCTGGGGAGCCCACTGAGGCAGCCTCAGAAATCAGCTAAGCTTAAAAGGCTATGCTCCAGGAAGATGTGAGAGGTCCCATCCACCGACTTTTAGAAACACAATTTCAACAGGGAAAAGCCATTTAGGGAAATGCCAGCCTTTATACCTGAAAAACCCAGATGGCAAATCCTTAATAATGCACTTTATGATTTAAAATCCTCCCATAAAAGACCAACTCTCCTTAAGTGAGATTTCAAGGCAGGCATCTACCCACTTCTTCTGGGACTTGATTCCCACACAAGAGCAAACAGCTTTCTGGGATTCCTGGTTTCCCTCCAAGCTGAGCTGGCACTGCTTGTGTATGCACAGGGCTGCTAGCAATCAGATAGGCCTATGCCCAGCCCTAGACTGCCCTGATTCTGGACACCCCTGATCCTGATCCTCTGCTATGGGGAGCCTGCTACATGTATGCAGGTGGGCTACAACAGGGAAGAGAGGCTCAATGGTTTTTCCCCCAGCTCTGCATTAACCTCGAGGGTTCCATCTGCCTCCCCTCACCTTCACCACGCTATTCTCTCTCCCCCTACCTCTCCTAAATGATGCTGAGCCAAAGGAGAAGAAAGCAGCACATCTCTCTACTTACTGAGGGGGAGGACTATGATGGGGATGTTCTTGGGACGCTTGCTCTCCTTATCAATGAATTCCCCGGTCACGGTTTTCTCTCGCTCAGTCACCCGGCAGTTGTATTTCCCGCTATCTTCCTGGCGGAGGTGGTAGATCTTCAGCACAAAGACACTGTCGCTCTCTTTGGCCACCTTAAGCTGTCCCCTGGCTTCCCGGTGAGCAAATTCGCTGTTGAGGACAGGCACAGCGTTAGGACCCATGGTGGCGATGAGCGAGCTGTTGAAGGCCCAGGAGACAGCAAAGTAACGGTCGGGAACATTCTGAGCCTCCAGGATGCATCTGAACTCCACCGGCTCGCCCACCGTGTGCAGCCGCTTCTCTGTCTCCAGCCGAACAGTGAATTCTTTGTCTGAGAGAACAAGTAAGAAAAGAGACACATCCTGGGTGAATGAGGGCCCCAGCCAACTAAACCACATTAGCACATTCCCACTATCCTTCCTCTTCTTTACAATACTAACTGCGGGGAGGACCACAGCACTTAGCTTGAGAGTAAAATCCAACTCAGACCCAGGTTATCTAAGGTCCAGAGAAACGCCTGAATATCACAGAGAGAATTCAAAACTACTTCAGCCCAGACGGTCTAAGCAAACTGTTACCCCAGTTAAGACCAATGGGGCTCAGTCTGAAGCTTTAGATGTCTTAGATGAGACCCCCAGGTCAGTGAGAAGCTACTAATATCACTCAAATGGTAGATTACAAATATCTAGCCTTGATATATGCACCCAGAACTCTATTTAAGCAACAGCATTATAAACATTTTCAGCAGATATTGTAAGACTTACCCCACTGAGGTCTGTGGGAAAAAATTACAGAGTGGCCTAGGTGCTGGCCCAATCCTAACAAATGCTCAAAGATGACTATATTAAAATTCCCTCTCTACCCCCCGCCATGTGAATACTAGAAATAAGATGTAGGTATGACAAACCCTAACAGAATTACATAGAAAAAATAAAAACTAATGTCTGTTCACTAGTTTACCACCTGTCAGATCAAATCTCTAGTCAGATTTCAATGGAAGTAGGTACTTTCCCAGTGAAGTACCTACTAAGTACTTACTTTAGTAGGAAAGTACCTACTTTAGTGGGAAAGTACCTACTAAGTACTCACGCCTGGTTAAACCTTAGTAGGTACTTTCCCACTGAGTAAGTACTTAGTAGGTACTTTAGTAGGAAAAGTACCTACTTCTGCTGAAAGCCAGACAGCCTCTGAAATGATTACTAAACCCAAGCAGCCTCCTAAGATCTAGGTGTTTTTTTAATTTTTATTTATTTACTTATTTACTGTGACAGGGTCTCGTTCTGTTGCCCAGGCTGGAGTGTAGTGGCATGATCGTGGCTCACTGCAGCCTCGACTTCCCAGGCTCCAGCCATCCTCCCACCTCAGCCTCCGGAGTAGCCACCATATCCAGCTAATTTTTGTTGAGTTGGGTGCTTAACCAGGCATGAGGGGGTGACCAAAGAGGGGCTCATTACCACTAACAGCATCATCACAACCTGTGTACCAGTGTACAGTGGCTATTAATCTCATTAGACAGCTATCGTATCTCATAGGCACCCACGGCAGAAGTCAGGGGGAAGAAAACGGAGTTAAGGGTTAGAGACTGGAGCTGTGACCACTGCCCAGTTCTAGCTCTGTTCCTCTAAAAAGAACACCGAGGTGGAAAAAATCCCATGGCAGAGACGTTTGAATTCCATGTAGATTCATTAGCTCTGACCTTGCCTGCCTTCCCTAGACTGGCATGTCTAGCCTTTCCCACTATCTTCAAGATCTTGCCCATTCATCCCGTCCTAGGCACTCTTCAAGCAGATGAGGTTTCTGTTTCCCCAAGAAAACATAAGAATCATGCATAAGCAGCATCCACATTCTTCTTTTCCAGCCCCAGCTCAGCTTTACCCCTCCCGCTCCTCAGGCTCTCCAGCCCCTCCCCCCGATATAGGCCAGTGTCCTGCTGCAAATACCCCTTCTTTCCAGTGACCTAACTACTTCCTCTAGCAGCCAAACTTCCTGACAGGGAAAACCACATCATCAACTCCAGGGCCTCCCCTCCAATGAAGTAGCTGCTGTCACAGCTTCTAGCTCCCAAGAGACCAGTCTTAAGAGGCATGGATTGAAGGAAGCACATTTCACTCTGCCACCATCTGCCTGGATGAACACACCCATATGGGACAGTCCCCGTGTTATCTGCTGGATATTATCTCTCAGGTCAACCCAGTTAGTCATTTATAACCCAACATCAATGACAGAAAAGCACTCCTTCCACATAAACACCACTGGAGCTGTGCAAGGGGTACCCTAGACCTCAGACCTTTCCGTTGCTCCAGGTTAGCCTGGCTGTAACTCTGGCTTTCTTCTTTCGGCGGCCAAAGACTCTTCTCATCTCAAGGGAATCCCCCCATGCCTTGGTGACACCTTCATGTTCCCAGGTTGAAGACACAAGATTTACCCACATCACCCCCGTTTCTGCCCTTGGTTATGCCCAGTCAATTACATCTCTAGAAACTGACCTGTGCTTTTTCCAATACCCCTTCCACTTCATCTCACTGAAATTAGGCTTCACTGACTTAGCAAATGTCACAAATGATCCACCCTACCCCTACCCCCATCCTAACCAAAGGCTTTCCTCAAGCAGGTTGAGGCCTCTGAGCCTGCTCCATGATCCCTTCTCTCCTGCTCTTCTTCTTGCTGGCCTGCCCACTCTGTTCCACTCTCTCACCTGCTTCTCTGGTCACCTCTTACTGCTGCTGTTCTCCCAGGTCCTTTCCCATTTTTACCCCATGGGCTCTTCCAGGGCCCTGATCACTCTCAGGCTCGGTCTCTGAGCCCCAGACCCCTGTGTCTGAGGACCCACTGGGTGTTTCGCATACTGAGCATCTCTATCAGAGTCTACCTGATGGATGGGCTCTTTCATTAGAATTTACAAAAACAAAAGGCAGCCAATGCTGCCACAAATGCAAAAGTCCCGCATGTCCTCATTATTGTTCCTTCCCTCCCACAGTTCAAGGAACCCCCAGAGCCCCAGTCCTAGCCCCTGGACTTCTAGACAGTTGGACCCCTCCTTCCACTTGCTCTTTATTCTTTTGCCTCTGGCACCCACTGACCTAGCCTTAGCTCTTATTAGCTCTTTTCTACCTGGTCTCTTGGCTTCAGACTCAACAGATTTAATCAACCTCCAGGTGGCCTCCATGGGTTTTTCTTTCTGAAACCCTGATCTGATTGTGTTACTCCCTGCTTAAAAATCTCTACCTCCTCTCCAACTGTCTGCAGCAGAGGTTTTCAAACTTTATTAAGAAGAGGACAAAGGAAGGGGACTTTTTATTCATACAAAATCTTCTGCTGCCCAACATAGTTGAAGCAAGAGGGGACCACCCAGGCCCTCGCATGCCTTCTCCCTGCACTCCTGGGTGCACATACGTGCACATGAACACCAACACACACCCATGTCTAACCTCCTAGGCACCTTTGAGGGGCTTCCAGGGTTCCAAGAACAGCTTGAAAACTCTTGGCTCACAGAGTCAAGCCCCGGCTCTATATCACTGCATTTGGGGCTTCGGGGTCCCTTTCCTCTCTCATCACACACATCTGGAACTCAACATCCGGAACTAGTCATACTTGACTCCTTTCTGCTTGGCAAACATATCAAACACTTTTGCACTTTTATGCTTCTCCTCCTGCTGACTCCTCAAGCTTCCAGACTCAGTTCAACTCAAGAAACTTATTGGTGTTCCTGGATTTGTCTTATCAACCATCCCATTCAGAGATAACTGTGGTTGCAAGAACACTTCCTATTTCCGGTATTCCCAGAGCACTCTATACAAATGCTATCAATGCACTTAGCACATTTTACTTGTCCATTGGCTCTCAGGTCTGCCTAAGTGCAGGGACCAGTGCTAGTCATCTTTGAAGCCCTTAATGCCTATCACCATCACACCTTCAATGCTGTGGAGACTGGCTACATGTTTACTGAAATAAACTAAGAAGGGTAGAGTTGGAGATGCAACTGCTGAACCTAAACAGCACAGGAATGCAGGGTGAAGTCATCAACTTTTTTTTCACTTAGTTTTCCTTTTGCTGGCTTAGTCTAGATACATTTTCAGGGTAAATTCAAAAAGTTCTAATTCCAAATTGGTAAGATTAAAATAAAGAAGATTAACTGATGCAACCTAATTTAAAAGCATTAAGACTCAAAATTTGGCCCAAATTTTTGAAGTTGATCTTAAAACTATCCAGGAAGGGAAAGGATAAATATAAAATAAAGCCCCTTGGATAGATTTTTTAATATTGAAAGATCCAGAAGCTGCTAAATGTCCTACAGAGCAGATAAAGTGCTCCCTATCCCTACCAACCCCTACGGTAAAAGATTTCACATCCATTAGATGACTTATTAAAGTGATGTCCAGAGAATTGCTTCTGCCCTAGAAGCTTTGCTTGAAAAAAATGTAGATAGCAGAAGAATCACCTGGGAAGCGTGCCGGAAATCCAGCTTCCCAGGTCCCATCCCAGGAGCCTCCAATTGAAGACTTCTGGGACGAAGCCCCAAAATGTATACTGTTAGCTGAGTCTGAAGCATTACTCTAGAATGGCAGAGAAAGTATGCAAAGACCCAGACAACTGACTGCAGCAAATGGAACAGGGAGCCCAAGAGACAGGTCCTGACGAAGGACCCCACCTGTACTGCAACTCACCAGGTCATTTCCCACAAGCCACACTCACTCACCAGAACCACCACAGTCCTCACCAGAAGTGAGCTTCCGCACAAGGAAAGGCTTTCAGGCCACTCATCGCCAACTTAGTGATGGCACAACAACCATGCTCCAACCAAAGCTGGGGGATCTGAAGGCCCATGTGAGAACCTGCCCTCAGCCCAGCAGAGGCAGCCAGCAACAGCTGTCAGCTCTGGCCTGGAGCCTGGTGGGCTCAGGAGACTGGGGAGTAGAGTCTGGGGCCACAGGAGATACCAAGAGAAGCCAGGGAGGGTTTCAGCTGGCTGTGCCACCATCATTTTGCCTCAGCTCTAAAGACATCATGCAACCTCCTCAGGACCCCTTCCAGGCCTTCACTTAAGAAAACATCTACAGTGGAACTTGGTACTCTCAGACTGGCCTCATCAACATGCCCTATGACTCCTCTTGAGCCCCAACATAAAGTAATCTGCATTCAGCATCTTCACCTGCAAAATAGGAGTACTACCACCTACTCACCTCACAGAACGTCTGGGGGATGGTGAAGTAATATGTGATAAAGCATTTTGGAAATTAAAAAATATCACCAAAGACTATTATTAGATAAAAAATAATAATTTAAGCCAAAATTTCTCTAGTTCATAATGTTAGACCTTGGATGGAAGTCTCATTATCTCAAATGGCTTCTGCAAATGAAACCAGATGGGTACCTGAGGAAGGCAACATCATTAAACGGGGCAGCAACTGTGCCTAATGGGAATGAAAGCCCAGACTTTTAAGATACAAATGGTTTCTCAGAAATCTCCCAATTTTTAAAATGAGTTTCTAATTCAAAAAAGTATAAACACCATGTAGGTCAAAGAAAGCATGTCTCTAAGCAGGACTCAGTCTGTGTGGCACCTGCCTGTGACTCAGGTCTTAGGATACCTATGTCCCACACATCCCTCAGCTCCCTCCAGCCGCACACAAGACCGGCTTTAACTTCACATGAAAACCTGCTGTCCTGGTAGAGGTGCCCAAAGAAGGAGTCTCCACATTCTCCCAGTATCTGACAGCCTTCACCACCAAGTAAAGGACAGGACAAGAGGCTCAGAGGGACTGACCAGTTGGCTGGACGTTGACCACGGCTCCCTCGGAACGCTTTCGGGTCATAGCATACCACGACCCATCCGGATCCTGGATCCACTCGGCGGCCTCGCAGTAGAATTCGCCCTGGTCAGAAGGCTGCAGGTGGAAGATGGTGAGGCGGAAGGTGGTCCTCCCCAGCTTGTCCAGCCGCACCTCCCCCAGGCTCTGCCTCTGGGCATATTCGCTGCTGGAGTGAAGCATGAAATCTCGGCTCAGGGAGATGACCTCCACGGGCTTCTCGCCAACTTTCTGCCGGAGCCAGGCCACAGACAGGTGGCTGTGCTGAATGGTCTCTGAGGCCACCTCACAAGTGAGCTCCAGCGGGTCCTGCTCCACTCTGTGCAGAGTCTGGGGCATGGCAGTGGTCTGCAGGGAGTCTGGGATCACTGCAACACAGAAATGTCCTGAGAGTGCAGTCACAAAGCCACAGAATCTGAGACTCCCAGGGCTAAGCTCCCATTCCACGCAGGCGTCACTGCACTGCGCCCCTAACAGTCATCCTTGAACCATCGATTCAAGGCCACAGACAGCCCCAAATGCACATAAACAGAAAGTTTTCTGTTTGGATTTGGAAATGCATTATTTTGGTGCTTACACTTACCTGTCTGGTATTTTAATAACACTTGGATAAAACATGGGGTGTATTTCATATTACATAATAAATAAACTCCCTGAAAATACTGTCTTTAAACAATTGTCTTATAGGTCAAATAACATTTGCTGTTGATTCTGGCACTTCTCTGAGATACTTTAACTTCACTTCTGACTGATCCTGTAATGGAAATGCCTCCTGGAACTTTTAGTTTTACATTTCTATACAACATCCTTTCTTTCCTTCCCACATCCCCATCCTGTAACTTACTTCAGCAATGCAGCCCTAGGAAGATGATTTTTTTAAAAAACCATTTTTGGTAGAAAAAATAATCATCATACCCTATTTTTAGTGGGTTTAATTTTCGCATAATTCATCGATCAAAGGGGTCCTCACTGGAAGGAAGCCACAGTCTGGAGAGATTCAGGCAAGAGAAGAGATTTTCTCCGTGATCCCTTGGTCAGAATCATACCCTGATCCTTGCTTGCACCTTTCTGGAGATTAAATAGCACCACCTTTCTGTCTGATGAGAGTACCCTAGTCACAACTAGTATGTGTTTTCTCCCTGTTCTCACCCAAGGCTTGGGTCTTACGGGTCTCCTGCTGGGAACGGCCAAGTGCGGTGGCTCACACCTATAATCCCAACACTTTGGGAGGGTGAGGGAGGCGGATCACCTGAGGTCGGGAGTTCGAGACCAGCCTGACCAACATGGAGAAACCCCGTCTCTACTAAAAATACAAAATTAGCCAGGCATGGTAGTGCATGCCTGTAATCCCAGCTACTCGGGAGGCTGAGGCAGAAGAATTGCTTGAACCCGGGAGGTGGAGGTTGCAGTGAGCCAAGATCGCACCATTGCACTCCAGCCTGGGCAACAAGAGCGAAGCTCCATCACACATACACACATACACACACACACACACACACGAAAAAAAAAAGGTCTCCTGCTGGGACACAGACTAGTTAGAGAAAGTAAAAATAAACAAATGATAGTATGTGTATTAATAAAAGAACTAGCAACACCCACTGCTTAGTTGTGATAATAAAAACTGGACATTAAGATAGGCAGAAAAACAGAACAGCCTTGATAATGGTTAACCCTTTGACACTGGCAAACACTATGACCAGTGCTGCCCACAATGGAAGCTCCTGCATCCCTCTTCCTCATGTTTCCTTCAGCATTAAGGAGCAACAAGGGAGACAGCCAGTTCATAGTTCCTTACGCATGGAGCCAAAGGACCTTCAATGTACAAGGTCTGAGCAAGGACCCACAGCCACATGTGCTTCCTGCTTCAGCAGTGCCCCGTGGGTCTCAGAGCTGCCCAAAGGCCTATCCTTCTGAGAGGTTTCTCCTCTCTTCCAACTGATGTCATACGTCTCATCTTCCTTGTCATTCAGATCATCAACCACAAACATCCTTGCCTTATATTTTCATATCCCTTTTCACCAGTTACAGGGTTAGTTAACTTATGAAATTCTTAACATCTGCATTAGACCTTTTTAAAGTTTCACCCTCAACCACCTATTATTTAGAAGTGAACACAGAAATTTAGTTTCCTTGTGCTATCTGTTGACCCCTAAAATATGTTGGGAGTTTTGGGATTTTTTTTAAAGTCAAATGCATGGCATAAAGCAAAATTACGCTACTAAAGAACTGAGTCAGGCCAGACGCTGGCAACGTGAAGACAGCTTCTCCTTACCCACTAGGTTCATCTTTGCACTGTAACTCCCAAAGTATTGCTTATCAGTGCTGGGTGTGTGGCATTCATACTCCCCGGCATCCCGGGCCTGAAGATCTGTGATGTGCAATAGGGTTGAGTTCCCCTGGACTCTTTCTATGAAGATCTTCCCTCCGCGGACGCGCTGGGTGTAGATGGCATAGGGGAAGGAAGAGTCCATGGTGCTGACGATCTGCACCTCTCGCTCTGGCGACGAAGGCAGGTAAATGGACCACTGGAAATTCTGCTCAGAAGGTCCCTGGTAGCCACTCACATTGCACCAGATAGTGATGTGGGAGCCCTCCGTGCGGTACAAGGGTCCTTCCTGAACGGTGACCTGCCGCTGTGCTGACACCACACCTACGAGGGAGAGAAACACACACAACATGCTTACTTACTTCTCAGACCAAAATGCAAAGTAGCCAGCAATCTCCAAAGGGTTTGTTATTTGTGTGACATGATAATAATATAAACAGCTTACTGGCCCTTTCAAAGGCGCTTTGTGATTTATAAATATTAATTAAAACACTCTGTGGTAAAGCACTGTCCCTAATTTGCATATATGGGAATTTGATCATGCCAAGATGTGCTTTTGTTACTTATTCAACAGCTGACCCTTGGGAATTTCATTTAGCCCCTCTGTTTGTCATTTATATGGCAGTTTTATATCTATTTATTAATGCTGTGTATGAAGTTTTTAATAAAATGAGCAGGAAAAGTTGAATCCTTGGCACAAATTCAGATGAAAACAAATAAAAGCAACCATCTAGAAATCTGGCTGAAATTAAATGCTTCTTCCTTGGTCTGAGCGCTGGTGGGAGGGAGTCCTGGGAGCACCTTTTTACTGGTGCTGCACCCTTCAATTTCCCATGTAGCTGCTCCCCAACACCACCCCAAGGGGCATTCCTTAGTTTCTCTTCCCTCCATAAATGGAGGCAGAGCTAAGCTCCTGCAGGCTGCTATCGTTTTAAGCTGAGCACACCCAAACACAAATGTGAAGGGCTGAAACAGATCCCTGATGCCCAGATTCCCACAAACTGACAAAGGGGGGAACTAACAGTGCCCAGCTAAACCTGTGACAAGGACAGTCAGGCTACCCTTGAGTTTCCCACTCAAGACTCCCCCGCTGACCTCCTGCCTTCTGGCTCAGATACTGTTCTCCAAGGTCACTTCTGCCTGCCTTCTCCATGTTCTTCTTAAAGTGGCATGGTGAGTTTAATTTCTCATTTCACGCCAACTCAACACTGATTGTGCCTGAGCCACTCAGAAGGCGGGAGGGGGCACAACCCTGCCTCTTCATTTCGGCAGTGGTCACGTACTGCAGGTTGTGAAAAGCGCAGGTGAGTTACAGGCGCAGCTTTGCCACCAATTAGAGCTGGTTGTGTCATCTCAGACAACTTGCTTTTCTTCTCCAGACCTTGATCTTCTCATCTATCACATGATTTCTAAGAAGGCCTTGGAGAGGACTAGCATGGGTTCCGATGCTGGCTTTGTCACTTATTAACTGTGATCTTGGATAAGCTGCTTAACCTCTCTAAGCCTTGGTTTTCTCATCAGTAAGATGGGGATAATAATGCCTGTCTCATAGGGTTATTGAGAAGATTTAATAACATCTGTAAAGACCCTACCACAGAGCCTAGCCCACAATCAGTCCTCAATAAAGAGCTGCTGGCTAAGACATATTTCTGCTGGAACATTCTGTGGCTCTGGATCCATAGAGGACAGGATTTGGCCAATGACTGCTTAAGGACATTTCAATGGCCCCTTGACAATGACACCATCGCTGGGCTGCCCACCTCCTCCCACAGCTGCAGCCCATTCTTGTGATAGCTTCCCTTTTCCCCCACAAATGGGAATGGCGGCTGCCCCGGCTATGCCTATCTGAAGTGGATCCAGCTGGTGAACAGCCGGGACAGCTCAATACTAGTGGAGTGCAGCTCTCTGCCCAGCCCAGCAGGGGACTGTGCCTCAGTGTAAGCTAATCTAATCTGCAAGATGACAGACCTCAAAAACGGCCCATACAATGAAATGCCCATGGCTTGCAAAACTTTAATTCATGCAGAACCTTTCCTCACAAACAAAATCTTACACAGAACCCCATCTTGGCTTCAGCAGAATCAGGAAAAATACAAAATTGGCAGGGGAAGGAAATAAACAGAACAAGTGGTATCTGAATTTATTTGATATATTCTGGTTGATGGCATTAATTATGATATTTAAAGTAACCATGAGGACAACTCATTAGTAATATCAGTATGTTAAAATATGATGCATAACATTTTTACTATATGTACAGTCATGCACTGAATAACATTTCAATCAATGAGGAAACACATGTGCAACAGTGATCCTGTAAGATTATAATGGAGCATATATAGAGATCTAATATATGGCACTTAATGTTGGCATGGCAGATCAAGTAGGGGAAATGACTGATATTCAGTAACAGTGCTGGGACATTTCATTTTCCATAATAAAATATATAAATGAAAATATATATCCCATCTAGGTTTGTTGAAGTACACCCTATGATGTCCACACAAGAATGAAATTGCCGAATGATGCACTTCTTAAAACATGTCCCCATCATTAAGTGACCCATGACTGTATACACACACAAATATGGTGACATTTTAATCAAATGATTGCAGTATTCCTGAAACACAGAACATTTTGCAAACAATTTAACTACATTCATAACATTAGGTATCCTTTGAATTGCGGTGTTCTATGACAGCGCAACTACAACCAACCCCCATACATCTCCTGCAAAGAAGGCTAGAGGCAAGTCAGGGTACACCAGCATCTTTAAGGACTGCTTCTCAATCCTGGACCTACACTGGAATCACCTGGGGAGCTTTAAAGAACTAACAGTGCCTGGACCCCACCTGACATAACTGGTCTTAGGATTAATTAGGATTTTTTTTTGAAGCTCCACAGATGATTCAAATCAGGTGTAGCAAAGCACTGTTACTTTAAAGTGTCTCTACCTACATGGTGCCAGCCAAGTGCTCAAATGAAATATCTTAAGGCTCTCACTAGCTTTAAGTTTCTCTCTTTGGTAGAGACCCAATCACTGGTTCAAGAAAGCTTCATTCTCCTCCAGTCTTCCCCAGTGCAAAAGAAAACATCTGAGACCCATCAGATACTAGCATTTGTGAGGCAATAACGAGTTTAACCAGAATGCATCCTATTTACAGACCTTACAAAGGCACTCGGCCAGCGGATCATGCACGTCCTCCCCACCCAATGGTAAACAGTGTTAAGTGGCCTGAATGAGCCAGGACAGCAGGGTCAAATCAACTTGTCTAGGCTGGAAGCAGGTTATAAACAATCCAGACAAATAACTACTGGATTGCACTTTAACCACACACATTCAGCTGCACCTGTTTATTAAATACCTCCTTAATTTCCCTCTGCCCCACAAAGGGCTTCTGACCCCTGAAAATAATGCTTCTCAACATAAAAATAATTGTTTTCTTCTTGGCAGTTTAATTCCCCTTCCACACATCCCACCCCACCATTCCCCTATAATAGTAATACCCTGCTGTGCAGACCTCTGCTGCCTCCAAAGAGACACAGGCTCCCAAACCTGACCAGGGCATCCTCTGACCCACAGCCCCTCTCTCTCCCCTCCCAACCTACAATAGAAAGTTCCTCCCAGGCAAGGATCTTTTTTTTTTAAATAACTTTTTTAACTTTAGACATTCTGTACTCTTTGGATTACTCTGCAATAAGCAAATATGACTTCTGTAACATAGAAAGAAAGATCAAAATGTTATATATAACTGCATGAAAAGAACTAGAAAGAAAATACTAGGTGACAGGATGGCAAGTGATTTTTATTTTTTTCTTAATATTTTACTCCTTCCCCCAGTCCTCTGCAATGAGTATGTACCAGTTTTATAACTAGAAAAAAATTTTAGCCAAAAATAAAAATAATGCATGTTTGCTATATAAAATTCACTACTGTAGTATTTATATATATATACATATTTGGTCTTTGTCCCCAGTTCCTGGCACTGAGCTCCTAAACCCCTTGGAACTTCCTAAGCAATGGGAGTACCTTTTGTTATTTATAAGAAGCCCCTTTTGGCCATCCCAGAGTTTATGCTAACGAGGTGACTGAAGGTGAGCACGGAGGCAGTTTCAAGGAAGGAGCTGGCCACGCTTAGAGTTGTGGAGTTTTCCGCCCCAGCCTTAGACCTCCAAGGACAAGAAGGGGACTGCAGATTGATCCAATCAGCATTGGTCAGTGATTTGATCAGTCATACCCATGTAATGAAATCCCATATGAAAACCCTAAATAATGGAGTTAGGAGAGCTTCTGGGTGCTGGAAGCGGCGTGCACCAGGAGAGGGCATGGGCAGTCAGCACTACTCCCCTCTCAGACCTTGCCCTATGCACTAAATAGGACTGACCTACGTGACCAATAGGAAATGCACAAATGGTGGAATGTGACTTCCAGGGCTAGGTCATAAAAAGACAAGCATGATGTTATGAGGACATCAAAGCAGCCATATGGGGAAGACCACATGAGGCCTCCTGCCAACAGCTAGCACTAACTTGCTAGCATGTGACTGGAAGTAGATTCTCCAGCCACAGTCAACTCAGTCAAGCCTTCAGATAATGTCAACCCCAGGCATCTTTTTGTTGTTGTTGAGACAGGGTCTCACTCTGTCACCCAGGCTAGAGTGCAGTGGTGCAATCATAGCTCACTGCAGCCTTGACCTCCGAGGCTCAAGTGATCCTCCCACATCAGCCTCCTGAGTATCTGGGACCACCAGCACACACCACCATGCCTGGCTAAATTTTTTATTTCTTATAGAGACGGGATGATATGGTTGGGGTCTCTGTACCCACCTAAATCTCATGTTCAATTATAATCCCCAATGTTAGAGGTGGGGCCTGGTGGGAGGTGACCGGATCACAGGAATGGATCTTTCATGAATGATTTAGCTTCACCCTTTTGGTGCTGTGCTTGTTAGAGTTCTCACAGTATCTAATTGTTTAAAAGTGTGTGGCACCTCCCCCCTCTCTCTCTTGCTCCTGCTTTGGCCACGTAAGGCGCGCCTGCTTCCCCTTCACCTTCCACCATGATTGAAAGTTTCCTGTGGTTGCCCCAGAAGCCGAGCAGATGCCAGCATTATGCTCCCTGAACAGCCTGTGGAACTGTGAGACAATTAAACCTCTTTTCTTTATAAATTCTCCAGTCTCATGTATTTATAGCAATGTGAGAACTGACTAATACATAGGGTCTCACTGTGTTGCCCAGGCTGGTCTCAAACTCCTGGGCTCAAGTAATCCTCCTGGCTTTGCTTCCCAGAGTGTAGGGATCACAGGCATGAGCCACTGAACCTGCCCCTTTCCCCCCAACAACATCTTGACTGCAACCTCCTGGGAGACTCCGAGTCAGAAGTATCCAGTTAAGATGTTACTGACTTTCTGAACCACAGAAACTGTGAGATAATAAACATCTATTGTTCCTTTAAGCCTTAAGTTTGGGGCTTTTTTTTTTACATCAATATATAACTAATGTAGACACCTGCAGTCCCTAAGATTGAATGCAAAATTGTGTTACATACACATGAGTGTGTTCTTCTGGGAAAAGAGTCCATAAACTTCAAAAGATTCTCAAAGGAATTCAAGACCCAAAAAGATTAAGAAACATTGCATCAGACAATAAATTGTCAATGAGCAAGGTCCTGTCCTTTTAGATTGGGTTTTGAAATCACCCATCCCACAAATACATGATACCACTTAACTAGTTTTTCAAGATATTTCTTGTTCAAAGATGCTCCCACTTTTTCTTTGTGCTCAAGTCCTAGATAAACCTGGCTAGGGGCAGGAGGTATGACTCAGGAGTTAGTGAGCAGGGAGGGGTCACTGTGTCTGGGAAAGCCAGCTTCTCATGCAATTTTTGGAATATGCCTTGGCTCAGAAACCTACCTCTCTAGGCACAGGATCCAACTTATATGTTCAAGATGCGTGACTGAGCATGTGAAAGTGTCAGAGGGATCGACCTCACCATTTTACATCTACTTTTCCAGTTATGGCCTCTACAATCATCAAAGCTCATTCAGCACCATGCTCCTCCAAATTCTGCATGCGACTCAGCCACACTAGTATCTTTCTTCATCTATAAGATGAAAGTAATACAACATACCATGTAGCAAACTCACAGGAGACCCTAGAGATCAAATAATACTGTGAAAGCCACCAAATGAATATTTTAAAATTTTATCTCATTTCTGCCAAGGTGAGATATCAATATATAAACAGGATAAATCTTTGTAAGTACAAGAACATTAAAAAGAACATTAAGTTTGGGTAAAAAATGCAAAACTGCATATGCAGTAAAATTACATTAAAAAAAAAAAATCCTACACCTACAAAAACAACCAAACAAAACATTGATGATACTGGGCTGAATCGCTGAATGGTGAGAATTTGAGTGATTTTCTCCTCTCCTATTTTTCTCAATACCTTTTCTCTATTATCTCCTTTTTTTAAATAAGCAAGTATATATTGTTCTAAACTGAAGAC
Organism: Homo sapiens; assembly: GCF_000001405.40. Lineage (NCBI taxonomy): Eukaryota > Metazoa > Chordata > Mammalia > Primates > Hominidae > Homo > Homo sapiens. The sequence continues at coordinate 116,622,644 of NC_000001.11, forward strand.
AAATGATCATAATGAGTAGCACTTTCCCAGGCACTGTCCTAGTTTCTCTGCATACATCATCTCATTTAATCCTCACAACAGTGAATGGGGTCGATTTCATTACAGCCACATTTACCAGACAAGGAAATGGTTTTCAAGGTTAAGTAAACTTCTCATGACACAGAATGTGACTAAGAGTTTTCTTATTCCATGGCTCACACTAAATGTGCTCTGTGAATATCAGTGAGAAGTAATAAAGCACTGACTGGATCTTCTTGCCCACCTGGTCCTAAAGGAAATGATGGGGAATCTATGCAGTCCCAAGTTAAAAATGGGAACTGAACTGAGCTGCCACAGCATGCTGAATTGGTGGAGTCCAGGCCAACTAAGTGCTTCATGGAACTTAAAGGCTCCAGAGAGAAAGCAATCGGGAAGGCCACTTCCACAGGCACATCGGTGACAACTTCTGGGGATTCTTACCTGTCAGCCTTCGGCCAAGGAAGGACAGGAAGTGGCATGGGCTAAAAGATCCTTTGTTTGACCTCTTTCCAGATCAGGTGACAGGAAAACACAACACTTGAACCTTTCCAATAAGGACAGCCAGCACTTACTGAGCCCCAGCCAGGTAACTGACACTGTTCCAAGTACTCTGCTTGTATAACCAGCTTTAACCTTGCAACAGCCCTCTGAGGTCAATACTCCTAGTGACCTCACTTTACGGATGCAGAATCTGAGGCAAGGAGTTAGGGAGTAAATGAAGCTGGCTAAACACACTTGCACTGGCCAGGCACGGTGGCTCATGCCTGTAATCCCAGCACTTTGGGAGGCCAAGGCAGATGGATCACTTGAGGTTAGGGGTTCGAGACCAGCCTGGCCAACATGGTGAATCCCCAGCTCTACTAAAAATACAAAAATTAGCCGGGTGTGATGGCACACGCTATCAGGAGGCTGAGGCAGGAGAATTGCTTGAACCTGGGAGATGGAGGTTGCAGCAAGCCGAGATCGCACCACTGCACTCCAGCCCATTCGGTCAATGTCACTGCCATCAAGGGACAGTCTAACCAAGGTCCAGATGGCACAAGTGGAACCATAAAACCAGGACAGCTCGAGGTTCAGCTTCCCAAGCCCACAGGTGCAAGGACCTTATCTGGATCCATACTTTCATCAAAAATGTCCCTTGAGGCCAGGCACAGTGGCTCATGCCTATAATCCCAGCACTTTGGGAGGGCGAGGCAGGTGGATCACCTGAGGTCAGGAGTTCGAGACCAGCCTGGCCAATATGGTGAAACCCTGTCCCTACTGAAAATACAAAAATTTAGCCCAGCATGGTGATGTGCGCCTGTAATCCCAGCTACTCCGGAGGCTGAGGCAGGAGAATCGCTTGAACCCAGCAGGTGGAGGTTGCAGTGAGCCGAGATCATGTCATTGCACTGTGGGCTGGGCAACAGAGAAAGACTCTATCTAAAAAAAAAACAAAAAAAAGGTCCCTGAGGATCCCTCGAGCCTGGGAGGCCGAGGCTGCCGTGAACAATGATTGTGCCACTGCACTCCAGCCTGGGTGACAGAGCGAGATCTTGTCTCAAAAAAAAAAAAAAAATGGCTCTTGAAACAGCCATCAATTCCCATGTGATAAATGCACTGTCACAATCCAGCAGCAAACCTAAAGTTTGGATCGAATTCCTAAGTCTTCGCCTTCACTGACTTCCCACAGCATGGGCAGTAGCTGTGAGATCTTGGGCTGGTTACTTAACCTCTCTGCACCTCAGTTTCCTCATCTGTAAAGTGGTATAATTGTCACAGCGTTATGGAAGGATTAAATGAGTTGCTACATTTAAAACTTAATTCCTGGCACACAATAAGTGCTCAATAAATGTTTAGCCACTAGTTGCAGTAGTAGCAATAGTAGTGATATTAACTCTAGCTGTGGAACTAATTTCTCCCACACACCGTGGCAGGTTGTATTCTCCAGACACAGCAGTAACAATATCTCCTTCCCACATGCTCTTTTGCAATGTGACCATGCCACACACTCCCATCAAGAGGTGGAGTTTAGAATAATTCCCTTCTCTGTGTATCTGGGCAGGAAGTCACTGTGTGGCTTCCAATCCTAGGTCATGGAAAGTGATGTAGCTTCCATTTCACTCAGGGTGTCCTGAACCACCACATAAGACAGCCAACGGTCCTGAGGCCATGCTGTGAGGGGGCCCAAGGCACATGGAGAGGCCCTGGGCAGGTGCTCCAGTCCAGAGCTGGCTCCAGCCAGGTCCACCTGCCACAATGTGAGTGAATGAGCCAATCAGCACCCAGCTCCACCTGCCACCATGTGAGTGAACAAGCCTCCACTGTGAGCTGCCCCCAGCCTTGGAACTTCCAGCCATGCCTGCTGTGCCTCTAAATTCTCGACCCACAGATTCTGTGAGCATAACAAAATTGTTGTTTTAAGCCACTGAGGTTTGGAAACATTTGTTACATAGAAAGGTAACAAGAACATATGCTATGGCTTCAATCAACATTTTTTTCAGTACCTATTATGATGGATACTAGGACAGAAACTGTGAGGGAGAGATTGATAAGACATAGTTGACAAGTTGTCCTAAGCTGACAATCCTAAAATAAATACACATAACTAATCATTTTAATGGTATACAATAGCAGTGAGGTGCAAAGTGCAAGGTTAAGCCCTTTCAGAAAGTGAAAGCATTCAAAAAGCCTTCAAAAAAGCAGTGACATCTGAATTGGGTCCCAAAGCACAAGGGAAATATATACCACGTGAAAACACTGCAGTGCATTCCAGGATTAGCAAGAAGTTTGCGGAGGTCGTTTTGTCACATGACTGGAGGGCACATCAGTGCCAGGCGGAAAAGGGCACCGAAAGGCACATTAATAAAGTCAAACACCTCCTCTGGGACTGGGGAAGTTGAGAAAGAGCCTAACAGAGGTAAGGAAGAAGACGGATCAGATTTACGCTTTCGAATTATCACTCTGGTGGCAGGTGGAGGACAGAGCAGAGGGCAGGACTGGAAGCAGACAGACCAAATTCACAGTCAAATGCGACAAGATGAGGGCCTGGCCTGGTTTTAAATCCAAGGACAAAAATATCATTCATTCACTCTTTCATTCTTTCTCTTATCTGAATCCCCAGTGGTACCTAAAATAGAGCTGGTCTAAAGATGATGATTAATGAATGTTAAATTATTGATACTACTTCTAAGAAGATGTAACTGCCAGCTACAGAACCATCCAAAAGGACTGCAAACCCAGTAATTCATTTCATCCCAACCTGACTGATCTCTCTGATGTCTGCACTGCTGTGTCACTAGACTGCCTGATTGTCCTAGGTTGAGACATTTAGCTACTGAGCCCCAGGGATGGGTGGCTGCTTCTAAGCTGCTGCCTAATTCCCTCATTACTAAATGTTGAAGCTGCTTCCTTAGAGGACTGCTAAACCATAACTCAAAAATATTTTAAACATGCTACTATTTACTTAGATTAGAATATTTACTTAAATATTTTAAAAATTACAGTATTTTAAGTCTTTTATCTCTTCTGACTACTACCACTAACCCTGCTTCCCCTCATTTTTCCAGAGATTAGCACTACTGTGATTTAAGGATAGAGCTCTCCAGACTTAAAAAAAAAATGCTTTTATATCCAGATATATGTAACCACTGAAAAATACACATTATTTTTCAGCATTTTTTACATAAACATTATCGTCCCTTTCATTGAGTTATGATCCTCAGTTTTCCTCCTCAAAGTTTTTGAGATCAAATATAGTTCCCATTTTTCCTCTTTATATAGCTGCACAGTATTCCATCATAGGATTACACCACATTTTATTTATTCCAATATTAATGAATATTTAGGTTATTTATACTTTTTTTTTCTATAACCAACAAGCCCATGCCTTCTACTGCTTATCCTTTCCCCACCTGAATTTGTACAATCCCCAGCTTCTCTTATCCATGACCATTGAAACCCCAGGGAAGACCTTATCACTTTCAGGATGTCCATGGCTATTTCACCCTATGCCATGCTTGGAACCAGGAAAGCCCAAAAGACCCCACTTCCCGCCCTTCTATTCTGCTCCTCCTCTCCTATCGCTCATTTCTTTGACTCCATCCTCCACTCCTCCCAGAAAAGGTAGGGATAGCACCTGAGTCCTGCCACCCTCTCACCTGCATTCCCCCTCACTCTCATGCGAAAGACAGCACAGAAGCAGCATCCAAAAAGAAAGGCAGCGAGGGAGCCCTGCAGCCTGCCCTAGGCCAGCCATGCCCACAGCCACAGGAATAGACACTTTTTTCAGCCCAACCTAGAATCAAGGCAGCATCTAATAGAAATGCTTATAAGTAAATATAAGTGCTAGTATTTGCCTTCTATTTTCTAGAGGGGAAAAAAATTAAAAGGCAAGATCAGATTACTTGCCTGTAAATGTTCTCCCTGTAATTACTCTGACCGCTCTTTCTTTCCGTCCGGTTTTGGAGATAACAGAAATAGGCTGAGTGTTGGGCATTTTTTTTTAAAGAGGGCAGCTTCGTGGCAACACTCCCTCTGAGAAGTCCAGAGGCTCAGTGAACCGCAGCTTAGAGTGAGTTCCAGTAAAAGGACCATCACTCGAACCAGTAAGTGCCTCATTCCTTCTCACAGCATACATTTCACAGCAATTACTGTTGCTATTATTTTACGCTTCATTTCTGGACCTAGGATACCCCAGTTTCTCCAGACTCTCAGTCTGGTCCCCAGATTTTCAGTCTGGGAGAAAGGTGTCTGCTGGATTTCAAACAGTCCCTCTACTGGCCGCCACCACCACCCTCTCCTAAAGAGGACTGGAATAACTTCCACAGCTCCTGCCACACTCAGCACTGCCTGCACCTCCTCCTGGAGCTGGCAGGGCCCCAGCAGTGCGCCTCTCAATGCTCTCACAGCTTCAGGAAGAGGACTGCTAAGCCCAGGGCCCTGCTGACAACAGGCCGGGAGCGCATCTGCAGGCAGCGTCAGGATGTCAGCTACCAGGCAGCAGAGGGATGCGGGGCGCCAACAGCAAAAGCACTTGGGGGGCTTTTTCAAGTGGCATCAGAACTAGACCTGGATACAAAGGGGTGGCCCTGGCTTCAGGAAGCCCATGATAAGTCAGTCTGCTGTGTCCTTCAACACAGTGTCCCCACCTTCTGTCTCCCAACACTAGGCCATGGAGACACAAAACTAGAAAATGGGGCTGCCTAGCTAGGAATGCCCAGGCAGTGAATTGGGGTCTCCAAAGGAACCTCAGAGCCGTGTCCTACTCAGAGCAGCCCCTTCAGCTCTTCACCCTGGAAAGCACTCCGGTACAAAACAGGAATATTCCTCTTCTCCTGACTCTGCCCAAGGCACTGCTGTGACCCTCTCAGCAGTGGAAGCACTAGCCAATGTGCCATCCTCTTGGATGATAGCTGGATAATCGCAATAAGCAGAGCCCCAATAACTAGCTCCAGTGTGTGGGCAGAAGTGGAGAGGATGGAGAAAGGATACAAAAAGACACTGTGGGATTTCAGGGCAACCCATGAGTGAGGATCACAGCACAGCTATGCCTTGCAAGGACCAGAACTGGAAAACCTTTGTGACTTAGACCACCCTCCTCAGGACAGCTCCCGCCACTCTTCAGGGACAAAGTTCCTTTACTCAGCCATAGTTTCTGTGCTCCAAATACTCAGCTTACACATGCCTGTTGCTGCTGCACTCCCCACTGTGGTTCTCAGCGCAAATTCCCCAGAAAGCAATCTGACTGGCTGGGAGACTTTTTTTTTTAACCAGGCCCCCAGAGTTGTAGATTTTGGGGTCATTTACAATGTGCATTTCCCCAACACACTCAGATCTAGGTGACCTTGACCAGATGGGCATCTGTATTCCATTACCCAGCATATAACCACTTTGGGCAACAGGGACTGTGAAGGGCCCCCAAACCATTCCCCACCAAGAGTGTGGGTGGCAGGCACCCTGAAATATGTCTAGCATACTCATAAAGCATGAACATCTACACGTAACTAAAAATAAATACTGAGAGCACTGACACTGCTTCTGGGGGTTTTCCCAAGCACGTGTTACGTATGATAATAATGGATGGCCGCTCCTTCCCCCTCAGCTTTGACTTTCATTGCTGGTGGCTCAGGCTCCTGTGCTTGGCTCTCATCAGTGGGTAGCCCTGGATTGGACATTTTCCCTATTCAATTCAAGGACCATGTTCTTGAGCATAACTATGACCAGGCAGTAGGCAGTGGGCCCTGCTCATTCTTTCTAGGGAGGCACAGATAAGCCAGCATCACAGATGCAAAAATAACAGAACTGTGGAAGTAGAGACTAATTCTGCAGCAGCCCAGAGAAGACAACTGGGAAACAGGGCCCTCGCAGATACACAAGACCAAGCTGGAGAGTTCAGGGACTTCCAAAAGAAGGTACAAGAATGAGCACTATACCATAGGGGGGTGGGTCACAAAAGCAGGAAAAGGTCCCCAAACAAAGAATCCATCAGTCAATTACAGCACTCTCCCCATGTGGTGAAATAGTATGCAACCATTTAAAAACTGCAGAGAACAATATTTATGAACACCTAAAAATGCTGAAAGCACACTACTAAGTAAAAGGGGAGAAAGGCTATAAAAGGATTTGAAAGTATTTTCGTAAAGATAAACACCCACACACCTCTATATATGTGTGGAAAAAGGACTGGGCTAGTATATTTAAAAAACGCTAAAGGGAGGTGGGGTAATAAGGGATTGTTTTTTCTTTGCACTTTGTGTTTTCTAAGTATTCCATAGTCTGAATGAATTAGCTTCATAATTAGGACCAACAGTCATAAGCAATTTCTCAGACCACCTGCCTCATAAAACCCAAAAAAAGAAGTCAGAGAGGGGTGAATATTTTGGTACAGATGAATTCAGGTTGTGTAAGTGGAGAGGAGGGAGGTGGCCAAGGAGCCTGAAGTGGGGGAGGGGGGCTGATGTGAAATAGGGAATGGGTGGCGAGAAAATGATTGCAAAATTGGCTGGAGCCAGCCTGGTCAGGTCAACTTTGCAGGTGTGTGAAGTGTCAAATGGTTAATCAGTTGCCCTCTATTTGAGCTACTTAATGCACAAGGGCCTGGTTGAACAGGTTTGACCTCATTTACTTTTTCTTAAAGCTGTTTAGCCGCTTTCCTAAAAACTCCTATTTTCTGAGTTATTAAACTTTCCATTCCATGTTGATCCCTTCCAAGCCTTCTAACGCATCTCTTCTCTTGCTTCTTCCAATTGGATGCCTTCATGAGGCATTAACAGAGACTGTGAGCCCTGATGAAAATCATCCTTTCAGGGTACAAGGAAGGCACCTGAATGACAGATGGTTTGAGGAATCTTGAGAAAGCAGAAGTTTAGGCATTAACATGCAGGCTGTCGCTGACTTACACAGAGCCAAGGACGTGACATACAGCATGGGGCCATTTCTAAATCCCCACTGAAGGCAAGGGTCCTGGAGGGAATGGGATTTGGAACAAGATTTGGGCTTTGAACATTCGCTACAGGCTCTGACAAAGCAGTGATGGTTCAAAAGCCTCTGCCCCCTGGTGGCAAGCCCTGCCCAGATGCTGTTAAGGGGCTCTCCAGGCACGCCCTCCTAATTAGGGGCAAGATCAGAGAAGCCTCTTTGGAAGAAGACAAAAGGCACAATGAGATGTAGTCTCCTGAAGTAGAGGCTTTCTCTCTGGTTATCACCTGAAACAGGAAATAAGGACTGAGTGCCTGCTGAATTCCAGGTACTAGCCAAATCTGCAGCAAACTAGCATTTCCAAAGGTGTCTTCTTACTTTAATCTCACAGCCACCCTGTGAGGGAAGTGTACATTCCCCATTTTACTGATGAGATGAGCAAACTGAGGCTCGGAAAAATTGTCAGTGGGATACAGAGTTGGCATCCAAACCCACAATCTCTGACTCTAAGCTTCTGTTTCATTCATTCCAAAAATATATATGGTGTCTCCTCTTTGCTGGACACTGTACTGGGCTGATGAGCTACAAGACCCAATCTTTACAGTCTAGGAGGCAGAGATAGATAAGTAAACAGAGGCGGCAAAGCGTGGCACTGTGAAAGATGCACTGAGCTAGGTGTTCCATGGGCGTCAGGAAAGGCTTCACACAAGAGAGGTGGCTTGTGCCCAGTTTTAATTAGGATGAGTAGGTATTTCTGCTAGATCATGGTGGGGTGGGGAGGACTTGACATAGGACCTCAGCAGAGAGCAGCTCGAATCTATGCAGAGCTGCATGAGGAGCTGGAGGTCCAGAGTACTGCAGCAGTTTGACATTGATGGGTGGTAGGGTCCATGAAAGTAGAGGAAGACCAAGAGGAAGCAGCAGACAGGGGCCAGGCCAGGGCAGGGATAGGGTGCTCTACTAAAGAGCATGGGCTTGGCCGGGCATGGTGGCTCACGCCTGTAATCCCAGCACTTTGGGAGGCCGAGGCGGGTGGATCATGAGGTCAGGAGATCGAGACCATCCTGGCTAACACAGTGAAACCCCGTCTCTACTAAAAATACAAAAAATTAGCCGGGAGCGGTGGCGGGCTCCTGTAGTCCCAGCTACTTGAGAGGCTGAGGCAGGAGAATGGCGTGAACCCAGGAGGCGGAGCTTGCAGTGAGCCGAGATCGCACCACTGCACTCCAGCCTGGGCGACAGAGCCAGACGCTGTCTCAAAAAAAAAAAAAAAAAAAAAAAAGAGCATGGGCTTTGAACTATGAGCAGTGGAGAGCCACTGGGGGTGTAAATAAGGAAACAGATATTCCAAATCCTGCCTTGGGAAGATTGTTCTGGCAGAAGTGATGGGAAAGGGGCCCTGGCAGAAGATTCCTTCATGGTCCTGCGGTGATCCAGGTGAGAGCTGCTGAGGACCCCAACCAAATCAGATCACTGGACCTCCACTGGGAGTGAAAGGGGGTGGTCTGGCCAGAGAGATAGTAAAGAGATGTAGTTAACAGGCAAGAGAATGTGGGGATATCCAGGTAGCTGTCCACAATTCCCAGGTCTTAGGCAACTACTGGGGAGAAGTTGATGAGGTCATCACTGGACAGAGAATCTATTCCCTGGGCCCAACCAACTCTCTAGACCATCCTGCCATGTGCCTCTGAGAAGTGATCTTCCCCAGCCAGCCCACAGGAGGACATAGGGAGCAAAGGTCAACAGTCACTCAGCTGATGGATGGCAAGCATTCAGATGGGAGGTGCCTCCAAAGGCCATGATAACCCATGGATCGATTTGAGAAAGATGCCAGAAAACAGTTAATTCAAGGCCACTTTAAAATACCTGGCATTCAATCCTCCTCAACGTCTCCATCAACTGCAGACCCTATAACTCCCAAATAAGCTCCACTCGCCACAAAGTTCAAGACACAGAAACGGTCACTGAGAGCAGAGCCTATTCCTGAAAAGCAAAAGACTCCAAACTTGCACAACTCAACCAGTGAAGGGCTGGGGAAGACTGACAAGTTCACTAAGAAATGAGAGGAAGGACAAACAAGATGTTCAAATTAGAAAATGATTCCATTAATGAGGGCTCTGATGATATAGTTGTGGAGGTTATCAGTTTGCCAGAGCTGCAGATTTAAAATACTTGCATGGTAATCGAAACCAGAAAATGCTGACCATCCCCCAAAACCTCCCACCCCACCTAGTGCTGATAACAGGAGTTATCAGTTGCTTTTTGTGCACAGCCAGATGAGATATGGATCTGTGGGGGGAAGAAGGGGTGGGCGTGCTAGCATCTCTCAGCTAGACTGTCATTGGATGGTGACATTCCCCAGGACTCAAGCAGCATCTGAGAAGCCACTTTCAACATAACTATGGAACAGCTAACCACACAACGCAGCATACTGAATGAGAAGCCTCGCAGGCAGAGAAGAAAGCAAACCTGGAAGGCAACAAATGGACACGTGCGTGCTGAAGGACTCGTGTTTAATTCTTCCCAGTAATCCTTTTTCAGGCATATATTTTTGTCTCCTCAAACTTAAGAAAAGCATTAAAGGAAATCCATGCTCTGGAGGGGAGAAAGAGAGGCTGTACTCATTAACTCAGAGCTGACCTCGTCTGGCAGGATTAACTAGCCATACCTGTCCAGCCCACAGAGCCTGGCCTGGAGCATGAGGGAGAACCACAGCCAACTCCAGAAAAATAAAAGGCTGCAGCGAGAAACAAGTGGGGCCACAGAGAGAAAGGGGTTTTGAAAAAGTTCTAAATCTCCATGGCTAGGGACAGTGACATCAGTGTGTTTACCAAGCATTTGATTTACTTGCTCAGGCAAAATTCCAGAAGAGACACTGGGACCTGTGTGGAGAGTTTCTTCACTGCAGCTATCCTGCCAGGCTCATTGTAAAGTGACGAATTTTGTGGACACTTACAGAGAAAAAAATAGCTTCAAATGCTATATAGACCAATGCTGCACGCTGCAGAGACACAGTCTTTGGGTTCTGTGAGCTGTATTTGGGCTTTATGCAGAGTTCAGCTGCCATCTGTCCCTTTGAAGGCCAGCTAAGAAGTTGGTCCCAGCCTGGGCATGGTACCACTGTCCTACATTCCAGCCATTTGGGATGTCCTGGGTTCAACCATTCCCACCCACTGCCGGATCAAGCACTTCCCACCTCCTGCTCTGGGAAATCAGATCTCAGTAGGTCATCAACCATTCCAGGAAGTCCAGCAGAGTTGGTTTTGGTTTGGGGGTGTTTTTTGAGTTGGGTGGAAGAAGAGACCTTACATAATCTTTTAACTTTTTCTCTAAGGCTGATTCCCTATAAGCAAAATTTTAAAATTTTTTTTAAAGAAGAAAAACACCTAGACAATCCTTAAAATCCCCTTTCAGCTCCAAGACTGTGTAATTCTGTGATACCAGTATTGAAAGCCCCTGCATTTCCCTAACTATATATTCCCCTATGCCATGGAAAGGTGCATGTAAGTGAGAGAACAAAAAATTTCACAATCATGGGGACCTCTTCTTTCAGCTTTGGAGCCCCCTTCCCTCTGTCTCTGTATGGGGCAGCTTTTTCCTTCTGTCTTCTCCCTTCCTTCTTGTCTACTAAACTCTCTGTGCCTTAGAACCAAAAATAAAAAATAAAAATTCAAAATCATGATCTTAGGGGTGAAAGAACACTGAGAAACCATAGAAAGCAAAAATGAAAAGCCAACATAGAAAAAGTCTGACTTGAATTAGAAGCAGCACTTAAAATTACAGGTTCAGAAAAAGCTTGAACAGAATCCAGGGCTGAGGTCAGCCCTGAGTCTGTAGGCTCTGCCCTCTCACAAAGGTGAGTAGATGGGTCTGGAGAGGGCTGTTCATGCTATGGAAGGGCCTCTATGCCATCGAGGCTAAAACCAAAGCAGGAGCAAATCAGCCCTGCTAATGTGTACAGTCAGCATCAAAGAGGTAACAATGGTAGAGAATATTTTCTGAAAGACACACATGAAACCAGTAACGGTGATGGTCTCTGGAAGAATTAGGTCAGAAGCAGACTTAATTTGCACTGTGTACATCCTTCGGTATCCTTTTTAATTGAACACATGTGAATGTATTACCTATTCGAAAAACAAATGAGTAAAAACACATGCCACGACAAGGCAAAATGAGGAGACAGTATAAAAAAGACAAGGATAATTTTAAATTTCTCCTAATAAAACGCTGTTTAAAAATCTAAGAGGAAAAAAGGGTAGGCTCCAGCTAGCGGAGAGAACAACTAAAAAACAAGAGCCACGTGTTCCCATGGTCCTGGCCAACCCCACTTCTTTCCCATCCTCACTCGTTCACATCTGCCTTGGAGCACCCACAGCAAGCCTGGCTTCATGCCCAGAACATCACCTGGCTTTCCTCCTCTCTCCCTGCCCACATCTCCTCAGTCACTCGCTGCCTCCTCTCTTGCTTCTCTCCCAGTTCTCAGTTTGCCCATCAAATCTCAGGTGGCACTCTCCATTCCCTGCTATGAGGGAGTTCATTTGTTCATGCAATTTCCCCACCTGAGACAAAATGTATTTCCCAAAGTTGGCTTGCAATGACATCTCCCGTGCCTGCTCTGCTTACCCATGGCTTTGACACTCCTTCCATCGAGAGGGCAGAACCTGTGTTTCCTCTCCCTGAATCTAGGTGGGCTACAGCTCTGGTAGAAGTGACACTCTGTGACCTTAAGGCTAGGTCACAAACAGGGAACGCAGCTTCTGCCAGCTCTCCTGGGACACACATTTGGAGCCTGAGTTGCGGTGTAAGCCATCTGCCTGCTCCGAGCCCGCCACACTATAAGGAAGCCCAAGCTACCCCACAGGAGAGACAAGGTGAAGAGAATGAGATGCCAGTCTCCACTGCTCCAGTTGTCTAGTGTCCCAGCCCCAACCACCATCTGACTGTAACCCCATGAAAGACTGAGCCAGAACCACGAGCCCAGCCCTTCCTGATGTTGACATACAGACTTCATGAAAGAGAATAAACTAATTTTTGCTTTAAGCCACTATGATTCGGGATGATCTGTTATGCAGCACTGGATAACTGCAACACCTGCTTCTAAACAGTAGAATCCCAAATGTCTAGGCCCCATCTGTAACTTACTTCATGTTCCTATTCTCACTGATTTTTTGCCACTGAGCTTGACCAAGCCCTTGAGTCACCAATTCCAGATATCTGTTTAAACAAATTCACTGTGACGGTCCACACTGTCTATTCCTCCAAAACAATCCCTGTTATAGTTGGCCTTCCCCAGTTCTCTTCCTGGCATAGAGTAGTCCGTGCCCTTCTCTCATTTCTTAATATGACCCTCACCCATGGAGTGTCCCTAGATTCTGCTCATTCATAATACTTCTTCACCCACCCTAACCTCTCCCTCCTGTAGCCACAGATTGTCCACTTTTCCAGGCCTCTGCACTGGAGGCTGCATCAGCCACCTCCCAGTACATCATCCTTTCCAATGCCCTACAACACGGGGCAGACAGGACTCTTTTTTGCTGCACATCCAGGCTGTTTAAGAAAAGGCTTAAGGCAGCTTAAGCACAAAGAATGTCATCTTCAAACATTGTAATGGCATCTTCTTGTTGGGACACTGAAGTATTCCCATGATTCCAAGAATCAAATGAACAACATCTGGTTATGGGGTCTCTGGTCTCTGCCAAGGCAAACTCATAAAGCATTTCAAAGCCCTTCATCTGGAAAGGCCTTTTCTCCACCCCACACCCAGCCAATGCCCACTCATACTTTAAGGCCCAGCTCATCCGTCATCTCTGCTAGGGAACCTTCCTCAGTGCCTTATGCAGGCAACCATTCCTGCCTTGTGTTGTGTGAGTGCCTTAAGTCAAATCCTTAACTCATCTTTGTGTGTCCCCTTGCATTTCAGACAGTAGGTGCCCAATAAGTGTTTGTGGGATGAATCAACCGGTTATTCTCCTGAACACCCTTTCCCAGTACACCTCCACTCGCCAGAACAACTGTCTTCCTCACAGGTGCCAGCCATCACCCCGACCACACCCTCTCAAAAGGCCTTTGCCAGTCATCAAACAAAGCCTCTTGTCTCCTGAGAGCCGCTCCACAATCACCTTCCCAAGAAGAATTCCCCATACCGAGTCTACCATTCCTTCCCTGATCAAAGTTGCTTTCACAGGCATCTGTTCAGCTATCCACTCTTCACGGCTTGGTTTTCATGCACTCTGAGTTGGCCCTATCTCCCCTTTTTGGCCTCAAGCACATCACGAGGAAGGCTGGTGACAACCTTTCCTGAGCTTAGGACAGTTTTCATGCAAACTGGTTCTTCCAGGTTCTTATGCCTGGAAGAACTGCTGCTCTCCAATAGCATGAAGTAGACAATGATGTTCTTAGCATCCAGTCTTAAAACTAGAAAAAGTATTGGCACTGCTGGATCCCCAGCTCCTAGAATGGTGTGTGGCACCTGAACAGACCTCAAAAATATTAGTTGAGTGGAGGAAAGAATGAACAGTCATCTGGCCCAGACTTGGAGAAGCTGTGATCTGTCTAGCCCTTCTACACCAGGAGCGAGGCCTGAAAAGCTGCATGACTCACCCAAGGTCACGAGCAAGCCAGTGAAGAGGGGCTGGAACCCTGTCTTTTGCCTCGAAGCACAGGGCCCTCCTTCTGTCCCACCCAGCTTTCTCACCACCCACCCCACCCCTTCCACACTCCAAAGACAGCATCTCCGCGAGAAGTGTTGGGCAGTGTCCAGGAGTGTTTTTCTTCCTGGCTTTAAAACAAATTGTGACAAATGGCTCCACAGATCTACCGGGCCATGGAGCTGAGCAGATGGGACTGCAATTCACACTATTAACTCAAATTCTACTTGACATTCTTTCAAATCAGGGCATTTTATCTAGAAATTATAAAAAATTGTTGGGGGAGTACATTTGTAAGGAAGTTTGCCAGCAGATTCATTTACAAATCGACTTGTTCCTGGCCACCCTCACTGATCACAGACTTTTACTCACGCTCCCTTACTCTCTCCCATCAACGAGTCCAGCGCATGCAGAGAGTGATGGAATCTTGAGGCCCACTGGTCTAACCACTCACCTAAGCTTGACTCCCCTGTGCCTGTGGACATCCTGCGTGCAGATAGATGCACATTCCCACTAATGGCAGCCAGGGGAAAGCACTATTCGAAAGTTCTTCTTTACTTTGAACTGAAATTGGGCTCAGGGGTCCTGGATACAGGACAACCCCAATCTCTTATTTATTCAATGGACAACAGGTGAGCACATACTAGGCCTGGACACTGATGTAGGTAGGCACTAAAGCTTCAGAGAGATGCAGATGAACAATCTTTACCCTGAAGGAGCTCATGTTCTATGGGTTCATTTCCTTTCCCTGTGTCTTACAAACAGGTTCCAGTTTGTTTCCGTCCTTCAGAGTGTACTGCCTAGAACTGCATGCTTTTCTCCACAAGTGGCCTGACCAGCTTGTGGACAAGGATGAAGCAAGCAGACGACCTTCTTTCAGTGCAGACAAGATGGCTGTTTAGAGGCCACATCACATGGCAGACACCTGCCAACTAAAACCCTCCATCCTTCCCACGGCCTCCCCCTCCTACACTTTGCAGCTGGATTCAAAACCTTGCATTCACCCTTGTTCCATCAACAGGGCCAGACCATCAGTCTATCTCATCCAGACTGTTTTTTATCTTACTTGCCAACCTACACACT
Source organism: Homo sapiens (assembly GCF_000001405.40). Lineage (NCBI taxonomy): Eukaryota > Metazoa > Chordata > Mammalia > Primates > Hominidae > Homo > Homo sapiens. The sequence continues at coordinate 116,637,790 of NC_000001.11, forward strand.
TGCTGTTCCTTCTTGCCTTAAAGTCATACAGATGACTTTCGATGATTCAGATGAGTGTGACCTCTACTTTCACCAAACACAACAGTCAATTCAGAAAGGTCAAGGACAGAACCCTCCAGCATGCTAATGAAGCCAAAGAAGTCTGAAAACAATACTTGGCCACACTGTTTTCCTGCTTAGGGATGGGGACTGCTCTTGTCCTGCCTATAAGTATATCGGATCGCTCTCCTTCTTGCTGGCATCCACAGTAACTATACTCAATAAACACACCAACTTTGATGCCAAATCCCATGCCATCCCACACATCTTAAAAATAAACCAAAAATGTGTTATTCCAGCTACCCTCACTCTTTTTGTGGTTTCCTGCAGTCTAACTAGCTACAAATCTCAAAGCCAAAGATTGTAGCTCCCTCTCTTTTGTTCTTTCATCAAGCCAGGGACTCCTGCTCCTCTCTCCCTAGTCTCTCCTGTGTCACTGCCACTTGTCAACTGCCTAATCCAGCCACGCTGTTCTTCAATTTTAAAGGTCTTCAGCATATTTTAAAATTAGTCTCCTACTGCTACTCTTTTCCCTACTCTTGCCAGTCCACTCAGTAAACTACTGCCATACAGGTCTCCCACAGCAGTTTCTCACCAGATAAACAAATGGCCAGAGATTCCACTTTGCCAATCACATCAAGTCCAAACTCCGTGTCTTGGTATCCAAGGCTTCAAAAGTCTGGCCCCATTCCACCTACTCAGTCTGACACCCACCACTCCCTCCAAACATCCCCGGTACGTCTTACTGGATTTTGCCATTTCCCCCAAGTCGACCAGGAGTCATTCACACCTAAAGGCTATGCTTACATCGTTTTCCATCTCTTGTGTTGGTGAGCTAAAAACAAGATGGAAAAGAAAAGAGAAGAGGAAGAGAGAAAAAGAGAAAGGGAAGAAATGGGGAAAACAGCAATAGGACCAGCTAACTCCTACAGCAGAGTCTTGCCAGGCCCTCCCCTAATTGCTCTATATGTGTTACAATGTTTAACCCTCACAACTACAACAGGAGGTGGGTACCATTCCATCCCCACCTGCAGATGAGTATGGCACCCCAAGGTTAAGTATCTGCCCAGGGTCACGTGCAAAGTCTGCATGCATGCTGAACCATTCCAGCTGCGCCACTGCCCAGGAAAAAAGTCACAGGTAGGAAGACAAGCATAGAATTAAGAACAAAGCAACTAACTGTACCAGGTGCTATGGAAGGGTGGTCAGCCTGGAAAATCAGGAGGGCATTCCTTGGGAGACTGCCACAATCAGAGTCTGGGAGTATGCAGGAGCCTGGCAGGCAGCCCAGGGACAGGTGAGGCACAGGCACTCATTCCCTTCCATGTGAGAAGTCAGGGCACGTGCAAAGCCAAGGCCAGAGGACAAAGGTGAGCTCGCCAATAGGGCCAATACTGGGTCTGGCTGGAAGGGGAGGGTGGACAGAGATGGGTACTAAGAAGTGAAGATGGACAGGCAGGACCAGGTCTTAAAGGGTTTGTGTCTTGCTAAAGATGGACCCTTAATTCCGTGAAACATCTATTCAACCACTCCTCATTTTCTACCTAAATTCTACTGTGCCTTTGCAAAGCCCAGCTCAAGTCCTTTTTCCTTTCAGGCCTGTCCTCCCTACTCCTAAGCAAACCACAGGTGTGGAGACAGGTCCCAACCACCTGCAGATGACAGAAGGAAGCTGCATCTGGGATCAGTCTACACAGAGGCAAGAAGGGATCCTCCTCCTCTGCCTTCTCCTTTCATGCTCTTCTTACCTTCTCTCAAAAAGAAAGAAAATACAGTGCCATTGCTTCTTCCCTAAGCTTGTTAAGTCAAAGCAAGTCAAAGCATTAGAGCTTCATTACTTGGCTTTTTCTAGCTATAAGTGTCTGGAAAATATCAGGAGTCACTGGCCTCTAGGAATCCATTAAGTTAAAGGAGCTCCATGATCTACTATCATAAGATGACAAAGAAAATATGCACTTTCTTTGGGAGGCCAAGTTGGGCGAATCACTTGAGGTCAGGAGTTCAAGACCAATCTGGCCAACACGGTGAAACCCCGTCTCTACTGAAAACACAAAAATTAGCTGGGCTTGGTGGCAGGCACCTGTAACCCCAGCTACTCAGGAGGCTGAGGCAGGAGAATCACTTGAACCCTTACCCAGGAGACAGAGGTTGCAATGAGCCGAGATGGCACCGCGGCACTCCAGCCTGAGCAACAGCGTGACTCTATCTCAAAAAAAAAAAAAAAAAAAAGAAAGAAAGAAAGAAAGGAAGGAAGAAGAAAATATGCATTTTCTCAGGATTAAATAACAAAAAATGCCAAGTTTCTTAGCTCCAGTCAAGAAAATGACATCACATGACAACAGCAGCCATTGCAAGTTTATCAGAAGATGGACAATTACAGATTTTTCATTTCTGAATAAGGAACCATTTACACAGACACATGTATAACAAATGCCTGTGCACATCCAGGACTTGTCAAATCTTAACATTTTGCCACACCTGGTTTAGTTTTTTTATTTTCCTTTCAAGAAAGAAAGCATTACAGGCTGTGCTTCAATCCCTATTTCACCCCCTTTCAAGCCCCACTATTCCACCCATCCCAGAAATGACAACATCCCAAATTTGGTATTTATCACTCTTGCACATTTTTATGCTTTTACTACCTATGTATGTAGCCATAAACAATATACAGAGTTTTTGGATGCTTTAAAACTGTTTAAAATGGCATCACACTGTATGCACCCTTTTGCATCTTTTTTTATTGACAAAACATTTTTGAGGGTAATCCTTGTTGACATATGTCACTCCAGGGCATTCATTTCAACTGCTTTATACCATGGTCCACTGTCTGAATAATCATTATCTATAGCACAATGTATTCATTTTCCTACTGATAAATTTTTAAGTGGTTTCCAACTTTTTATTGCAATAAATATTCTTGTAAATCTTCATCCAAGGGTATCTTCAACCACACTAGGCATTGCCCAAATTGCTCTGCAACATCAGTGCACCAATTTACATTGCCAAGATCAATGTTTAAGTGTTTCTATTCTTTGATGCCTTTGTCAACCTTGGTACTATTTGACTATTACACTTTTCACCAATCAGATATAAGGATGAAATGGTGCCTTCTTGGTATTCTGAAAATTAATTTTAAATGGGAAAATAAATTACTAGTAAGTGCAGCTTAATCAACAAGAGTTTTCATTAACACGTGGGAATACACCAGGTGTTCCTCGGATTTTCTTGAAAATTCTACAGGGAGGGTAGGGGAGTGATGGTACAGATAAGATTGGACATGAGCTGATAATTGTTGGAACTAGGTGGTGAGTGTATGGGGGTTAATTATCCTGTTCTCTCCACTTCGGTACATATTTGAAACTTTTCACAATAGAAAATTAAAAGAAGAACGGGGCGTGGTGGCTCACGCCTGTAATTCCAGCACTTTGGAAGGCCATGGCAGAGGATCACTTGAGGTCAGGAATTAAAGACCAGCTGGTCAACATGGGGAAAACCCACCTCTACTAAAAATACAAAAATTAGCCGGGTATGGTGGCGTGTACCTGTAATCCCAGCTACTGAGGAGGCTGAGGCATGAGAATCGCTTGGACCCAGGAGGCAGAGGTTGCAGTGAGCCAAGATTGTGCCACTGCACTCTAGCATGGGCAACAGGGCAAGACTCTGTCTCAAAAAAAAAAAAAAAAAAAAAAAAGAAGAAGAAAGAAAAGAAAAGAAAGAAAGAAAAAGAAAGAAGGAAAGAAAGAAAATTAAAAGAAGGAAATGCCATAAAGCATCAGGAGCAAAGAACATCCAAAGAAGAGCACTGATCACTGCAGCAGACAGCCGTTCAGAACAGGCAGAGAGCAGAGCTGGCAGGAAGAGAGAACAAAAGGAAGACCAGGAAGGGAAGCCAGGAAAAGAGATTTTGCACTGTGTTATTATTTCAATCAGAAGACTTAGGAACATTATTTAATTATCAAATTCGTGTGTCTGATGATCCTTTACAACACTGTAGCACCTAATAAAGTGTTATCAGATTTCTTTCTTTTTTTTTTTTTTGAGACTGGGTCTGATTCTGTAGCCCAGGCTGGAGTGCAGGGGTATAATAATAGCTCACTGCAGCTTCAAACTCCTGAGTTTTTTTGGTTTGTTTGTTTGTTTGTTTGGAGAGACAGTGTCTCGAACTCCTGGGCTCCAGTGATCCTCCCACCTCAGCCTCCCAAAGTGCTAGGATTACAAGCATGAGCCACTGTGCCCCAGCCCAACATCAGATTTCAAAAGTACTACTGATATTATTATCACCATTAAAAATCACTGAAGTTTTTGTCACCCAAAGTTTTACTTTGAAATATAGAACATTTCATTTTTTTCCCACACACCTCGCATCTGATTTTTGATTTTTAACATGTGCATGGATTACCTCTTATTAGAAAAAAAAACACGAAATTTTTTGGTAAAAGAATTATCCTTAAGTGGGTATTTTTTCCCTAAGTCTGAAATGACTTAGTAAGGATAAGAGGTCAAATCATATGCTTTGTAGTGAAACTGGAACTATGATGAATAACATTAGAATTCTGGATGCCTTCCAGCAGCTGGAACAGGGCAGACCTGAGGCGGGAGTCCCCACGCTTAGGGGAAGGGGCTCAGGCACTGGGAGTCGGTCAGGGCTCCCAGAATGTAAAAGATACACATGAAAGAAACAAACAGTGGGACTCGGGCCAGAGCAAAATTTGGCCTAGAACGGAGCTAAAAACTGTCATAGTGGTGGGAAGAAGCAGATTGGTTCAACAGGGTAACCAAATGTGAAAAAGAAAAGCCTCACAAGAATTAAAATTGATGGTTGGAACTGGGCGCTCCGAGGCTGTGGGCCGGTGTCCTGCCCTGAAGAGCTTGGCTGCCAGCAGGTGCAGCGCTGCCCTGGGATACCAGCTCCTGGGATGCGCTGTAGTATCATCAATCACCGCTGCTGCTCGCTGGGACTTGGAAGCACACAGTAGTAGCAGATGTCAGCAGGGGGCCACCAGGGCCACCTGCCAGTGAGCCCACTGCTTAGCTGAGTCATGGTCAGGTTTCTCTGCAGATTGTTGCCTGAAAATATTTCACCACCTGGAACCTCCCTGTCCCACCCATCTTCACTTGCAATACTCACTCCCCTCACCTCTGCCCCTAAAGCAATTATTCATTAACCACAGGGATCCACCATCCAGGAACAAAAGAGGCTGCAAAGCTCTATCTATGCCTGCACTTCTTGGTCCAAAAGGCGCAGGGGGATGGGGGAGAGGCACCAGGGTCATGGTGCAGGCTCCGCTGTTGAGTCTCATTCCCCAAACACAATGTGACAGGTATCAATAGTTCTGGAGTTGATCATTTCACAGAAAGGAAACTGCTATCAACCTGTCTGAGGCCACACAGCTAGTCCTGGATAAAGTGACTTAAAGAACCCAGGTCTCTGATTCCCAAATCAGTGCTCTTACCCCTCCCACGCCACCTCTCTCTTCTAAAGATCCACCCAACGGAACTGCCCCAGGGCTGGTATCCCAGCTACTTCTCCATTCATGCCGCAGGTCAATGATTCAGGGCGGACACTCCTCAAGTGACCTTCAGAGGCCCTGACTCACTCCTCCGACAGTCGTTTGTGTCTGGACTCCCAGCTGCTCCTCAGCAGCTCTGTCCTCCTTTGTACATTTATTACTGTCAGCCTGAGGCTAGCAGGAGGTCTCAATGCCTGGTGATCTGAGGCCAGCCTGTGGCCAGCCTGTCCCAGGCCCTCCCAGTCCCGTGAGGTCCTCCTGGGGATGCAGGCACAGCGACTGACAAGGATGAGGAGCAGAAGGGCAGGTGGCTTCCTGGGTGTGAGCTTGGCCTTCTGCCACGCCCATGCTCAGGTGTCTACGGGCACGTCTTGTGTTGTCACAGGTGTAGAAAGGGCTTTGACATGCGACAGATCCTCCGATCCCTGTGAAAGAGGGATCATTGTTTCTATTCTACAGTGAGGATGCTGAAGTCCAGAAAGGTCAGGTGACTGATGAAAGGTCATAAAATTAGCAGGAATCAGGGAAAGGGCAGGAAAGCAGAGCTTCCAGTTGCAAGGTCAGGACTCTTCAGCCCAGCAGGCGAGTTTGCCAGCCAGTCTATGCCCTGGTCTCTGCCCTCCCCAAACACGTGCACCAATTTGGAGGGGCTGCTCCCAGCACGCATGCTGCAAGATAAACTTCAGTGCTCAGCCCTCTCACTGTGACAATCCCTTAGAAAGGGGTCCCACGCTGTCCATCTGGGCCCCTACACCAAAGAACACCTAATTATCAGTGGTCCCCACTCAGGAAACGTGCCCACAAATAAAGACAAAAGTAAACCCAACTACACATTCCTCAAAATCCTCCTCTCCATTTCACAGAAACACCACAGCAGAGCAGAACTGCAACCTGATAGCATCCCTGTCTGGTTTTGGCTCTTTCAAAACATCAGGGACCTCACAGGAAAACAATGCAGAAAACTGCAGTCATTTGGCCGCTTGTTAAGGAGAGCCCTGAGCAGCAAGCTCCAGACGGGAGATGCGCCATATAACAGCAGCAGTTCCACACAGCCCTGCACAGCAGGAATTCAGCCTCTGGCAGCCGTGATGATGCTGAGGCAGTGTCCCCACTGCCCCAGTGGCTTCTGCATGCAGGTTCATTTGGGACAGGACACCTCTAACTCCATCTCTGGCCAGGAGCCAGCATAGTAGGTGCCGTGAAAGCCAGGAAGCGAACTGCACAGAATGGACTGTTCCAGTGTCCATGGGCTGCAAGTGGGTCCCACGTCACCCACAGGTGAATCTTAATTATGAACCAAGGTGACAGCAGAGAGGATGGGCAGCAAAGGAGGGTGTGTGTGGCGATCAGCCATCAGAGGAGGCGGCCCTGTGTGATGAAAGGACCTCCTCAGGAAACCTCCCCACCAGCAACTGGCTCCAAATGGTCAGACTTCCCAAGAAATTCCTGTGAAAAGGACAGGCTCAGGGCATGTGAATGTGATAGTCAGCAATTCCCACCTCAGCAGCCAGTGACACTACGATATAGGGAAAAGAACCTAGATTAGGCATCAAAAGTACCCGGTCCCCTTCATACATGGCTGGTGGGGAGGTAGGATGGTGCAGCCACTTTGGAAAACAGTCTGGTAGTTTCTTTCAAAGTTACCAAATGACCCAGCAATCCCACTCCTAAGTATTTACCCAAGAGAAATAAAACCTGTGTCCACACAAAGACTTGTACACATCCTAATAGCTGTATTCATAGTAGCCCCAAACTGGAAACAACCCAAATGCCCATCAGTTTGTGAAGAGATGGACAAAATGTGGTATATCCATAAAACGGAACACTACTCAGCAATAAAAAGGCGTGAACTAGATATACACAAGAACATGGAGGGATCTCAAAAGCACTGTGCTGAGTGAGAGAAGCCAGATTCAAAGGGCTACACACTGTAGGATGCCATGTGCATCACATTCTGTACAGTGCAAAACTGTAGTGGCAGGATTCAGGTCCCCTGAGGCTGGGGTCCTGGAGGCAGGAAAGGGGCTGGTAGCAAGAAGGCACAAGGGAACTTTTTGGGGACAGAGGAATGGTCCATATTTGATAGGTGGTGATTATGTGGCTGCTCATGTTTGTCAACAAAGAATTACATATTTTAAACTGGTGAGTTCCGTTGTATGTAAGCAAATTATACCACAATGAAGCAAATCTTTAAAACACTAGGTTCCTTTTCCTTATCTAGAGCTCAAAGTAGTGGCCCATGCTGGCTATGACTTGGAGAAATCACATAAGCTTACTGGGTCTCAACTGCTTCATTTGTACAGGTGGCTGCATAACACTCCCCGGGCAGGGGAACTGTAGGGAGGAAATCAGAAAATGTGAGTGAACACACAGAGCAAGCAACACATAGGCCTTCCCCAAATATCCACTTCTGTTTTCTTTCCTCAGTGTGAGTAAGTGGCTCTAATGATCCACAAACCTTCCAACCAGCCAAGTCAAGGACCAGCAGGAGGACTCAGGAAAGTACTGAAATGCTGGGGAGAACCAGGACAGCGGCTGAGCACAGCCAGACAGGGAGGGCAGCCTGGTGGGGCCCTGGAAGCCATGGACGCGACTGCGCTGGGAGTGGGGATGGGAGGTAGCAGGAGTTGGTGGGTGGGGCACAAAGTGGGAGCCAGGGCCGAATTGCTGCTGATTTGACCATTTTGCAAAAGGCCAGCCTGGCTGTGGCCTCAGGCCTCTCACTTCCTCTACCCTAATGAGGGGTCATAGAAGTGCCTTCCCACAACTGCAGCATCTCCCTCCACATTTGGGCTCAAATACAGAGTGGGGCCGGAGACAGAAAAAGTCTCCGTGACACACTGTGATTTGTTTCTGCACCGTGTGAACCCTTGGCTCTGTGACACGGAACACAAGTTTCAGCAGTTCCTGTCACTTCCCACAGGCGAAACAGACAGAGCCTTCTTTTGTCCGGCTTCTGGTGAAACGCCATTATCGTTATTTTTAGGAGGAAGATGGAGAATTGGGGGGGGTCCACACAAAGAGGATGGATTCAGAAGACTTCCAGGAACCTTAAAAGCCTTGGAAACTAATTGTGCCAGTTCTTTTTGATGTCTAATTTTACTCCAAAAGTTCCTCTCAGCACAATATATTAATACTTATCAGCCAAGAGAAGGTTAGGTTTTGGCTCACAAACAGTCAAGGAGAGAATCTCCTTAATTCATTGAGAAGGCAGAAGATGGCGTTAAAGAGTATTCATAGGTAACTAAGATTGCCAGAGGGAGAATCGAGTGAGTTGTCAGCGGTGAAATACAGAGGAGGTAGAGAGAGCTACACTGAGACAACAAAGGCAGCTTAAGGGAACAAAGCCAGCTAAGGGAACAAAGCCGGGGTCCCTCAGGTCTGTGGCCACCGGCTACAGCCAGGACAGCCTGGTAGCTGAAGAGCACGTCCTTGCCTGTTACATGCCTGTGTTTCAAGTGATGCTAACTTGCTAATGCAGATGTCTCCCCAAACCCTGCCCCTGGCTCACCACCCAGTGAGCAATCACTCACTTTCCCCAGGACACCTTCAGGGAGGTACTCTGCCAGCACCGCACACTTAAACGGCTAATGCAGGTTCTTCTCTCAGACGCAGCACAGTTCCTGAGATGACGTCAGCGCTGCTTGCTGAAAGCACCAGGCAAGGAGGCAAAACAAAGGAAATCCTAAAGAGCAGGCGAGAGAACAGTGGAACTGGCAGAGAGAGGCACTGGTGCAGATGGAGAGGGCAGCAATAAAAACTGGGGGACACTTAGAGGCAAAGGTATGGCAGGTGACAAAAAAGATGAGGCTGAAGGTCAGGAGAGACCCAGGCAGCGATGCCCAAATGACCGGCTGAGGAATCACCTCACTGCTGCCGATGCCCTTGACAGCGATGTCTGAGGCTGGCGTGAGTGCTCCATGCTCAGAGATACCTAGAACCCAGCTACAATGGCCTTATCAGACTGAAACAAGAACACCAAGATATTCCAAGGGAGGTGACAATGGGGTCCAAAGGTCGTGCCTTTATGGCTCGCAACTATGTGCTGAGTGTGGCCCAAATTCCAGCTCCAAATGGTCACACCATGTCTACAGCCAATCAGCTGACCGGGGTGGCAACCCCTGGCTCTGCTCAACAATAATGACAACCACCATTTATTGAGCCCTTACTATGTGCCAGACCGATGCTAAGTGCTTTCCTCAGATGTTTCCATTTAACTCTTAAAATCACCCTAATGAGTATTTCCTATTATTTTACAGATGAGGAAATGAGAGTTTAGAAAAGTAACTTGCAAAATCATACTGCTGGCTCCATAACAAATGTTGATTGAATGTTGTCTGGGCGGACAGAGGCAAGGATGACCGGAACAAGACAAACAAACGAAAGGCCGACTGACAGACCACTCGGGTAGCACTTTTTCTGGGATTAAGCTTAGACCTTGTAGGCCTATCAGCCAGAAGCAGTGTGTAAAATAAGAGCAGCTGACTGGGCACGGTGGCTCACGCCTGTAATCCAAGCACTTTGGGAGGCCAAGGCGGGCGGATCACCTGAGGTCAGGAGTTCAAGACCAGCCTGGCCAACATGAAGAAACCCCATCTCTACTACAAATACAAAAATTAGCTGGGTGTGATGGCACACGCCTGTAATCCTAGTTACTCGGGAGGCTGAGGCAGGAGAATCGCTTGAACCTGGGAGGCAGAGGTTGCGATAAGCTGAGATTGGGCCACTGCACTCCAGCCTGGGCGACACAGCAAGACTCCCTCTCAAAAAAAGAAAAAAAAGAGTGGCTACCCAAGAACGCAACAGCAGCAGCAAACACTGATCTGATGACACCCCAGTTTTGTAGAAGAGGAAGGAAAAATAAGAATGTCAACTCTCCATTCAACAGAGAAACAGTGCCACCACTGTCTTTAAATTTTCAAACTTATCAAGAAAAGCTCCAGAGAGGACAATGCCAGCAATGCCGGCTGTCTCCCAAGTCTGAAGGGTTTTCCTCTGGGTATTAGGAGTTGAGGTGTTCGGTTAGAGAAGAAACAGGATGCACGGGAGATCACACACAGAGTAAGAGGTGCCTCTCAAATGCCTTTCCCACGTGTCTAACTCTGCTTTGTTTAAAGCACAGTCAGACCCGCCATCTGCACTTTTACCTGCTGCCTGACGAAAACCAGATGCCAAAGCCAAAGGCCTCCCAGCACTCACAAGGCCCTTTGCCCTTAGGAAAACACCATGATTCAGCCAGGCAAGATTGATGCAACACTGTAACAAAGCGTGTGCAAAGTGCCTAGCTCCGGACTGCTTGCAGAAAAGGCACATTTTGACTCTTCTGAGAGTGGGAAAGATTTGAAAGATGGGATTTGCACCTTATTCCTATTCAGGTCTGGAGATCTGGAACTTCTTCCTGAAGCTCCATGTTTAGCCAGATAATTGAGACACTCCACCTGGTCACCACTGGACCCCAGCCACCCAAACATTCTCCTCTGCAAGGCACTTGGCATTCTGGTGCCTGTGGAGAGAGCAGCCTTCTCACCAGCACAGCTCATGAACAAGGATGCCCTTCCCTGGACAGCCAAGATGTAAACCTGCCCCCAGAAACACTGAGAGTCCTAGAGGTAGAATGAGTCAGCCAGCAAGCTCCAGCCCATTGACAGCAGACCCCTGAGCAAATCAAGTCAGGAGAAGGTAGACAACTGTACCATGAAGACCACATACCACCCAGACCCAACACAAATAGCTGTCAGCACTGCCACCCATTACAGCTTCAGATCTCGCTTCTACCAGGATTTCCCAGCTGAGCAAGAACCGTCAAAGTCTGGTCCTGGAAGGACAGCCCTCCCCGTCTTGGCAGCCACACTTTCTGGCCCTAGCCCAAGGCTGCTGTGGCATGGAAGGAATCAATGGAGGAATACATGGCTCTTCCCTGGTTCCTTCCTCTCCCACTTCATTGACTAACGCTAGTCACATGGCCCCAACTGAACTGTGAGGGAGGCTGGAAAATCTGGAGTATGTGCATGTCTAGTGAGTTGCCTCTACCACATCCTCTTAACCCTTGGCCTCTCATTCCCAAAGTCTAGCCCTATTTTCAAATGAATTCAACGCCTCATTACTTAGATCTTTCCTCATTACCTCAAAGCCATAGTGGCAAAAGGCAAACAGCATCTTCCTAAAATCTTCCTCTTCCTAAAATCTTCCTCTTCCATCTTCCTCCCCTAGATATCCATCTTACCCTTCTTCACCAGTTAATTTATTACAATCTTCCTTTGACAGCTTCACTCCCTCCCCGCACTGCTATCAACTCAAATGTGAGTTATTCCAGTAGCTTGAACTTGTCACTGGCCTTTTACTTTCTTCCCCTTCCAAAGAACCTGGTACCCAGCTACTTAATCCTTATCCTTCTTCCCAAGGCCCACTTTCATTCCTTTCTCCCCTGTTCATAAGCCTGTAATACTTTTCCGGCTGCATAAGTCACGTGTCACCATATAAACTCACAATTTGAGGTGCTCTAGAATCTGTCCGTGGAATTAGTCAGGACATAATCTCCCTGTTTTTTGGCAGCGCCACATCCACACCTGTCTTCACAGGTTTGCTCATGCCACCATTCCTTTCCCCAGAACGCCCTTCTGCTCCTCCCACACAAATCCTAATCCTACCTCAGGATCCATTTCAAATACAATCTCCTCACTCAACTCTTTCCTACCAACTTGCTTTCCCCTCTCCTTTCTGCCTTACCACAAAGCTAAGCTCTGTCTCTGAATAATGTGCTTTTTGATGATAATCTGAATGGTACAAGAAGAAATCCTGTTTCATGCTCCTTTGAGGGAGTGTCTAACATAGGTTAGACACTATAAGTAGTAGAAAATTCCAACTCAACTGGCTTCAACAGTGAGGACAAAATGTATGGAGATTGGACTGTTCAGTCTTCAGGGGCTTGGCCCTCAGGGTTTTTCCCATCTCTTCCCGTCTGCTGGCCTCAACAAACCTGCTTTCCTCATTGCAACAAGATGGCTGCTTCATGTCCGAGAATCTAGTGAAAGAAGCTGTCCCTTCTGCATTTCCTTTTACAATGAAAAACATCTTTCCCAGAATCTCCCAGCAGACTTCTCATACCTCAGTGGCCAAAACCATGTCACACGCCCATGTCTAAATTACGGGCCTCCAGGATGGGCTCAGCTCAATCAGCACGTACCCTAGAGCTGGAGGCAGGGTCACCTTTCCTTGAGTGGCATGTGGGAGAGGTGTGGCATCCAACCCAACTGGGTCCTGCCAACAGGAAGAGAAAAGAAGAGCCACTGTAGGTAACCAATCACGTCTACCACAGGCAGGGACCAATACCACATATCTGTGTTTCCCCTCACTTGCCACCCCCATCCTGTGCTGGCAGATAAGGATGCTCAACAAATAGCTGTGGAACTACAAATTATCCTGTGGGTGTGAGAAAAGAGTGTGCATTATAATAGGGTGCTACAATTGGACATGTGTGCACAGAAAATGGAAAAAGAGCCATGAAATCCAAACAGATGCAAAAACGTTCTTAACACAGAAGGTTTGGGAAGCTCTGATCTAAGCCCTAGCCTGGGCCCTACTCCCAGTTCCACAGATAGGGAGCAGGCCCCAGGCCAGAGTGCTGGGCTTCTCCCAGCGGGATCCAGCTGGGGCCTTCTCCTCAGTTCAACCCTTGCCTCTGAGGACCAGTGGTCTACAGTCCAGCCCACAACCCTTCAGACAGAAGTTCCAGGCACAAAAAGGAAGCTCACAATAAGGAACGCCCATGCCTAGCCATAACTGAGCACATCACAGACTCACACAAATCTGTGGAATGAGTGCATGATCTCATGAGCTCTGGTCTGGAAAAGTAAGTCTCCCTACACTAAGACTTAAAGGGAAGGCTTCTTTGGCTATGCCAGTATCTCTTTCCTGCCTCTTTCTTCTTCAGGCCAAATGGCTCCTATCCCTGCCTTCCATCTTAGCTTTCCAGCATACTCTTCCCAGGTTCTTTGGGCTACTGACAAGCACTCCAGACCCAAATACACATGCTCCCACCTGAGGCTGGGAAATGTACCAAGAACTGCATAGAAAATATACTGGACAAAAGGCACTCCAGTCTCACAGATATCCAGTCCCACAGTCTATATCACAGATCACCAGTTTTAGCTGTTTGAAGTTTTAGAATTCCTTTTCAAATACCATAGCTAGCATTTCTTTGGCTAGAGAAAACTGTGTTAAATGCAGCCTACCATAGGATCGTTGATTACAACATGCATTCAACATTCAATACATATTGACTGAGCAACTATTAGGTTGAACTATGTGACATTATTGACATTCGACTGCTTCTGACCTATCAAAATGGCAATAAAGCTCAACTTAATATTTACTCTATTCCAAGCAGTAGGCTAAGGAAGGATTTGGGACACCATGACAAACAACACAGAAGTAACCCCTATCTTAATGGAACTTAAAATCTAGTTTATTAAACCATTACTCACAAAAGTACAATCCAACTTCAGGATTGTAATTAATTATAAATGCATTTATTTGTTTACTGCCTGACTTCTTTGCTAGCCTATAAACTACACAAAGATGAGGATTATGTCTCCTCCATTTCACACACTGGCCAAGCATATAGCAGAACACATCATATATTTGTTAAATGTATTGATTAGTGTTACAACAGACAATTGCATGTGCTATGGAAGCATTTGGCAGAGAGATCTAATCTAATCTTGGAAGGTGAGGATCCTGGACGTCACTAACTTGGAATTTCTGATACTGATGATATAAGGTTGAGTTAGGTCTTCATGAAACAGGTCTCTATACAGCATATAAACAACTACCAGCATGCACAGGGGTTTCATAGGGACTATTTAAAATACTTAAGAGAACAAACGGTTTTCAAGCTCAGTCTAGTATTTCAGAAATTCCATTTACATAAACAATTGGTGCACTAATTGCAAATCATTCTTATTTCTCTCCTAAAGCAGTATCCCCTAAGGATCTTTATTAGGCATTCTATTAGCCTAGTTTGAGTTACAGTATTTACTTAAAAGTAATAACAGTGAAGTTCTTGAAAAATATTTGGTAATTCAGACATTTTACTAATTCAAACTAATCTTCCTCATTAGTCTACATTGTTAGAGGTTGAACCATTATATTAAGAGAAAGTATCAAAAGCTTCACTTAGAGTAACAGTCACCAAATTCTTTTGCAAGACACCTTGGTAGCAGGAACCTGGGCTAACATCAGGAGGTAGGTAGAAATAGAAAATAAAGGAATGACAATTTGAAGAGCAACTGCAATCCAATTTAGTCCAACAGATGACACACATATGAAGTCACATTCAAATTATAAGCAGAGCACAAAAAAATTTTAGATCCTTATCTTTTGATTAACCTGGTATCATTCAAGGAAAAATGTCAGGGAACACCACTGACCAGCAGTCCTCTCTTATCTATTTTGCAGATCTTATCCATTTTTCTCCCTGAGAACCAGCCCTGGACACAAACTGCATAAACATCAATGAGCCTAGACAGTGTCTTCATGTGTGTTTGGCCTGCCATTGTTCTCTGTACCCGTACGGAGATTTAGTAACACACTGGTCACATTCATGGGGCATCTTGAACTCTCTTGACATGGTAAATGAACAGCAGGCTCTGTCCCCATGCCAAAAGCAAACAAAAACCTGTCCCCAGCAAGGAAGACACCCAGTCTCTCCAAAGGATGCCAAAGTCCCCATCCAGCCTCCTTTGCAGAGCCTCACAAATCTCTCGGATGCAGGCAGGATGATCATGGGCTAGGGAAGATTATGCTCTGAATGTCTTAAGAGATTAGTTACTTAAAATCCTCCACATGACTTCAGTCATCCCCGTTACAGATCACAGAGTAAAAAGCCTACTTGATTAAAGCTGAATGCCTATACATTTGCAAAAGGGAAAATATGCAGAAGAAAACAAGAGTCAGATTACTGATGGGCATAGCACCAGCTCTAGGACATCAGAGGTGTTGAATAAATGATGACAAGGAGGCACATATAGTTCTGATATATTCACCATAAATACCACAGTCCTCAAGGCTCTCTCAGTTACTTACTTCCCCCCAAATCAGAGACTGAATCTGGCCTTATCTTCAAATGAGGCCCAGCTCTCCCCAAATTCCAAATATGGGAAATTACAGCTCCTCTGTGGTAGGGGGAAGAGTGGGAAGGCGAATGTTTGTATTGCATAATGTTTTAATTTAAAACAAAGATGACGTGCATCAGAGTCTCTTTCTCATCTCCTGTTAGGGGCATTTTCCAGTACTCCTTCCACCCTCTACCCACCCAGGTCACCATGGTCTTTTTCTTCCCTCTAGGACAATTCACCTTTAAAATAAGAGGACTGGGCAAGAAATCTACAAAGATTTTTCTAAAATGAACTCAGGCCTAGAGGCATATTAGTTCTCTATCTTGTTGCTCCCTTCTAGAAGTGCACAGTTCAGAGGGATGCCCAGCCACAGAGGTGCCGAAACGCAGAACTGGAACCAATCACCTGCTCCAACAGAGAGAAGGCGAAAGCACTGGGCAGCGTGCTCAGAATGTGCTCTTGCTTCTTTGTAACGAAATATCAGAAGACAGATTGTAACGTTGTTCAGCAAGCTATTTTTTGTACTGAAACATCAGAAGGCATTATGAAACTGTTCAGCAAATCATCTCTAAACAATGTCATAAAGGGTTACCTAGTTTGGGGTAAGCCCGGAATGAATATCTGCACCATCATTCCTCACACTAACAAACATGTCCATCTATGTGAAGCAGAATTCCCAACACACCACCATCTCCAAACCAACACCAAACCACTGCCAAACAAAGCTGAAGAGGAAAACCAGAAAGGTCTCTGAGAAGTGCTGCTTGTAGGGAGAAGAATGGCCCTGCACAGAGGCTCCTGAGGGCAGCAGGCACCTGCTTTGGCACCTTGGCAATTTCCACCAGGCAGAATTTACAACCGTCTGGGACCTGCAGTCTCAGAGGGCTCACGGAGAAGGGGGAAGCTCTTGGCTACCCAGGAGGTCACCAGTGTCTCTGAGAAAAGTGCAGATCAATGCCTCCTTAGGGTTAACCCCAGGTTGGGAGAGGGCATCTGGCAAGGAACAGACCTGGAAGAGCCTGCCCTTCATCGAGCTGCTACAGCAGCTTCTGGGAATTTGTAAGAGCCATACTGATGAGGGTCCCTCACCCTCCCTTGCCAGGGCGCCCTCAGGGAGGCCACACTGCAGGAGGCAAAGTATGAGGTGGGGAAGATGGATTGGCCTTATACTCACCACCCCCCATACGAGGCTCCTCTGGTATGGACGGTGTCTCCTCTCTGGTGGGAAGTATGTGATTTCTCTATTTCTATTTCTCTTTTGTTTGGGCTTCCTAGAAATTCAGAGCTAGGTGTGAAATTCCCAATTCCCACACACAAGCAACATCCCCAGCAGTAATAAGGACGTTCCACACACCCAGGACTTGGGATATTTGTGTATTTTCAAGAATAAAAGTTTGCCCTTTAGCCTCCTCAGAGCCCCCTCCCTTCTCCTCGCTCTCCCCTTATCACTGCTATTCATCATCTTACTCCTACAGATACCCCCTCTTCCTGGTGGCACCGGGCATTGGTAACTCATGGCTGTAAAGGAGAGCTGAGAACAAAACAGGAAGAAAAGAGGTTAAGTAATGGCAAGAAAAAAGATGTACCTTAGGAATAAAAAAGAGTTCCCCAATGTCACAGTGTATTTAATTAATCCTTCTATTTATTAAAGATTAAAAATACATATCAGGTGACAACTTAAAATGTTAGTCATGATTTTAACTGTGAATTCTGTGGCACCGGAGATAACAGAACAATGAATGCTTGTAGCAGGCACTCGGTTATTTGTTGAATGAACTTCTTGGGAAAGCCTTCTTAGGAAAAGTATTAGAAGTAGATTCTACTAGAACAGGGGCTACCCCCAGAGGTCTCAGGACAAGGGATAGAAAGTCAAACACTGATGTTTAAGAAGGGATGACTATGACACATGAATCCCACAGCCATCTCTCCAAAAGAACAACTATTTTAAAAATCAGGTCTAAAGGTGAGCCATCCAAGAAACTGCTCTTGCTCCCAGAGGTTTTAAAGAAAGTCATTCCCGTGAACGTTGAGAAGTAACCCAACGCTGTGAAATGATAATCTTTTTACAGCAATAACTGTTGCTGCAGGGGTTGAGAAAAAAAAGTTCTCTTCCTTTGGGTTAAAGTCTTAAATGCTGAGCCCGTAGCCAGCAACCTTAAAGGCTACTCGGGTCCAGTTCATTCTATCTGGAGGAGTCACTTGGGAATTGAAAACACACGAAAACTTTTTTTCTGGTCCATGAACAAACAAGAACACTTAACTGAATTAGACACAAAACTAAGTATTTATGGTTGTCATCTTAACAGGTTTCAAACAGGCTTCATTTTAATTTAACATAATTTCAAAATTATAGCAAAATAGTCAATAAAATACGAACGTGCTTAATTTGATGAATTTATGTATTTTTTGAAGAAAATATGCAGAATAAACAAGTCAATTATTCTCACTAAATACATTAAAATTTAAGGGTAATATTTTTATTATGACTTGCTCTCCTGATACAGCAAAATTTATTGTTATATAGTTATTGAAGGAGGCTCACTACTCCCCAATGATTTCACAAATTACAGCTTCAACCAGCTATAAAATAACCAAATCAGTTCTGATATAGCCATAAAATTAAGCCTGAAAAAATAGTGAAGTAAATCATCCCTTTAAAATCAAGTTGTTGAACAATATGTTCCGCATGATTCCATTTATATCAGAAAAAATATATTTGTGTAAGTATATACATAGAAAAGGGTCTGGAAGAACATATACCAAACTATAAAGAATCTATATCAAAGTCAATAAGGAGCATAGACAAGGAGGGGAACTTTCACATTTTACTTTCTACATTCTTTTTTTTTTTTTTTTTTTTTTTTTTTGACGGAGTCTCACTCTGTTGCCCAGGCTGGAGTGCAGTGGCGCAATCTCGGCTCACTGCAAGCTCCGCCTCCCGGGTTCACACCATTCTCCTGCCTCCGCCTCCCGGGTAGCTGCAACTACAGGTGCCCGCCACCACACCCAGCTAATTTTTTTGTATTTGGGGTTTCACTGTGTTAGCCAGGATGGTCTCAATCTGCTGACCTTGTGATCTGCCCACCTCAGCCTCCCAAAGTGCTGGGATTACAGGCGTGACTTTCTACATTCTTGTAACAGAATTATAGTCACTGTTACCTCCATCAAAAAATTAAAATTCAAAAATTAGGCCAGGCACAGTGGCTCACGCCTGTAATCCCAGCACTTTGGGAGTCTGGAGCAGCAGATCACCTGAGGTCAGGAGTTGGAGAGCAGCCTGACTGGCCAACATGGTGAAACCCCATCTCTACTAAAAATACAAAAATTAGCCGGGCGTGGTGGAGGGCACCTGTAATCCCAGCTACTCGGGAGGCTAAGGCAGGAGAATCACTCAAACCCGGGAGGCGGAGGTTGCAGTGAGCCAAGATTGTGCCACTGCACTCCAGCCTGGGTAACAGAGCGAGACTCCATCTCAAAAATGAATGAATGAATTAATTAATTAATTAAAGCAAACAAATATAAGCTACCTCCTGAAGTAGAAACCAGTATCTCTTCATCTTACGTTTACATAATACTTTACCCCAATACATTTTGTCTGCTGTTCTAAATCATGACTTACTTCAAATCAAATCTTAAGTGAAAATCAAGATTTCCTTTTGGGGGCGTTATACAAAAAAGACTGTAAAATTTCATTCTCTGAAAGTCTTTTTAAAAAGGAATAGATTGTATCTGGCTGGGATAGGGTAGGTGTGATCTGACCCACAGCAAATGATGGCTGCTCAACTCTGCATCTCCTTTCCTCTCCCTGATGAAAAGTGCCACCTAGCAAGGTCAATCAAGGTCACCAATGCAAAGAAGTAGTGGGCAAACACCACCCAGGTTATCCAAGGTTCCTAAGGCCCAAAGCAGCACATGGGGTTGGGAAGCTGACGACCTTAGAGATTTCAAAATCACCTAACAATAACCCCACTTTCCCTAACCACAGGGCTAAGCAACCTAATGGATCAAACATGTGTGCTTTGGTCATCCGCAACCCAGACCACTAGACTAATTTTGCTTTAGAACTGGACTATATCAAGTGTGAACGATCATACTGGTTATCATGTGGGAAAAAAGGTTTAATTACTCCCTAATGGTCTGGGAAACCAAAGATTTCAAAATACGGAGCTCCTGGGGGAAGGAGAGTTAATAAAATGGGTCCTTGAGAAGTGAAGTGGGAAGCCTGCCTCATGCCATGGCACCAGCGATGCCACAGGTGTACCCAGTGCCCTGCCGAGAGCAGAGACAGTGTTCTCAGAGTTGCTATCAAAAAGGAGGCCGCAGACTGCATTCTGAAGCATCAGACAATGGGTCACATGCAAAAACAGAATTAAATACACAAAAATAGCACCAACTTAAGGCAAGCCTGGGCAAACTGCACTACATCAAAGAAAGAACACACAACTGGTATCAGATTTTTTTTTCTGTTTTAATAAAGAGAAGGCCTGGACACCTGAAAGTTGACGGGAAGCAGGCATTACTCATTTCTCCGAGTTCACAGTTTTGTTAGAATGTCTTTGCTCTGATTATGGTTTTTTTTTTTTTGAAATGGAGTTTTTTGTTTTGTTTTGTTTTGTTTGCTTTTGTTGCCCTGGCTGGAGTGCAATGGTGCAATCTCGGCTCATCGCAAACTCCGCCTCCCAGGTTCAAGAGATTCTCCTGCCTCAGCCTCCCAAGTAGCCAGGATTACAGGCACCCGCTACCACATCTGGCTTTTTTGTGTTTTTAGTAGAGATGGGGTTTCACCATGTTGGTCAGGCTGGTCTTGAACTCTTGACCTCAAGCGATCCACCCGCCTCGGCCTCCCAAAGTGCTGGAATTACAGGCATGAGCCACCACGCCTGGCCTGATTATGTTTTGATGGATATACAGAAGCTCTTGCTTTGGTACAGAAACAGGCCCCCCTTTGCTTCGACCTCTGGGCCCCCCACCTTCAGAAATGTCTGGTGCCATTCCTGGCTCCTCCTCTCAGTGGTCTTCCAGGATATCCACTCACAGCTTTCTGATGTCGCCCACCTGTCTCTAGCCCAGATACCCAGTCCTCATGGCAACTGACTGCAGCAATTTTTACAAATCTACACCCTTAGGGTTCCCATCCCAGGACATTCAGGTTTCTCCACCCCTTTAGAAGTGCCCAGAATATCCTCTACCCCACAATTCCAACAGGACGTCACTCTCCTCTTACTTAAGAAAAATGCCTAAAATTCCAGCCCTTCCAAAAGGCCTTTCCAGATTGACCACTCAGGAGTTACTCTGGCCTCCCCTTCACTCCTCCTGCTAAACTGAAAACAAGGACAGACTTGCCTGGCCTCTCTCCCCCAGTAGACACCTACCCTCAGTGAACACATCCTGTCAGTGTCCTCCTGTCCATTTGCAAATTGATTGACTGTTTCATTGCTGGCCTTGGATGACCTCTCCTAGAGGGCAGGGACGGGTGGTGTTCGGCAAAGCCTTGGTCGTCTGGATAATGGGAAATGGGGTCTTCTGGTGAATTTAATTACAGGGTTAGGTGGAAACTTTGCTTCAACTCTCGTTATTAGAAAGCCTATTGTAAAGCTTTTTAAAATACAACTGACCACTTTCCAGGCAGGGTAGAGTTAATATGCCTTAATCTTTGATTTAGGATCTTGCAGTGCCCCAGGCTCACCATTCTCTTCTGCTACTATAATTATAGATGCGGAAGACATACAGACTGGGCTGACGACTGCTTGGAAGCTAATTTCTAGAATAAACCCTTGCTACCACATCTTGTGATTTTTGCCCTTCTGAAGGTGGAGTTCAAAAATAAAAACAAAATCCCACTTAACTGAGGGTTCCAGTTGAGGGAGGTCTGCTGCCATGGTCTTTGTTAAGTGCCTGCCACCATGGCCCACAATTAGTCAGTTAATAAAGGGTTCTTGATGAGAGAATTTGGCAACATGTGATTTTCCACAAATATAAGCTTGATTTTGATGCAACCACTCATTTCTTTGAAAATCAGGGGGCATTCACACACAGGTGTTCTAGATTTCCTTAAAGTAAAAACCAACCCTTTACAAGGAATAGCTGTGTTCACTTTGAAGCAGTAAAGAAGCAGGTGTCCACTCATGGCAAATGAGGAACTCCCTTTTTTTTTTTGAGACGGGGTCTCGCTCTTTTTGTGTGTGTGTGAGATGGGGGCCACCCAGGCTAGAGTGCAGTAGTGCAATTACAGCTCACTGTAGCCTCAACCTTCTGGGCTCAACCAATTCTTCCCACCTCAACTTCTGAAGCAGCTGAGACTACAGGTGTGTACCACCATGCCCAGCTAATGTTTTTGATTTTTAGTAAGATGAGGTCTTGTTATATTGCCCAGGCTGGTTGGTCTCAAACTCCTGAGCTCAAGTGATCCTCCTGCCTCAGCCTCCCAAAGTGCTAGGATTATCGGCATGAGCCACCATGCCCGGCCAGAAGCTAAAAATATTAATCAAGGAGTCATAACTAAGGATGCACTGCACACCCAAAGCCAGGGACCACGAGAGGTCAGCAACTGGGACTGCTTCCTCCAGTTCCCAGGCTGGGGCTCAGCAGCAGTGGCCTGGGCTCTGGGGACTTACTTTAAGCCTAAATCCCAAACTCATTATAATTCAAACCAATTTTCTGTGTCCAGCATCATCCCACCTGAACTGGTCCTTAAAACCACTGACAGTCATTTCTCCAATCTGTAAAAGGCCTGCTGAGGCCTTTGCATTATCAGGACTTAATTGGGAGTAGAATGCCCTCCCCATCAAATCCTGACCATTTCTGAACACTCAGCCCATGTCCTCTTCCTGAGTGTCTTCCCCAGCAACAACCACCTACACTGAACTTTACTTCGATCTCTGCAGGAAACTGTAGATAGAGATGCGGTCTCACTATGTTGCCTAGCTGGTCTTGAACTGCTGAGCTCAAGTGATCTCCCTGCTTCTGCCTCCCAAAGTGCTAGGATTACAGCAGTGAGCCACCACACCTGGCCTATGTATGCTTTTCTTTTTTTTTTTTTTTTTTTTTTTGAGACAGAGTCTTGCTCTGTGGCCCAGTCTGCAGTGCAGTGGCGCAATCTCAGCTCATGGCAACCTCCAGGTTCAAGGGATTTTCCTGCCTCAGCCTTCCGAGGTGCTGGGATTACAGGCACACACCATCACGCCCAGCTAATTGGCCAGGCTGGTCTCAAACTCCTGACCTCAGGTGATCCACCCACCTTGGCCTCCCAAAGTGCTGGGATTACAGGCGTAAGCCACCATACCCGGCCACGTATGCATTTTAAAATGTTATGCTCAGATGGGGTCTATAGGCTTCACCAGACTGCCAAAAGGATCCATAACACAAAAAAGGTTAAGAAGCTCTATAATCAGACAAATGTGAATTCAAATTCAGATTCTGCCAAATTCCAGCTCTTTTCCTTTGAACATAATTGTTTTCAAGGGAAAAGTGTCATGAATTTCCTTATCTTGATCAAGGAAGCCAACACAGAAACAACACCTACCTTGTGAAACCATTCACTCATCAAAAAATTAACTGGGCCAGGTGTGGTAGCTCACGCCTGTAATTTCAGCATTTTGGGAGGCCAAGGCAGGCGGATCACGAGGTCAGGAGTTTGAGACCAGTGTGGCCAACATAGTGAAGGCCCATCTCTACTAAAAATACAAAAAAATTAGCCGGGTGTGGTGGTGTGTGCCTGTAATCCCAGCTACTCGGGAGGCTGAGGCAGGAGAATCGCGTGAACCCAGCAGGCGGAGGTTACGGTGAGCCAAGATCGTGCCACTGCACTCCAGCCTGAGCAACAGTGTGAGACTCCATCTCAAAAAAAATAAAATAACTGAACACCTGCTTACTTTGCATGGCACAAGGCTGAGTTCTGGGACTACAGTAATGAACATGACAGATGGTCTTCAAGAATTTTATACAGAAGGTCATGCTATGTAAAGTGTTTAGCACAGTGACTGGCACATAAGCACTCTATAAACACTTTAATACTCACTGATAAAACCACAAAATGTAGTGTTTAATTATATGCTGATTTAGGTTGCTTCCTATGAAACAAACGTTGGTTCATCTAACTCATGCCTTCCTAACAAGCCTTCTTAGAAGCCAGAGGCTCGGCTTCAGAGTCAAACGGAATAGCTTATTAGATGTAAGAACACAGGATTTGGAACCAAATGGTCCTGGCTTCAAAACCCTACTCTGCCACTTTTTAGCTTTGTGACTATGGCAGAGATGGGCAGCTGTCCCCCAAAATCTGTTCTCTCCTTTCCCTACAGTCATAGAATCCCAAGTTTTTCTCAGGACACATGGACCCTCAGGATAAGCATATTTTCCAGCCTTCTTTGCAGCTAAATATGGTCACATGACTAGGTTCTAGCCAATGAGAATGTTAGTGGAAGTGATGTATATAACTTCCAGGAAGTATCCTTACATTAAGAGGTCCTACCCTTCACTAGCCTTTTCTTCCTTCCTGATGGCTGCGGCTAGAAGAGTCATCTTGGACCATGAAGTCATCTTGGGAATAGAGAGCATGCACATGGAGCAAGACAGCAGGAGCTTGGAGCCCTAACACTGTCAGCAATCTATCTTAGGCAAGTGACTCTTTTTTTTTTTTTGAGACAGAGTTTTGCTCATTGCCCAGGCTGGAGTGCAACGGCGCGATCTCGGCTCACTGCAACCTCTGCCTCCTGGGTTCAAGCGATTCTCCTGCCTCAGCCTCCCGAGTAGCTGGGATTACAGGAATGTGCCACCATGCTCGGCTAATTTTTGTATTTTTAGTACAGACGGTGTTTCACCATGTTGGCCAGGCTGGTCTCAAACTCCTGACCTCAAGTGATCCACCCGCCTCAGCCTCCCAAAGTGCTGCGGTTACAAGCATGAGCCACCATGCCCAGCTTAGGCAAGTTACTTAACCTCCCTAAGCTTCAATCTCCCCATCTATAAAAATGTGATAATGCAAGGTATCTATCTTACAGGGTTGTTTTGAAGACTGATTGATATAGTTGGGTCACAGTAAGGGCTAGAGTTAGGAGAGCTGGTATTACTGCCATTATGGAAGTACCAGCAGTCTTGCTGCCATGAAAACCGTAGAAGATGGCAACATCTTAACACAGCCCTGGGTACCTGGAGGTAGCTCAATGATTCTCACAGCTGAAAGGCATCCTAGTAGGCCAAGTCCTCCTGACAAGAATTTCCTTCTCCTGCACCCTTGTCAAATGGTCCCCAGGAAAGGGAAGTGCACTACCTCTGGGACAACTATTAGGACAGTGGTGTTTGTTCATCCATAAATCACAATCCTCATCCCCTTCTTTCAGAACCCTTCTCCTGATTGCTCCAAACCATCTCACTTTTCTCTGCCTCCTCTTTCTCCTCTGCCTTTGATCACTCCAGCCCTGCCTCTGAGGTCACACCCATAGTACTTCAAAGTTTCTTTCAATCCCTTTCAGAAGCCTTTTCTAACTAACTGGGAAGTAAGAGATGGCTTCCTCAGCCTTACCGTATTCAAAGAAGAGACTTCCCAAACTCTACAAATGAACTTCTCTCCCTCTGGAGCAGAACACAAATGATCATTTGCCATCTACAGGTTCTCAGATGTCCCAATCTCCTACATTTTTCATTGCTAACACTTTTAAAGCTATTTAATCTTGTTTGCAACATCAGCACTGGTCTGGGAGGTATATAACTCTTCCTGGCTACACAAAATCAAAATGTGCTGTATGTGTCTAAAGCTTATATTCATCTTTCCTGAGAATTTCCTTCCTGTTCTTACAGACACAAATCCTATGCTCTCTTTCCCACATTGCTGTCATCTTCCCATGTCACTGTCACTCATGCAGGCTGCTCCCAGACAGAGGCACTTTTCCAGTCACCCTTCCCTTCCTACCACTGTACCAGCCTCTATTCTCTCTCTAATCTTCTGCCCCTCTGGCCACATCTATCCTCAAATAGAGACTTTACTACCCTCATGGTTCAACCAGAGCCAGGCTTAAATGGCTTTGTAATTGGAACCAAGGGTTGTGGTGGCAGAGCCATGCACTGCCACCACAACCCTTATTGGGTGAGGCACCTAGGGTTAGGACAGAAGGAAACAACACACAGAGGTCAAGGGGGTAGGTACAAAGACAAAGGGTAGGACAAAGACATAAGCAGGAATCAGTATCCCAACAGACAGAAAAGAGGAATCTGATTCCAATCCCAGACACTGGCAAAGGACAGGTGCAGAAAAGCACAGGTCTGTCATGTTGAGGGAGATGAAAGCGTCTCCGAGATTTACCCTGTATACCCCTCACATACTGTCCAGGGTTTTCTAACTAAAATTGCCATTTCTAGAGGCTGGTACCTGCATCGGTCTCACTTTCAGAGCACTTAGCCTTATCCAACTTTTTTAAACAAAATTTTATTCCAGGCATGTGACCTATATGGGCTTAAAACCTTGGGATTCTTCGCTGTTTTAAATTCATACTACACATTAATTCACATTATGCAGCAAGAATGCTGACACATGAACCAGACCACATCAGAAGACAAGCAGGAAATAAGACCCCAACATGGGTTTTGCTCCCTCCCCAAACGCCTTCTACCTCTCCCAGATTAGTAAAGTAGTAGCCAGGCCTCCTTCCTGCCATACTGAGAGCCATCAGGTGAAGAGAAAGATGAGGTTCCACCAGTGGGGCTCCAAATCAGGCAGAGATCCACATGCATGCCTACAGTTCCAAACCTTCCCACTTCAGCCTGCATCTGGATGTCTGCCACTGTGCCCCTTTAAAGCCACCTTGATGCTCATTTTCCTCCATGGCACCTGTTTACACATGAAGATGAGGGTGGAGGGAAAATGACAGCACCTGCCAGGTGCCAGGGCCCGAGCTCCACTCCACAGAGTGGCCCAGAGAGCGAACAGCAGGGGGACCAGCATGCAGCCTTACATTACTTGAGCAGCCAGAAGAAACAAAAGGCACAAATGTCACATTGCCTTGTTTTCCCATTGATGGTTACTTCTCCTGCCCTGGGCCCCACCCTGCCACTCAGCCCTCTTTCCCGCCTTAGCCACACACCCCACCCCACATCCAAACCTCCCCAAGGGCTTTCCTTGTTTGTGTCCTGTTGAATCCACATGAATCACTAATTGCTGATTTAAACCCAGACACTAAGCGAATGACACATACAGTACAACAAATACAGATCCAATATGAAGAGACTGGCAAATGAAGGGCTCCCTGCCTTCTTGACTCTGCCTGAGCATACAGGTGACATGGAGACACTGCCTGTATCCCAGCCCACAGCTGAACAGAAGACTAACTAAACTACCAGCAGGGTGTCTGCATGCGTTGGGTGGTAGGGCACTGGCGCTAGTGAACTCACCCACTGGTTCTCTACTGAACCATGCATGGAATTACCTGAGATAGCTCAAAGGCTGAGACCTGGGTCCCACTCCCTAAGCGAGTTTGGTTTCACTGATCTGGGGTTGTTGCCTGAAATCAGAATTTTTAAAAGCTTCCCCAGTGATTCCAACATGCACACGAGAGTTTGAGAACCACTGATTGCACAAATCTATTATGAGTTTCAGACATTATTTAAGGCAGTCAAGGCATTTAGGACACCTTATATCCTTTAGTTATCACACCTTCCCTTGTTTTATTGTTTCTGTTTTATTGACATTCAGATGTCAATCATGGTGAAGCTGGGATAGGAACTCAGGTCCTCTAATTCTAAAGTCCATTCTCTTCCCACACACCTGTTACCTACTGCAAGGGTGTAGACAATGCATGGAAGCAATCTCCACTGCCAACAGATCACCCTAAGTTCCCTACGTGCAAGACACCTAGATTTGGAGACGTGAACCCTGTAGGCAACAATCATAATCCCTTCTGAATGCAGAGGACCGAGCCTTACAGAGAGGGCAGGGGGTGTGCTCATGTATGAGGTCTGAGATGGGGAAAGAGAATGGCACCAAATCCTGGCAATGAAGTTTATCCTAGACCTGAGATGTGTTCTAAGACAGCACGCTGAAGACAGTGCTCAATGGCATAAAAAGAATAGGCAATTGTTGAGCAGAGGGGCCTCTTCACTGGGGTGAAGGTCCTGCATCTGCACCTTAAGAGGGGTGTCAAAGGTTCACCTCTCAGGGCCATAGTTTCTTCTTCCCACTCTAGGCATTCTGATTTGTGGGAGCACAAAAGCCAATCCTAAAATCTCCCCTACCAGGCAGCTTCCTTTTCTTCAGGCTCTCCTTCTCCCAGAACTACGATCTAAGCTTCCTTGGTGAGGAGACACAGGACTAGTGCCCTCACATTTTTAGCCTTCAGACCACTCAGGTAGGCAAAGCATCCCTTCAACCCCCATCCCACTTACTCCCATTTCCACCTCAAAAAAGGCACCATCATTATCACCCAAACCAACTTTCGAGACAGAGGGGAATGATGTTCCCACTCCCAATTAGGAATCAATGCAGCCCAACAAAGAAGTGAAAACACCAGAGCATCCATGTTTGACATGCTACAAGACAGCAGCCCACCAGCCATGTGAAGTCCCTAAACCACAGATGTGCAGATGCAGGACCTCACCCCAGGGGCCAAGACAGACACTTTAAGAACAGCAAATGTTCCTTCTTATAGATAACAAATGATATTCCACCGTTGCTCTTGGGTTAGAAACGGGCCTCTTCGTACTCTACTCCAACCTGTGACACACACCGACCGCCTCCTGGTGTCCCCCAAATCCTAGTGTTGATGAAAAAGAACCACGAGAAATTACAGGAACCAAGAGCAGGTTAAACTTTCACATCGATTGCACTGATAAGCAGAGCCACTTACCCAGCACAGCCAGACAGCTCAGCACCGGGAAAAAGCACTTCATGTCGGCAGCCTCCAGGAGACACAACACAAGGCGCTTCCTCTTCTCCCAGCTCCTAATCTCTCATTTCTGGCAATCCACTTATAGCTCCAGAGAACAGTTTTGGAAATAGAACTTAACTCGGAAAATGGGAACAGATTAAAAAGAAGAGATCAGAAGGAGGGAGTTGGGGGGAAGGGGAGGAGTGGAGGCAAGTGTGAAAACTCCCCTATGCTACAGGAAGGGTCCACAACAATTCGGAAGTCGCTCCCGGCTCCTGCCACATCGTGTGCCTTGCAGTTTCCACTGAAATTGCAGACTGTAGTGGATTAATCCTCCAGAAGCACGGAAAAAAGGGTCTGAGAAAATCCTTTCATCCACTGATTATACAGAAATGTCCTTGGCTTCTCAGTGAAGGTGTCTGTGATCTCCCTCATTCGGATTCCCCAGAGAGAACAGGGCAGGTTTCGTCAAAACCTTTGACGGCCAAATCACCCTGCCTGGCATCAACCGTTTGGGTTTCTTCACCAAAAAGTCCGTTTCCATCCATGGTGGTAGGTCACGGAGGCGCCACCTGCCCCACGCCTGCCTAGGGCACACGAAGCAAGTTGGCGTTCGGCAGCCCTGAAGCGGTACCCCAGCGCGAGCAGATTTCTAAAACAAACACAACAGAGATTTTTATCAAAGGCAAAGCTGCAAAACCCACTGGGGCTGAGCGCTGAGCTGGTCCGGACACCTGGGTCCGGTTCCTGGACCAGGACAGTCAACCTCTGCATTCTGACCTTGGGCAAGTCTCTGTCTTTCCCTCCGCCTCAGTTTCCCTGCCCAGAGCAGGGCAACAGTGGGAAGCCCGATTGTTCCTGAAATACTTCCACCAAATGCTTCACTCCTGGGAATTCCCGTCACCTCCTACCGAGCCCGGGCGCCGCAGGTAGCCCCACCCTCCGCCAGGGCAAATCGGGAAGGGGCTCCGCGGTGGGGCCGCGACTCCCGGCCCCCGCCCCAACCGTGGGAGCTCTGCGCGCGACGCGTCCCAGGTGGCCCCGCTATTGTTTTACCTTGCAGGGTGTTTATATCTCGCTGATTGGAAAGAAAAGAAACCGGGGAAGAAGGGAGTCCGGAGCTCCGCTTTCAGCTGCCGGAGCGCGCTCGCAGCGCGCCCGCCCAGCCAGGGGAGGGGTCTCGGGCCCGACCCGGAGCTCAGCCGGCGCGGGCCCGCTCCCCACTCCCCGCTCCCCGCTCCCCGCTCCACGCCTCCCCGCCTCCCTCCCCGGGGCCCCCTCCGGGCGCCGCCCGCGCCCCCGCCGAGCCTGACCTCGCCCCTGGCCCTCTCCCTCCGCGCGCGTCGGACCGTCCTTCAGTCCATCCAGGCGCACGCCTCAGGGGACGCGCCGCTTCCTCTTCTCCCGCAACGGCACCAGCAGCCGCGCTGCGGCCCCTCCCGAGTCCCCGCCCCTCCAGCTCCAGCCCGGCCCGCCGCACTCGGCGAGGCGAGCGCGGGGCCAGGGCGGCGGCCTCGAAGAGAGGCCCGGCCCCGCCCCCGGCCCCGCCCCTGGAGACGCGAGTCCCGGCCCCGGGCCTGGCGGGGGCATGAGGGTGGCCCGGGGCACCGGAGGACCTGGGCAGGGCTGGCGTGTGGGCCGAGCAGCCCGGCAAGTTAATCAGGGCTTCACACCCAGACTCCGGGGCCGCCGGCGAGATGTACAGGCCCTTCCCAAAGCCCAGCTGGCCACCCATAACCTGGGAAGCCGGCGGCACAGAAGCTCGTCCTTCCTCCTGGAAACAAAAACAAAGCCCTTTGGAGACTTGAATCTGTTCACGAAGTGGAACCCCATATTGCACTTCACTCTTGGATAGAATTTGGACTCTGGAAACAGCCTGGGTTCTAACGCCGGTTCCTCCACTTCCTCGCTGTGGCCCTTGGCAAGTTACTTAACCTCTCTGTGCCTCAATTTCCCCATCTGCTATGTGGAGGAAATAACCCTTACTTAAGAGGGTTATGGGAGAAATCTGTGACATACTTGTAAAGCATTTAGAATGGTGCCTGATACATCACAAGTGGTCAGTAAATATAAGCTATTATTATTTTATGACCAACCGCCCTGTAAAGCAAGTGCTTTTTCGTTTTCTCACTACTTACCCAACACACACAACTTGCTGGGTAGACACCGTCACGAGGCGACCAAAGCAGAATAGACCGCCCTGCCCTCATGCAACTTGCAGTCTAGTGGGGACACAGACCATAAAATAGACATGACAAGAAAAGTACAGTGTTGAGGAAGCAAATGCAGAGACCCCAACCCTGTGTTATTGGGGGAGGGGCAAGGAGGAGGGAGCTTTGGTCGGGGTAGGTCCCAGGCTTCTCAGAGGAAAGGAAAACTCGGTTGAATGCCAAAGAACAGAAGGCAGCAGCAGAGGAAGAGACAGAGGGGAGGTAAGGAATCGCAGACTGAAGAAACAGCACCTCTGCAGGCCCAGAAAGGAGCCCAGTTAGAGGACCAGGACAGTCTGCTGGGCCCAAACTTGACTGTAGGAGAGAAGTGACAAGAAATGAGCTGAGAAGAAATCGAGTGCCAGAACCTAGAGGGCATTGTATGGTGTGTTAAGGGGTTGGGACCATTGGGAAGCCACTGAAGGTGTTGAGTAAGGGACTATGGTTATCAGATATACGTTTTATTTTTCATTTTATTTTAAGAGACAGGTTCTCACTCTGTGACCCAGGCTGGAATGCAGTGGTGTAATCTTGTCTCACTGCAACCTCCACCTCCCGGGTTCAAGTGATTCTCCTGCCTCAGCCTCCTGAGTCACTGGGACTACAGGCGTGCACCACCACACCCGGATAATTTTTGTACTTTTAGTAGAGACAGTGTTTCACCATGTTGGGCAGCCTGGTGTTGAACTCCTGACCTGGTGATCTGCCCGCCTCAGCCTCCCAAAGTGCAGAGATTACAGGCATGAGCTACTGTGCCCAACCAGGAATCTTTCCTTGTGTGTTAATTATTACCTCTTTCCCAGAGACACCCGTGACTCTGGCAGCTCTCAGTTCCCATTTGCTAGACTCCTTCATTTATTTATTGAGCACCTACTACGTGTTAAGAAAAGTCTCTGCTCTCATGAAGCTTACATTCTGGTGGGAAACACAGACAATGAAACAAGTATATAATATAATGTAACGTGTTCTGAAGAAAAGTGGAGTATAGAAATGTGTGGGCGGGCACAGTGGCTCATGCCTATAATCCCAGCACCTTGGGAGGCCAAGGCAGGGGGATCACTTGATGTCAGGAGTTCGAGACCAGCCTGGCCAACATGGCGAAACCCTGTCTCTACAAAAAATACAAAAATTAGCCAGCCGTGGTGGTGCACACTTGTGGTCCCAGCTACTTGGGAGGCTGAGGCATGAGAATCGCTTGAACCTGGGAGGCAGAGGTTGCAACGAGCTGAGATCACACCACTGCAGTCCAGCCTGGGCAACAGAGCGAGAGTATCTCCAAAACAAACAAACAAACAAATAAAAAACAGAAAGGAAAAGAAATAGTGTGTATGTTTGGGGGTTCCAGTGGGAAGAAGGACTCTTTGCTAGGTGAGGTGGTCAGAAAAGACCCCTCAGAGGAAGTGACATTTGAGCGAGACCTGATTACAGGGAGTGTGTGAGCGCTGGAGATTTCTGGAGTAAGAAGATTCCAAGTGCAGGGAACAGCAAGTGCAAAGCCCCATAACATGTTCAGAAAATTAAAGGTGTGTTAGTGTGTCTGAAATGGCATAAAACAGAAGGAGAAGGAGGAATGTGATCAGAGAGGTCAAAGAGGCCAAATCTAGTAGGACCTTCTAACCTGAGGAGCTTGGCTCACTCTGGCTGCTGGGTAAGAATAGAGCATCAGATGGTAGGGGTGGACAAGGGACACTGGATGGGAGGTTCTTTCCATTGCGCAGGTGAGAGATGATCACAGCTTAAACTAGGGTGGTGCTGATGCAGGTTGTGGAAATGGGTGGAGTCTGAAAGCATTTAGAAAGCAGAGTCAATGAAATTCTCTGAAGAACTGAATATGGAGGGGGAGAGAAAGAGAAGAGTCAAGGAATCTTCCAGAAGGGGCATCTCAGCCTGCTTTGGAACTCTCTGACCCCCACCAAGGTGTACCCCCATCAAGGTGCAAGACTGTACTTTCTGAGGCCTCTGCCTAGGCCTTCATCCTTGAACCCCTATACTCAATTATCCCTTCTCTATTACTCGTTCTTTCAATCTCAACCTGCCCCTCTTCATACTACTTGGCCCCTTGCATCCTTCTGGATGATCTTTCAACCCTTGACTTCCATCACCACCCAGATGTGTTATGGCTGATTCCCAGCATGGCATTCTTTCTAATTTCCACATCTACGATATGCAAAGAACTGTGCAAAGTGTTGGATGGGGAGACAAAAGTATAATTTAAAAGAATGCCTCTGCCCTCCAGACATAGAAACGATTAAATGAGTCCTGAACAGTGATGTGATGGTGGCCCCTTCAGGAGTTCATCAGCAGGCAGAGAAGTGAATTGGAGGCTGGGTACAGTGGCTCACCCCTATAATCCCAGCACTTTGGGTAGCTGAGGTGGGCAGATCACCTGAGATTGGGAGTTCAAGACCAGCCTGACCAACATAGAGAAACCCTGTCTGTACTAAAAATACAAAAAATTAGCCGGCCATGGTGGTGCATGCCTGTAATCCCAGCTACTCAGGAGGCTGAGGCAGGAGAGTCTCTTGAACCCGGGAGGAAGAGGTTGCAGTGAGCCAAGATCGTGCCATTGCACTCCAGCCTGGGCAACAAGCTCCAGCCTGGGCAACAAGAGCGAAACTCTGTCAGAAAGAAAGACAGAGAGAAAGAAAGGAAGGAAGGAAGGGAGGGAGGGAGAGAAGGAAGGAAGGAAGGAAGGAAGGAAGGAAGGAAGGAAGGAAGGAAGGAAGGAAGGAGAAAGAAAGAAAAGAAAGAAAGAGAGAGAGAAAGAAAGAAAGAAAGAGAGAGAGAGAGAGAGAAAGAGAGAGTCCTAAGGGAAGGAGAGATGTCAAAGGAGAGGAGTGCACCGAAGTCCCCAGTCAGCAATGTCTGGTGCCCGGGCTGAACATTCCAGCTTGCTTCAAAACATTCTGCATTTGAATTTTGAAACCTCTACTGCACCGGCCTGGAATCAGTTGTTTATTTTGGACATTTTGGAAGACTCCTTGATCTTGTCCATCAGGGAGTTAAATGCAGAAGCCTGCAGAAGCCGAGCTGAAGCACAGTGCCAGGGAGTACTGGGGCCTGTGCACCCAGAGCACAGCCTGAAAGAGCACGCACAGCTTCAGCAAAGTGTTGCTGCTGGGAAGGAAGGTGTGGTGTTGCCTGATTTTCCTACTTTTTAAGAGAATCAGGAAATCCACATTAAAAAAAAATTATTCTTAATTTTGCTCATTGGAAACTAGTGTTTCAAAAATAAATTAATCCCTCTCTTTCTAGTTCTTCCTAGAGTGAGGAAAAGCTGGGTTGAGAGGGCAAACAAATTAACTAATTAATTAACTAATTAAACACTTTGGGGGGGCCAACACAAAATTTTTTCGTGGATAAGATATGGCCAAGTGGTTATATCAGTTTGAGGTTTCTAGACCTACCAATAGCTATAACCAAAAGGCTAATATAAAACCACAAATGGCATAGAGTTACATGTTTTAAGGGGAAAAAAATGAAGGGTGTTAGCCAAGTTATCCTTCATCACTTGAAAGAAGATTGAAGCCAAGGCATTTTGTCTAAGGATAGGCTGATACTGTGTACTCACAAGCAACTGATGTTAATTGTACTTAATGTACTTCAAAATGCCAAATGAAAAGAGCAAACCTCCCTACCTCACAAAACAGCCAAGTTGGAGCTAAAAGTGTCCCACTCAACAATTCTCCCGAGAGCCAGCTTTCTTCTGGGTGATTACCCTCCTACACAGGCAAGGATCCCCAGAGCCGAAGACTAGGAATAATTTACACAGGACACCATCTGTCTTTTTTTTTTTTTTTTTTGAGACGGAGTCTCACTCTGTCACCCAGACTGGAGTCCAGTGGTGCAATCTCGGCTCACTGCAATCTCCACCTCCCGGGTTCAAGTGATTCTCCTGCCTCAGCCTCCTGAATAGCTGGGATTACAGGCACTCACCACCATGCCTGGCTAATTTTTTTTTGTATTTTTAGTAGAGATGGGGTTTCACCGTGTTGGTCAGGCTGGTCTCGAACTCCTGACCTCAGGTGATCCACCCACCTCGGCCTCCCAAAGTGCTGGGATTACAGGTGTGAGCCACAGCGCCCAGCCCCCACCATCTGTCTTTAAAAAAAGAGAGAGAGAGAGAGAGAGAGAATTGACTATGATATCTTGAGATCAGGGTAGCCAGTGGGTAGTCCCCAAAGGCTTTATCCACAGGTGGGTGTTCAGAACCTGAGATGCGCCATCTAGCGTTAGAGAAGGGTCTGGATTTGCGCCCCCGCCCCCGATGGAGCTTCGAAGATGACTTTATCCCACAGGGGGAAATAAGATTGTATTCAGCTAACGTTCTTCTTTCCTCACAAAACCCCTGTGCTGTGTTAGCTTATTTTCTTGGATGACGGCGAAGAGCGAATCTGAAGAAGAACGCCTGGGCTTGTGTCCCAGATCTGCACTTATTGACACCTAACTCCCCAGTCAAGTTACTTAACCTCTCTTACTCTGGGTTCCTCATTTGTAAAAGGGGATAACAAATACCACCTGCCCTCGAAGGGAGGCTGGAAGGATTAAATAAGTTGACATATGGAAAGAACTTAGCAAAATGCCTGGTATTTAGTTCTCAGTGTTCATTAGCTATTCTCTTCACTAATCATGTACTTTACATGGTCTAAGGAGAGGAAACCAGGAGTCAGAAATTCTAGCTTCCAGTTGCTGCTTATGCTGTGTTTTGACCTCTCTGGACCTAAGTTTCTTCTGTAAAATGAGGATGATGACCAGGCACGGTGGCTCATGCCGGTAATTCCAGCACTTTGGGAGGCTGAGGCGGGTGGATCACCTGAGGTCAGGAGTTCGAGACCAGCCTGGCCAACATGGTGAAACCCTGTCTCTACTAAAAATACAAAAAATTAGCTGAGCATGGTGGCAGGCACCTGCAATCCCAGCTACTTGGGAGGCTGAGGCAGGAAAATCGCTTGAACCCAGGAGGCGGAGGTTGCAGTGAGCCGAGATTGCGCCATTGTACTCCAGCCTGGGTGACAAGAGCGAAACTCTGTCTCGAAAAAAAAGAAAAGAAAAGAGGTTGATTAGACTAGTGAGAAAGTCCCAAACTGGCTGTGCATGAGTTACTCACAAAGCATTTAAAGTGCAGATTCCCAGGCCCCATTTAGAAGATCCTATTTCTGAACATATGTCTGAGACTAGTCTAAGAAGACTTTTAAAAGGGATCTTTCAGGTCAAAATTTTATGATGGATTTTCACAGATTCATGATCCCATCCCCTCTGTCCAAGTCCATTTTTGATTGGGATTGAGAATTCCCTCAACTGCATAGCTTGACCCCAGATCAAAAGAATCAGAGGAGCTCATCTCTTCTACCAGTATTCCATTCTGAACTTAGTTCTCACCACGGTCAACAGGCTCCCGATCTTTCCCAGCCCCAAACCTTGAGCATTTAATGACTCTCCATTCGTCTTTTCCAAAATCTCAGCAAATCCTGATTTTTTTCTTAACTCAATAGCCTTGCATCTGCATCTCCTTACATCCAGCTCTGGCTCTTGGCCCATGCTCTTCCCTGTATGGCCTCCCTCCCTTTGCTAAAGAATTTAAAGAACCCAAACCTGTGGGTAGGCTGAAAGCCATGACGCTTGTCACGTTGGAGTAGCTTTTCTGAATTAGATTGGCTGACCCCCAATCTTTCTCTCTCAACGTCCCAGGGCAGCTGGGCTGTCTGCCTGGGCTGGCTGCCACTTTCAACCATGCTGTGGTCCAGGTGGAGGACTCTAAGAATTTGACTTGGCCTCTCCAATGAAAAGATGTTAGTTTGATCACAGAGCGTCTGTCCTTGCACAAGGAAAAGTGTGTCACCATATATCTGAGATTCTAAGAATCCAAACAACCATGATATTACAGCAGAATGGAGCCTTGTAGATGGGATGTTTTTTCTGAGACATCTGTTACCCCACTAGTCGCCAGGGCTGTCTGGCCTGATCTGGCTGGCATGTTGCCTCTCCCTGTAAAAGAGTGCAAAGACATTGGCAAATCTCACCCAAATATATATGAATTTGGCTGTCAGTTTCCAAAAGTTCACTTGGAAGTTAATTATTTGGAACTCAGAACATATTTTCCCATAACAGTAATATAATAAATGGTGATTATATTTCCAGGCTGACATGCAAGTGTGTTTAACCCTTAACATGCTTGAAATGCTACATATTTCAGAGGGAAAAAGCAGTATACCAACAATACAGTCAAAATACCAGGGATTCAATAATACTGAAAAATAACGTCAGGACAAAAGCTTAATAAATTCAGTTAACATATAGCACTGTTCTATGCCCTGGGGTGGTAAAGAAAGCAGGCAAGTTTCCTATCCTCATGAGTTTACATTCTTTATTAGTTTCTCTGTTTATGGTCATCTTCCCCTGGGTATGTAAGCTGTCTGTGGGCTGGAATCTGGTCTGTCTTGTTCTCTGGTGTTGGTCCAATGCCTAGAATAATGCCTAGCACATAGGATGTGATCAACAAATATTTGTTGAATGAATACGTTCTAGTTGGAAAGACAATAAACAAGTAAGCAGACAAATATGCAATCATTTGCAGATGTGATAAATGCTATGAAGAAAAATGAAGCAGAGATCATAGGAATGGAGGTGGCTGGGGTTTTTTTTGTTTTTGTTTTTTTAAAGCTAGGGTCTTGCTTTGCCGCCCAGGCTGGAATGCAGTGGTACAATCGTAGTTCACTGCAGCCTAGAACTCCTGGACTCAAGTGATCCTCCTGCCTTAGCTTCCCAAGTAACTGTGCTATGCTGACACCACCACACCTGGCTAATTTTGGAGGTGGCTATTTTTGATGGGGTGGTCAGAATGGCATCTCTGAAGAAATACTACTTGCACAGAGATCTGAATGAAAGAAAGAATCATGGAAGATCTGAGAGAAGAGGGAAGAAGGAGTCTTGTTTTATTTTTTTTTTTTTTTGAGACAGAGTCTCGCACTGTCGCCCAGGCTGGAGTGTAGTGGTGTGATCTCGGCTCACTGCAACCTCTGCCTCCCAGGTTCAAGTGATTCTCCTGCCTCAGCCTCCCCAGTAGCTGGGATTACAGGTGCCCGCCACCATGCCCAGCTAATTTTTTTGTATTTTTAGTAGAGACAGGGTTTCGCTATGTTGGCCAGGCCGTTCTCAAATGCCTGACCTTATGATCCACCCACCTCGACCTCCCAAAGTGCTGGGATTACAGGCGTGAGCCACTGCGCCCGGCCAACTCCTGCTTTTAATATCAGCCCAGGACATTTATACTGATGTTCCCTCTGAGATCAACTAAAATACCTAGAAAAAATTTAAATAATGTGAAAAAATAGTTATTAAAGTGGTGAGGAATTGCCAGGCAAAAACTAGGAGAAGGGGAGGACCATCACTTAAAGCCACTGTTGCCATGCGGACGTCCATGAATTGGAATAAATATCTGCAAAACCAAGCTGTCTTTTGACGTCATAAGTCAAGGGGAATGAACCTCAAAGCCCAGGAAGAAGATGGGGACTCTGTACTTGAAGCTGGGGCCCCTTAGGAGCTGCATCTTCTGGGTAAATGTGAAGCAGAAATAAACCAGTTCTTACTCAGACTTGCAACTTGATTCAAGTCACCTGGATAGTACAAGAGACCTTGAGCCTAGAACTTGGGTTAAAGTGGTTCTAGACAAGAAGCAGTGCCAGGTACCTGGCAGAATCAAGAGGAAAACCCTATCACTCTGAGCTGCAAATTATTTCTAAATGGAATTTCTAGCATGTAGCCACGTATAACCAGGAAGGCCCACAAAACCCTGAGATATTGACATTATCCAACGCAGCCAATAAAACAACTAGGCTTGCTTGTTTCTTGAGGTCAGAGGCTGCCTCTTCAAAGACATAAAATTCAGACTTGAAAATTTGTGCAGAAACTCAAAATCATATTAAGATCTGGGGCAAGAACATTCCAGGCCAAGAAGAGAGCAAGTACAAAGGCCCTGGGGCAGGAATAAGCTTGGCATGCTAAAAAGATAGAAACTCTCTGGCAGGAGCAGAGGGAGCAAGAGTTAGAGGTGGGAGGTGAGTTCCGAGAGGAAGGTAAAGGTGAAGGTCAGATCATGTGGGTCTCAAGGGATTTTAGGTTGTAGTCTGTGTGTCAAGGGAAGCCATTGGAGCAGTGAAGTGGTATGACTTAATTTACTTAATTTTATAAAAGTCAGTTTGGCTTTTGTATAGAAAATAGGCTGTAAGGAAGCAAAAATAGAAGCAAGGAAACCAATTAATAGGTTACTGAATGGTCCAAGTGAGAGATGATGGAGGCTTAGAGTAAGGTGGTGATGATGGAGGTGGTGGGAAATGAATTCAGAATATACAGTGAATTGAACTAGACACGGGGTGTGACAGAAAGCTTGGCATAGCTCTTCACCTCCATGTACTTTCCGTATGACCCCATTCTCCCCCAACCCACATGGTTTTTCCTTCTATCAGTAGACAGCTCTTTAGTTGGCATTTTCAGCCCAAGCCTTTTTTCTGTGTTTTACATCTACAGAGCCAACTGCCTTCTGAAATGTTCCACCTCAATGTCACCAGACCTTATACTGAACATGCCCCAAACTCAGCTTATTATTTTCCCCTCTAAACTGTTTTTTTCCTCCTCAATTTCCTATCTTAGTTGATGATACCACTTTTCACTCAATCATATAAGCCAAAGCCTTTGGATCAATTTTAGACTTCTCACTTCCACATTCAATTGGTAACTAGGGACT
Source organism: Homo sapiens (assembly GCF_000001405.40). Taxonomy (NCBI): domain Eukaryota; kingdom Metazoa; phylum Chordata; class Mammalia; order Primates; family Hominidae; genus Homo; species Homo sapiens. Next base: position 116,677,255 of record NC_000001.11, read on the forward strand.
GGCAATTCTACCTCCCTAACTTCTTTGGAAGCTGTCAGTTTCTTTCTATTTTCATGGCTTCTGCCCTAGATCAAACCTTCATCACCTCTCTCTAGACTATTGTCATAGTCTCCCACCTGTCTCCCAGGTGATGATCTCAGTCCCTGCCCATCTGTTAGTCTAAAGTATGCATCTTACTAAAGTGTAGAGGTGACACTTCTGGGGCTGCCAATTGCTTAAAGAAGGTTCAGACTCCTTAAAATGGGTTACAAGGGCCTTCCAACCCCTCTTGATCTTTCTCCATTTTCTCTATGCTTTTGATCCTACTATATCCTGCTCTTACCAGTTATCTATGGCTTCCTGGACGTGCCTTTGCATGTGCTAGGTAGTTTGCCAGTATGCCCTTCCTCCTTCTGCTGCCCGTCAACTTGGCAAACTCCCACCCTTCTTGTAGGAACAACTGAAGCATAAGTTTCTCTAAGAAGTATCCCTCCTCCTGTCCTTCCAGAATTGAGTTAATCATCTATGAAAGCTCTGTGTTTAGTATAGACCTCCCTCCAGGGTAGCACTTTTCCACTTAGGTTATTTTTTACTTAGGTTTTTTTTTAATGTATGTTTTACCTACTGAGTTTCTTGAGGTCAGAGGCTGCCTGATATGACTATGTCTTCTGCTCCCTACACTATGCCTGGCACATAGCAGGCACTCAACTAAAGCTTTTTTTTTTTTTTTTTTTGGAGACAGGGTCTTGCTCTGTTACCCAGGAGTGGAGTGCAGTGGATTGGATTGGACATGGGGTGTGATCTCACTGCAGCCTCAACCTCCTGGGCTCAAGTGATCCTCCTACCTCAGACTCCCAAGTAGCTGCAACTACAGGCATGCACCACAAAACCCAGTTAATTTTTAAATTTTTTTGTAGAGATAGTGTCTCACTATGTTGCTAGGGCTGGTCTTGAACTCCTGGGCTCAAGCAATCCTCTCACCTTGGCCTCCCAAAGAGTTGGGATTATAAGCATGAGCCATTGCACCTAGCCTCAACTAAAGCTTTATGGAATGGATGAAGGAGTCGTCAAATGAACAAATACACCAGACTATACACTCAATCTCACAGAGCAGATCTCCAGCCCCTAGAGGAAAGCTATAGCAACCAGTGTTGGGGACATTTCATGAGCTTTCATTTGGGTGACTCTAGCCATGGCATCTGCCTCGCTCTCTAGCTGCTTTAGATGGATGGTTCACACAAAAAGTAAGAGTTCAAAATTTTTGTAGCTACTTGTACCCAAGAGCCTTAGTTACTGATTACCCTCTTTTGTGCCATACACAAATCCCATGCCCAGCCCTTAGGACTTACCCTGAAGCAGCATTTCCTCCTAGCTTGGGTGATGCTGACAGTATTTAGGGTCCCACAGATGTACCTTAAGTTCACAGCACAAATTATCACACATGAATGTTAACACTTATCTTTCATAGTCATGTGTAATTTCTACTATAGTCCATGACCCCCGCATCTTCCCCCTTTTCCCCTCACTTATAATATGCTATTTATAGAAGAAGGAATACAGAGGAACATAAAAATGAGACAGCTAGGAAGAGAGAGGATGAACCAGAGAAGAAAAATTGGGGAAAGGAAGGAATAAAGGGAGGACCAGAAGGGAAAGAAAGGAAAAAAGAAAGAAGGAAGAGAGAAAGGAGAGAAGAGAGAACAAAGGAGAGAGAGAGAAAAGAGAAAGAAAAAATAAAGGAGAATAAGGGGAAGAGAGAGGAAAATAAAGGGAGTAGAAAGAAGGAAGGAACAGAAGTAAAGAGAGAAAGAACAAAGAGAGAACTTTAAGCATCCACACACGTCTGTGAAATTTATCTGAAGTATCTCTACTTAAACAGCAGGAACCTCGTGGCCGATATTAAACATTTAATTGACTAGAGAAACCAATCATAGAACAAAGCCCCTTTTCTTTGTGACCTATCATATGATAACCCAAACACAGGAGTTGCTATTTTTCTCCAGAAACTATCAGCCACAGCCATCTGTCTTGGTCCTAGACTGTTTAAAAACATTTTTTTTTCTTTAAACATGTGTGTGCGTATGCTTCAGCCACAGAACCAAAGTAGCCTCCATTGCAACAATGGCCGACTTGTGAGATTCAGCAGTGGTTCCCCCAGCCTGCTTCTGGCCACCAGATGTCAGACAGTCAGTGGTTCCCTTTCATCCTCACCCACCGCAGAGCCATTTCAGCCTGTGTAGGGATGGGGGTTTGCAGCCCTTTCTGAGCCCCACTCCAGATCTGAGTGGGGCCTAATCTTGCCTGAGGACAGCTGTGGGGGAAGGGAAGGAACAAAGCCACCTAGGAGTGGAGCTGGGATGGAGTTATATTTCTTCCAAAAGTTCAGCAACTGCTGCTTATTAAAAAGCTTGTTTTCTGCCTGGGAATCCAGTCTTTAGCATGAGAGAATAAAAGGACAGACATAATAGTGGGATTTGAAAGGAGCACTGTGAGCTGGGGACAAGGAGGGGGGCACACAGAGTCCCCCTTCCCTGGGTACTGGCCGTGCAGTCCAGTACTGTACCATAGAACGAGAGGCAGCTGATGGTTCCTGACCCCATCACCCCACCACCTCTTCCATCTTTCTCTTCCAGTTCTTTCTTCTCTATCTCTTCCCCTTCTTTTTCCTCCTCCTTCTCCTCCTTTTCTTTCATAACTGTTGACTCAAGTCAGCAATGGAACCACAGAAAGGCGGTCAGAAGTCGCACCACACAAAGATGCTGATCAGAAGGCCACAGAGCTGCCAGCCCTTCCTCTGGGGCAAAAGATAATGTAAAAAAGACAAATGATAGTTCAGCTTACTAGTTTAGAGCTCAGGCAGGGTGTGGTGCCTCATGACTGTAATTCTAGCACTTTGGGAGGCCGAGGCAAGAGAATCCCTTGAGCTCAAGAGTTCAAGACCAGTCTCAGCAACATAGTGAGAACTCATCCTTCCCAAAAATTTAAAGTTAGTGGCATGTGCCTATCATCCTAGCTAGTCGGATGGCTTGAGCCCAGGAAGTCAAGGCTTCAGTGAGCTATGATCATGCCACTGCACTCCAGCCTGGGTGACATAGCCAGCCTTGGTTTCCTCATTGGCAAAATGAAGATAATAGCACCTGCTTTATATAAGGAGATATAGTAGTGCTTTTTCCCCATATTGTAGATATTGGGGTTAGTGTGAGGAATACAGGAATAATACACTAGGTGAAATATATAGCACATAGTAAATGCTCAGTGAATTATACACCTACTACATGCCAGGCTGTATTCCAGGTGCTGAGTGAACAAAAGAGACAAGAAGAAAATCTTGCCCTCATGGAGTTAACATTCTAGTAGGGGGAGACAGACAATAAACAAGTAAATAAATATATAGCACATCAGATGATGAAAAGTGAAAGGAGGAAAATAAAGCCAGAAAGGGGATAAAGGAGTGCTAGGAGAAGAGGGGTTGCAGTTTTAAACAGAGCAGCACAGACTCCCTGCAAATGTGATTTTTTGATTAAAGACCTAAAGGAGGTGAAGGAGCCAAGCACGCAAATGTTGAAGGGAAGAGCATTCTGGGCAGAGGGAACTGCAAGTTGCAAGGCCCTGAGCCAGGAGTACACCCAGCAAGATTGAGAAATATCTAGGAGGTTGGTGGGCTGGAGCTCAGTGAGGGAGGGAGAGCAGTAGGAAGTGGGGCAGGAAAGGCAATGGTGCGTGCGCACAGGAGGGGAAGTGCAGCACGGAGTGCAATCATGTAGGAACTTGTTAGCCATTGAAAACTCTGGGGAGTTTTAAGGAGAGGAATGATAGAATCTGATTCATGTTTTCAGAGGATTGCTCTGGCTGCTGTGCTGCAAATAGGCTATGGGGATCAAGAGTGTCAGTAGGGAAACCAGTTAAAGGTCAGTGCAATAAGCCAGGTGAAAGATGGTGGTGGCTTGGACTAGGTAGTGGAGAAGGAGGTAGTGATAAGGGGTTGGATTCAGGATATAATTTTTAAGGAAGAGCTGTCAGAGTTTGGTGATGGATTTAACAGGAAGTGTGAAAATTAGAGAGGAGTTCAAAAATGTCTCTGAGGTTTTTGGCCTGAGCAATGGAAAGGATGGAGTGGCTATTTGCTAAGATGAGGAAAACTGTAAGTGGAGCAAATTTGGGGGTGGGGATGAGATGGAGTGGGTGGTAGATGTTATGAATTATGTTTTGGACATTGTGAGAGATTATTACCTTAATAGCCCCCAGTGAGTCATGTACTGGGCCTTATATACTGGGGCTTGCCCTCTTAGAATGCTGCCTTGGCCTTAAAAGGAATCCTACTGAAGAACCATATGGAGGACAGCCAAAATGCCCTGGTCAATAGCCTCAACTAATATCTAGACACATAAGCAAGGACATCTTAAACCATCCAGTAAAGCTCCAAAAGACTTCAGTGACGTGAATGACCCAAGGCAAGAACAGAAGAGCCACCTAGCTGAGCTCAGACTAAATTGCCACTAAACTTCAGAGTTTAATTATGTAGCAATATGTAACTGGTACAATCATGTTAAATTTGAGATGCCTTGTGCACATTCAGATTAGGATGTCAAGTAGGCTGTTGGATGCCTGAGTCTAGAATCTAGGGAAGATGTCCAGGCTGAAAAGACAGTTCAGGAATTATGAGCATATAGATGATAAAGTCATGAGACTGATAAAAACAGCAAGGAAGTGAGTAAAGGTAGAGAAGTTTAAGGACTGAGCCCTGGGGAAGCATAACATTTAGAAAGGAAGAGGAATCCCTAAAAGTGAAAAAGGACGAGCCAGTGCAACAGAAGGAAAACCAGGCATGTTTGGTGTCCTGGAAACGAAGTACAGAATGTGTTTCTGGGAGGAACGAGTAAGCAATTGTGTTGGATACTGCTACCTAATCAACTAAGATGAGGACTGAGAATTAATCATTGGATTTAGTCGAGGCATGTCTTTGGTTACATTGAGAGAAACAATTTTACTAGAGTCCGAAGTGTGGAAGCCCGCTTAGGAGGAGTTAAAGAATGAGAGGAGAAGAATTAAAGCCAGGGCTATAGATAACCCTTTTAAGGAATTCTCATATAAAGAAAAATGGGGAAATGGGTCCACAGTGGTAAAAGCATCTGTGGTTAAGAGACAGGTTTTAAGATTGAGAGCATATTATTTATAGATATGAAAGATCTAGTAGAGAGAGGAAAATCAAGTGATGAAGAATACAGAACAAAGATTTGCTGGATGATATCCTTGAATAGATGAGTGGGAATGGGACCTGTTGAAGGCATTGGCTTTAGCTGGGAGCAAGGATGAATCTTATATAATGTGAGAGGAAAGGCAGAATATGTGGGCACTGACATAAGTTGGTGGGCACATGTAGATAGAAGAATATAAAATTTTTTTGCTTATGTTTTCTCAGCAAGGTCATTGGCTGAGCTTGAGGATGGGGGAGGGTTGTTGGAACGTTGAGGAGAAAGAAGATAAGAAATTCTCGTCTAGAAATGAACAGTATCCATTGTTATTATCTTCCTGTAGGAGGCAAGGGCTCCCAACTTACTCATTACATCCAAGAGCTCAAGACTCCTGTTCTGATGGGCCCAGGCTTGATATAGCCTGTAATGTCATGAGATCTTGGCTGGCACTATTATGCCTAAACAAAGCCATTTCTTACTTTCTCTTTTGTTCATGTGGTGGTCATGTGCTTAGGGGAATCTGAGTCTTTTCCCTGACCAAGGCTGTTAATCTTGGTTAGTGTGAGCCAATCAAGATAGTTTTATTTTCTTGGCCAGCAATTCTTTTAGGTACAAACCTGTGTTACAATTCTGACCAATAATATGTGACAGGACATCTGCCGGTTGTCTCTTAGAAAAGATTTTCCTTTCTGATAACAACAGAATCATGGAAGGAATGTTTCTTCTGTTTCTTTTCTTTGCTCTATGTGTTGAAACTGGATCTGCAGCAGCCATGTTTTACCAGGACTAAGCGTGGCCCACAGGCTGAAGAAGGCAGTTCTGTAATGAGTCCCTGAACCACTGAATTCAATCCTGGAGCCTGCCTGCCTGCAGACTTCTTAATACGTGAAATATTGTAGGCCGGTCGCGGTGGCTCACGGTTGTAATCCCAGCACTTTGGAAGGCCGAGGCAGGCGGATCACGAGGTCAGGAGATCCAGACCATGGTGAAACCCCGTCTCTACTAAAAATACAAAAAATTAGCCAGGAGTGGTGGCGGACGCCTGTAGTCCCAGCTACTCGGAGAGGCTGAGGCAGGAGAATGGCGTGAACCCTGGAGGCGGAGCTTGCAGTGAGCCGAGATTGCGCCACTGCACTCTGGCCTGGGCGACAGAGCAAGACTCTATCTCAAAAAAAAAAAAAAAAAAAAAAAAAGAAATATTGTTATATATTTTCCTTATTGACTATGCCTTTTTTTGTTGGTTCATCTGTGATTTACAGTGGGAATAAATGTGATGCATAGATCATCAGCAAAATGGATGCAGAATTCAGCTTGGGACCATTGAGAACACAAATTCAATTCAGTGCAATATAGACACAATGGGAACAATGTACCAGGCACAGTATTAGACACAGAAGAATAAAACTTCCTCACCATGAATATCTTATGACAAATATATATGTGTGTGCATTGTAAACTGGGGATAATAAAAATATCAAAATTACTATTTTAGAAAGCAGAATATGTTTAGTGCCTTGAAAGAGATATAGGAAGTCAAAGAAGATAGTGATAACATCCATTTGGAGAAACTGGGGTAGTGTCGATCAAGGAAGTAAGGACTAGAAAATAGGGAACAGTAGGCCTGGCAAGGTGGCTCATGCCTGTAATCCCAGCATTTTGGGAGGCTGAGACAGGTGAATCACTTGAGGCCTGGAGTTCGAGACCAGCCTGGACAACATGGTGAAACCCCGTCTCTACTAAAAATACAAAAATTAGCCAGATGTGGTGGTGCACGCCTGTAATCTCAGCTACTAAGGAGGCTGAGGCACGAGAATCACTTGAATCCGGGAGGTGGAGGTTGCAGTGAGCTGAGATCATGCCACGGCACTCCAGCCTAGGTGACAAAGTGAGACTCTGTCTCCAGAAAAAAAAAAAAAAAAGAAAGAAAATAAATAAATAAGGAACAATAATAATAAACATACAGGCAAGAAAGTGGACTGGTCTGGAAAACTTCGTGGTAAGATTGGTTTGGCTGACTTACAGAGTGCGGAGGGGGGTAATGAAAATAATGTTGGAAAGTTACATTGGGTCAGGATTTGAGAGGCCTTAAATGGTAGGCCAAGAAATGTAGGTTTGCTTAGGTTGGAAATGGCAGCCCCTAGAGATTTATTTATTTATTTATTTTAATAGGAAAGTAACATGGCCAGAGCTGAGTCTGGGAAAAGTCATCTTTAGCAGGGGGACTGAAGGCATTTCTTTTTTATCCAACAATAACTAATCATTTTAGTCATTTACCACACCCTCAGTATATGCAGATGTTTAATATGAACACATCTGAAGCCTCAGCAAGAATAAACACGAGAGAATTACATTCTTAGACCCAAGGAATGAGAGGCAGCATCAAGACAGAGAATCTGCCTTGGCCTCAGGCAAGCCTCTTCAGCCCTTTTCTCTGTGTCCCACCCACTTCATTTAGGCTCCCTGGAACTTCAGAGAGCCCTCATTCCAATTTAAATCTTCCCCCAGAGTCCAAATTTGCACGAGGACAGTAGTTCTATTTCTCTGGTCTCCAACACTTTTTTTTTTTTTTTTTTTGGAGACATGGTCTTGCTCTGCTGCCCATGCTGGAGTGCAGTGGTGCAAATCATAACTCACTGCAGCCTCAATCTCAGCTCAGGCGATCCTCCCACCTCAGCCTCAGGAGTATCTGGGATTACAGATGCATTCCACCATACTTGGCTAATTTTCTTTTAATTTATTTTTTTGGTTGAGACAAGGTCTTGCTATATTGCCCAGGCTGGTCTCGAACTCCTGTGCTCCAGCAATCCTCCCACCTGGGCCTCCCTAAGTGCTGAGATTACAGGCCTGAACCACCACACTCAGACCTTCAACATTTTCATACAGTGGGACTCCTCCAATCAGTGATGGTACCCTTTGCAGAACATCGTGAAATACTGATGTATTTAAATCCAAAATACTGCCTATGAATTAGCACAAAATTACATATTTAGCTACTTTGTGCTTAAATTGCTTAAAAATGTTAAATTTGGGCCAGGCATGGTGGCTCACGCCTGTAATCCCAGCACTCTGGGAGGCCGAGGCTGGCAGATCATGAGGTCAAGAGTTTGAGACCAGCCTGGCCAACATGGTGAAACCCTGTCACTACTAAGAATACAAAAATTAGCCAGGCTTGGTGGCACATGCCTATAATCCCAGCCAGTTGGGAGGCTGAGGCAGGAGAATTGCTTGAACCCAGGAGGCAGAGGTTGCAGTGAGCCGAGACTGTGCCACTGCACTCCAGCCTGGGCAACAGAGCAAGACTCTGTCTCGGGGGGAAAGAAAAGTTAAATTTAATTAAACTTACAGACACTAACACATAATATAAAACCACAACCGTAAGCCCAAACACCTGTCCATAGAAAAAAACTGTCAAACTAAGCACTGTTGGCTATGTCTGTGTCCATTAATATTCATTTGTTACTTGCTAATTCTGTCATCTGCTAGCACTGGCCAGTGGACAAGGAATAACAGGTGCCAAAGATTTAATAAAAATTTAGAGAGAGAAAACTAAAAGCTGAAGATACTCTATCCATTAACTTAATTTTTCTGGGAATTAGTATATTTATTCATTCAACAAAGATTGATTGAGCAGCTACTGTGTGGCAGGCACCATGCTAAGGAGAGGCGACACGAAGAAGTAAGGTACAGTCCTGTCTTCCAGAGATGTCTAGGAGGGGAGACAGCCAAGAAATGCTAACGAGCAAACAGAAAGTGAGTATTAAGGTGGAAGTGATGCAGGGCCCTCCAGAGCTCTGGGGTTAGAGAGGGCTTCAGAGAGGATGTCATAAGAGGTAAGTTTTTTTTCTGAGAGGCAGTGTCTCACTCTGTTACTCAGGCTAGAGTGCAGTAGTGCGATCATAGCTCACTGTAACCTCAAAACTCCCGGGCTCAAGCAATCCTCCTGGGTCGGCCTCCCAACATGCTAGGTTTCCACAACTGTTAGCGGTAAGCCTGGAAGATAGACTCAAAGTATCTAAGCCAGTGCTTCTCAGAGTGTGGGGTTTCGTAGAGCAGCAAATTGTCTGTGGAATTGGCGGTCGGGGTTGCCAGGACTAAGAGAAGGTTATCAACTGTTACATTTGTGAAATAATGTTTATTGAGAATATCATCCACCATCATTATAATTTTATAGAAGAAAGGACATTTTCAAACCAAAAAGAAAAAAATAAATAAAATGGACATAATATCAGGCAAAAATGAAGTGTCCTTCAATTGGTATGAATTTAGTTTTGTGAAGAACTCATTACATTGTCTTTATTTGTCTTGTTTCAGGGAGAGAAGCTGGAGAAGTTGCCACGAGCAGAGTAAAGGGACATGGGCAGAGGTCCTTAGGCATCTGGTCTTCATTTTTTCCCTGGGGCTGAGGTTCTAGCCACTCTGGGTTTGGGGAAGCAGAACCAACAACCTGTCCCCAGGGTCACATGATCTTCCTCGGCCCTAGGCACTGTGTCCTGGGGAGTACCAGGAGTGAGCAGGACTTTCTCCATAAAAAATACTAAAGATTCTAGTTTATGACTACATTGGTATAAGGAAGACTATAATCTTTGACCTCCAAAAGTTTATTATTTTTCTTCTGACATTAAAACAAGTAAAACCTTTTTCTGGACCCCTAAAAGTGTTGTGTGCCTAAGACATGCCCGTTCTAAACTTTAGGCAGCGTGCAGTAGGGTGGGGTCCAAAAAGTCTTCCTTATCACCATAATCCCCTCCCCATTCTGCCTGTGGAGAAGTCTGGCCCTGCTTGGGGAACAAGGATCATATTAGAGGAATAAATGCTTGAGGAATGAATTCACAAGATGGCCAAATACCACAGAGGTGTGCACATCTGGAGATGAGCACAGTCAGGACTAGACACTCCAGGGGGTGAAGGGCCACTTGCCAATGGCTGGCAGGTCCTGCTGGCCACATCCAGCCCCAGGGACAGGAAGCAGCAGGGACCTGCCCTGTCTGGAAACTCTGCCAGATGGCCTAGCATCCCAGGCTTGTTCTGCTCTGCATTTTATCAGCCAGGGCCAGAACCAGCCTTTCATAATTCAGAGCCCCTTGGGACCCTGTCCCAAATACTGCCTCTAATGTGGACTTGATTCACTAAGGCTTAACTTTAATCTGTCCTTTTTTGTCCAAGCCTCAGGTGTGTGTGTGTGTGTGTGTGTGTGTGTGTGTGTGTGTGTGTATGTGATGTTCACATGATAGGGAAGAAATAACCGGCATTTCTTCTCCTTCTTTCTGCTCAAAGGATGTCTTATCTAGGATATGCAGGGCTGGAGGGCAGGGACAACAGTCATTTAAATGCGGGGGCCTTTGAGATCACTGGTGGGAAGACAGTGAAGAGAGAAAAGAAGACTGGGAGGGAGAAGGAAAGGGGGAGAGGGAGGAGACACAGTAGGAACACACAGCAGGGGACCAGTTAATGTTTTTGAAAGAATGATGCAATCCTGACAAATATGTGTACTCTGATATGTTATCCTAGGCTCCCCAGTTTGGCCTAGGTAGAAGTCGAAAAACAAATGCAGGCTGGGCACGGTGGCTCATACCTGTAATCCCAGGACTTTGGGAGGCTGAGGCAGATGGATCACTTGAGATCAGGAGTTCAAGACCAGCCTGGCCAACATGGTAGAACCCCGTCTCTACAAAAAATACAAAAATTACTAGCTGATCGTTGTAATGGGTGCCTGTAATCCCAGCTACTCAGGAGGCTGAGGCAGGAGAATCGCTTGAACCCAGGAGGTGGAGGTTGCAGTGAGCCAAGGTCACGCCACTGCACTCCAGCCTGGGAGACAGAGCAAGACTCTGTCTCAAAAAGCAAAACAAGGCCAGGCTTGGTGGCTCGCGCCTGTAATCCCAGCACTTTGGGAGGCTGTGGCGGGTGGATCATTTGAGGTCAAGAGTTCGAGAACAGCCTGGGCAACATGGTGAAACCCCATCCCTACTAAAAATACAAAAATTAGCCGGGCGTGGTGGCGCGTGCCTGTAATCCCAGCTACTCAGGAGGCTAAGGCAGGAGAATCACTTGAGCCTGGGAGGCGTAGGTTGAAGTGAGCTGAGATCACGCCACTGCACTCCAGCCTGGGCGACAGATTGAGACTCTGTCTCAAAATAAATAAATAAATAAAAATAACACACTTCTAAAATATTATCACGCTAAAATAATTTAGCATTAATGCAATAGCATTCTTTGATATATAGTCCAGCTATCTCAAAATATCTGTTTTATAGCATTTTAATAATCCAGGATCCACTCAACTTTACTCATTGAAAATTGATTGTTATATCTTCTTAGTTTCCCTCAACCTAAAAGAATCTTCCTGCCTCTATTTACTATTTATTTTGTGTTAAGGATACTGGCATGTACTTTAATTTAATTTTTTTTTTTATTTTGAGACCCTGTTGCTCAGGCTGGAGTGCGCTGCAGCCTTGACCTCCTGGACTCAAGCAGTTCTCCCACCTCAGCTTCCCGAATAGCTGGGACCGCAGGCCCACACCACCATGCCCAGCTAATTTCTTTGTTTTCTCTAGAGACAGGGTCTCATTATGTTGCCCAGGCTGGTCTTGAACTCCTGAGCTCAAGCAATCCTCCTGCCTCAGCCTCCCAAAGTGCTAGGATTACAGGCATGAGCCACCACGCCCAAACAACACTGGCATTATTAGAGCTCACTGGTTGTCTTGTTGAACATCACACAATCTAGATTTTGCTGATGGTTTCCTCGTGATGATATTTAGGCTAAATGCTTGAGGCAAGAACACTCTGCAGGCGTTACTGTGTGCTTCCTGCTGCACATATCAGGAGGCCCTTCATGTTTATGATGCTCAGTTATTTGGTTAAGGAGATATCCATCAGATCTCTCCATTGTAAAGATACCTTTTGACCTTTGTAATTAATAGTCACACTGTGGATGTTAAAACTGTTTTTAGGGGCAAAAGTCATCTATTTTTCCTGGAAAAACCATCTTTCTTCCATTGTCTCATCAAAAACCCCACTGCCAGTATGGTGTGCTTATGGCTGACAGGAGCATCCAAGAGGCTGCTCTCATAGCATGAAGATTCATGATTGTAATCGTTAATAATCATAACATTTCCTAATGTCTAGTAGCATTTTACAGTTTATAGAGCATTTTTGCACATGTTGCAGCTTTTGATTTTCCCCAAATTTCCTTTTCATTGTCCAAGAAGTAAGACTGCTTAGAATCATTCACTTGTTCATTCACCCATCCTTTCATCCAGACCACATGCCAGCCACTGGTCCAGAAGCCAGGGCTTTCATAAATGAATGAAGGGATCAGATCTAGGTGGAGAGACCAACAGGCAATCTCTTCCCAAACAGTGTCACTGCAGTGGTAAGACAAGCTCTGGGGTAGAGAACATGGGGATGAAAGGAACCAGCTGAAAAGAGAAGCATAGAGAAATAGAAACTGAGGCTCCAGCCTGCCCTATCCACTGTCACATGAGAAACTCTATTTCTCTCCTTTTTAAAGCACTGTGAGTTGGGTTTTCTGTTTCCTGCAGCCAAGTGCATCCTAACTGATACTCTCAATGTTCTCACATTGCAGATGAGGAAACAAAGTCCCCAGAAGTAAAATGATTTTGCCAAATGACACTCAGCTAGCAAATGCCCGAGATGGTTCTTGATCATGGGTGCTTGATTCTAAGTCCCTCACTTGTGTCCTCGGGGAAGAGACAGGAAGAGCCCCTGTTGTCTAAGTCTTGATGGACTCCCTGGCTCTCCTCTTCTGTACACAGTTCAGAGATGGCTAAACAGAAGGAAGATGCCCAGTAACGCTTACTCAGGTGCTCTGAGTGCTGGTCACTTCCCCCTTGGTGGCTAAGTGGTGTGCATTTCAGGATACAGGGCACTTTCATTAAGTTTAGCACTATTCACATGGACAGATAGTAGGTGTGCATGTGCAATCAACCCAAATAGATGAACATACTGTCTGAAGGCCACAAAGTGCCCCATGAATAATTCCCTGTAAATACACATCCAATGCCCACACTTCAGAGAGACTGATTGAATGTGTAAAAGACTGAATGGCTCAGGGAACAAGAATTAATGGATGGAAGGAATCTATCATGGTTGAGGTCAAAGAGTAGGCTCAATGTAGCAGAGAGCCAGGCTCACCACCCTGCTGTGAATTTGAAGTAGGGGGGCAATTAGGCATGAGCTATTTGTAGACAGAAGGAAAAACAGTGAACTAAATGGCTTAGGCTTAGTTCCACGTGCAGGCTGGATGCAGAGGACTGTCATCCTCAATACAGGCTGCAAAATGATGCCAAGGGTCACGCTGGTGGAGGGCAGGGCCCAGTGCTGGCAACACTTAAAGTACAACTTCTGAGCTTTAAAAGAGACATTGTATGTATAGATCAACAAGAAGGTCAAGAATTCTAAAATCCTGACTGCTAATTGTCCCACTTCACCTTAAGTAATTTTGCTAGAGAATGCTGATGCAGCCTGTATTTGTGGTGTGTGTGTGTGTATGTGTGTGTGTGTGTATGCATGTTTGTGTGTGTGTGTAGAGGAGGTAGTAAGAGGGAAAAAAATGTGGCATTTTTGCCAGCATTTGCCTTTTTTTTTAGTCGTTTTTTTCTTGCTGTTCTCCACCCCTACAATAAGCTGAGCCAGTGTAAGTTACAATTTATTAGCTGGTTGCTATGGGTTACACCAGTGCTCCGCAGATATTCCCTTCAGAAATAGTAACATTTAATGTAATGTAAAACAGAACTACTGTATCACCACTTGCTTGGCTTCTGCTGGCTTGCAATATTATATCCTTCCCTGCTGAGCTTGAAGCCTCAGGAAATTAGCTGGTGCCATTATTTTATGGTGATGATGGGTGTCTGTGATACCCCCTTTGTTTCATGAAAAAGACAGCCTGCAAACCGAGGGTGTCTGCAGGACCTGGGGTGCCAACTTGCAGTGCCATGCAGTGCCCAGAGACTGACTGTTTGTTTCATCTGCCTGTTCATTATTTAAGGCAGTCTTCTCAAAGCTGAGTCCCTGTGGGCCCGGGGCCAGTTACCATTTCAGGGAGGCTAGTAGCAACTACCAATGAATTTTATTTATTCTGCTATCTGTATAATATTTGTGGCAGGCTGGTTAACAAAAATTTGTGGGCTGGTAAATTTTCAGGCTAATTTAACTGTAAGAGTGATTTGAAGGAGAAAGGTTAGAAGATGGTGACACTGAGTAAAGCCATTCAAGTTAAAATAAACAGAACAGAAGAGAAACGGGTGTTTTCAGACCACCCACATTCTCTCTTTTCTGCCTGCTCTCTCCATTGCCCACCCACCTAAACACTAGCCCTCTCAGAGTACACCTTTTCCTACCTGTGTGCTCAGTCTCTTCTCTCACCTGCCTACGGAGGTGTGCTTTCTTTTATGGGCAGGACACTGGGTTGCTCTACAGACTGCACCTCCCTAACAGGGTCCACTAGTGTAGGAGGAGTGCTAGGGTGGTAAACAGAATGTGGGCTCTGAATGATCTAGGTTCAAAGCCTGGCTCTGCCACTTTCTGGCTATGTGACCTTGGACAAGTTCCTTGACCCTTTGAAGCCTCCGTTTCCATATTATAAAATGGGATAACCATATTTACCTTGTGTGCATATTGTTAAGGATCTGAGGGCGCAGTGTCTGTGTAATCACTTAGCACAGTGCCTGGCCCATTGTAAAAAGTGGTCTTGCCTACTCTGCGATGTGGGATATTGTTGTTCCTGCTGCCTGAGAGACTCTTGGCTAGCTGGTCCTCCTGGGCGTCTCCTGCTTTTCATTCAAGACTCAGCTCAGACACAACCTCTTGTGAAACCAACTTAGCTACCCTCCTGCCTGTCCTCTTTCAAGCCATGTCCCTGCTGCTCTTCGCCGCTGCTGTGGCACCTCTGCATGCCTCTGTTGTAATGTGTCCATGCTAGATTGTCATTCTCTGTTGATAAGTCTTCCTCCCACTGGACTCTGAGCTTCTTCGGGGTTGGCAGCTTGCCTTTCTGATCTCTCCTCCTAGTGCAGTGCCCGCACACATAAGTTTTCAATGAAGTTTGTTGGGTGTATGAATGAAGTAAAGAAAAAACTAATTCATTAATTCATGTTTACCTACAGTATATCTGGTGGATAAAAGCCGTGGCTCTATTCTACAGGCCAGTGGCAGCCACCAGGACTAAGGGACAGTGTATGCCATAGTCTCTATCGTTCAAATGCCTTTGGCTGTAAGTAACAAAAGATGCAACTCACAATGGCTTAATAATAGGAAAATTTATTATGCTCCATAACAAGAAATCCAGAGGTATGCAAGCTCCAGAGATGGTTAATTTAGTTCTTCAGTAATGTCATAGAAGACCCAGTTTCTTCCAGCTCGCACCCTAGCTATCTTCATCGGGTTGCACTTTTCCTCACGGTAACTCTCCTCAGAGTGAGAAGTGAGGCACAGCTGTACTAAGCAGATCTAATCCAGATAATATGACAGTGCCTGCTTCTCTTTTTACAAAGGGGAAAACCTCTTTTAGAACCCCCGGCCCTACCTAGTAGACTTCTGCTCATGGTTTTGGTCAGAACTAAGTCATGGGTCCTTTTGAAAAATCAGTTATTAGCACAGGGAAAGAGGGAATACTATGAACAGCTTAGGGCAAACACGTGGTCATGAATAGGACATGTTGCCAAGCAGACTGAAGTTATGTTAGGAAGGGAGAAGCGCAGGGATACAGTTATATTGGATAAGCAGCCACACAGCTTGCTGCTGTGTGCATTTATTCATTTATTCATTCAACAGATATTATCTATCATATACCCAGCATTGTGCTGGAGGTTGTGGACAGTAGTGAACATGAGAGACAAGATCCCTCCCCTGCCAGACCTTCCCCTCACCCCCTGCCCTTTGAGATGGAGAGGGTGTCCAGGCCTCCCCCCTTCACCCTCTGAGGTGGGGAGGCGTCCAGGGCCTCGCATCTCAGCATGGGACTGATAGGCTTGCCCTGACCTCTCGCAGGCATGAACACTGCTGTCTGGGCCGTGGCACACATGGGCATTTGTGTGGGCACCAAAGTCTTCCTCATCTGCGAGGTAAGGCTGAGGTGAGCTCTGTGTATGTGGGGAGCAGGAGCCTCCTGGGGTGCAGGCTGGGGTCTGGTCTGTGTGGGTCACCCTGGGAGCCTTCAGATGACCCTGGTGGAGCTAAGGTTCCAGACGTTCCCGTAGGGAAAGAGACGGTGGCCATGTAAACAAATAAACAAGATCCTTGTAGAGTGCCGTAACTATCATAAGGAAATCAGCAGAGCAGTGGACAGAGTGTGAACAGGGCCTGCACTGGAGGCGGACATGGAAGGTCCTCTGAGAAGGTAACATTTGATGAAGTAGGGAGCAACAAGTCCAGTGCAGATCAAGAGAGAGGACTCCAAGCAGAGCCAACAGCAAGTGCAAAGGCCCTGAGGCAGGAATGAGGTGGCTGTGTGGCTGAAGCAAAGTCTGTGCCTAATGACTAATCAAAAGTTGCTTCTGGCACCCAGCCTGGCTCCTGCCCCAAGCTGAAAACAGATCACCAGCAACAACTCTAGCTTCCCAAGCCTCTCCTGCCTAGACATGCAGCTCCACCCAGGTCAGAGGTACAGCTGCAGGGACCACAAAACAATGGGCTTAGCTCTGTGAAGACAGGAAAAGCCACCATGGTTTTGACAAAGAACCCAGGAATGGCGTTAAAGACTTCTTTGGGCAGTGTCCAATTTATGGAGCAATTTTGTTGGCCACATCTACGGAGGTATAAAAAAGACAGACATAAGGCAAGGATGGAACTACTTTGTTTATGTGTGTTGATATCCCTTCCCCATGCTCCTGTACGCCTCATAGCTCCTGCAGCGTGGTGGGTGATCCCAGTGGCTCCTATTTCACCTGGAGGCAGGACAGTGCTGCTGCCATGTGTGGCAGCTCTGCCAGGGGCTGAGGAGGCAGAGACTGTAATTCTCAGTTTGGTGTAATAATCCCTACCACTTTTCTGCGGCTGAGTTTCTGGGTGGGCATAAGTTCACTGGCAGCCTGGGTCCCCAATCTTATTCCCCTCCAGGCCTGGTAGCTCTTCTTTCTTGCAGTGAAAACCTCTCCGAGGGTTTTAATGATCCTGTCCAGTTCTGGCCTGCCACACCCATCACAGCCTGGTCAGTCCAGAGAGCGCTGAGTCCTCCTGCTTCCTCTGTCAGCAGTGACATCAGGCATCCTCCCTAGGCTTCCTCTGGAAACTCATCCCTTTTTGTCCCTCTTCCAGGTAGCCTTTTCCCCAGAATGTTGTTACTGGATTCATTTGATATTTTGTTTTCCTTTGAAGCTTTTGTGAAACTTGCGTAGGCTCATGGAGTATCCAAATGAGGCAACATCACCATCAGTCCTCCTTCCCTGGCTCACTGCCTCAGGAAACCAACCTGGTAGGTATTTCTGAGACTCCCAGTTTCTATGGAAGTCCCTGGGGATTTCTCACTCAAATCTGCAAAGTGCTTAGTCTTCCTGGACTTTTGGCTCTAGGCAGTTTGCTTGGAAGTATTGAAGGAGAGTAGCTCCCTGACCCCCATGTGATAATATTACAGGGCCTCAGAGCAGGGTTGTTTGGCATTCTAGGGGCTGGGAGATTGGTGAGACACCCCAGATGTCTGCTTGACTTCAGGGTGGCTGATTAGGGTGGGCTGATTACAGTAGAGTCCACCACCCTACACTCGGAACCGCAGCTTCCTCTGAATTGCAACTGTGCTGCTGCCTGGGACAGATTCCTTTCTTTTTAAGGTTGAAATTTCTCTTAAGGAGTCCATATTTGGGTTTTGTCCCTAACCACCCCACCTCCCCAATTCCCTGTCCTAAGTTCTGCAGGCACCAGGGACCGCCATTGTGAACACAGGGGGGTTCTTTCCTGGAGCTCCAGAATCCAGGTAGACATCTGGGAAGTGATGGGAAAAGAGGTCATTCCATCATTTGGACAAATCTAAATCTAAATTTAGCCCCAGCCTGCTATAGAATATCAGCATGAAAGAAACTTTGGAGGCTATTAGGTCAACTGCTTCATTTTGCAGATGAGAAAACAGAGGCCCAGAGAGGTGAAGTGGTTGGACCAAGAACATGCACCTCATGGCAGAGCTAGACTGACCCTGTTTCCTGACTTTCAGTCTGGGTCTCCATTCAATGTGCCTTCTGCCCTTGTCCCTTTTGAATTTTATAAAAGGTCCTTTACATTCAAGAGCCTCTTCTTTCTGTTCCCCTGCCCACCCTCTACCTTGTAGAACTTCTGATAAGACACCTAGGCCATGAGTGGCATTCTTGGGCTGTCTTGAGTGTGAAGACACCTTTGTGGCTAGCCTCCTTGAGCACATATGCGGGATCAACACATATTTATTGAATCAGACTAGGGCATAATTTTCCTTTTTTTTTGTGAGATGGAGTTTTGCTCCTTTTGCCCAGACTGGAGGGCGATGGCGCAATCTCGGCTCACCACAACCTCTGCCTCCCGGGTTCAAGCAATTCTACTGCCTCAGCCTCCCGAGTAGCTGGGATTACAGGTGCCTGCCACCACGCCCAGCTAATTTTGTATTCTTAGTAGAGATGGGTTTCTCCATGTTGGTCAGGCTGGTTTCAAACTTCCGACCTCAGGTGATCTGCCCACTTCAGCCTCCCAAAGTGCTGGGATTACAGGCATGAGCCACCATGCCTGGCCAATTTTCTTTTTTTTAATTCTCCAATAGTATATTAATAGAACTACTGTGAAAATGAAAGTGCGTATTTTTCATTTAAATAATCAGATTAAATCAACTTAGACTGTTATTTTTCCTGCAGGACTTACAGCTTATAATGGGCTAAAAAAGCACTGTGACTGTTGGCCGGGTGTGGTGGCTCATGCTTGTAATCCCAGCATTTTGGGAGGCTGAGCGGGGCGGATCACGAAGTCAGGAGATCGAAACCATCCTTGCTAACACGGTGAAACCCTGTCTCTACTAAAAAAAAAAAATACAAAAAATTAGCTGGGCGTGGTAGCAGGTGCCTGTAGTCCCAGCTACTCAGGAGGCTGAGGCAGGAGAATGGCATGAACCCGGGAGGCGGAGCTTGCAGTGAGCTGAGATCGCCCCACTGCACTCCAGCCTGGGTGACAGAGCGAGACTCTGTCTCAAAAAAAAAAAAAAAAAAGCAGTGTGACTGTGGCCATTTAACATGAACTTCAAAAAGTGTTCTCCGTACGATATTTTGGGAAAAGCTGCATGAAGGTGGATGCATGGAAAATCGAAGGCTTGCCTGATCCCCTTCCAGGGAATCCTGGTTCTCTGGGGCAGCCAGAGCTATGACTGGTCTCCAGGACAGGAATGTGCCTCCTCACTGGTGAAAGTGCCTCTCTGTGGCCTCAGGGCCTCTGTGAGGCAGGGCAGAGCTCCTGTCCCTGCATGAGCACACTTGGGGCTTCTGGAGTGGTTGAGACACTTATACTCCCTGCTTCCTGCTTCCTGGAGCAGAATTTAAGGAAGACTACTGGGCTTTTGCCTCAGGAGACCAGACGAAACAAAACCTGCTTTCAGAGGGGCATTCTTCTGACTTTTCCTTCAAGTGGAATTGTGACTGTAGGTTTGGGTTTGAACACCGAATTTCAATTTTGTACACACACACCAAGAGGCCTCAGGGCAAGGGGGTGTTTGAAATGAACACCAGCCCAAGTCCTCTACCTGCCGAGTGTTCGATTAAGCTGCTTAGGTCTGTTTCCACCATCCTGTCTTTCAAATATTTATGTGTCAGATTATAGGCAAGCTTCAAAGGCAAGGAAATGCAAATCTGTTCTATAAATCATGGAATAACACAGCTGCTGTCTTCCTCAGTGTGACAGCTTACGAATGCCAGCATTTCTGTCTGCAGAAGGGGTGGTGGAAGTGGGCTTCTCGAGCGCAGCCAGGCCTGTGTGCGTGCCAGTGTGTGTGTGTGTGTGTGTGTGTGTGTGTGTGTGTGTGTGTGTTGGGGGTAGGGAAGAGAGTAGGGCGTTCTAATAATATTTGCATTTTTGCAAAACAGCAGTTTTTTTGTTTTTTAAATTTCCCAGCAGTTAAGGAGTTAATTTAATTTGCTAATCTTAAAGAACTGTGGAGGGATAAAACCTCACTTGGGATCTGAGGCATCCAGAAAACAAGAGATGAAAATGGCTTTCAGTTTTGGGGAAATATACCTAGAACATAAAGTAAGGGGAGAGAAGTCAACAGCAATAACTTTGGGGATTCCAAAATGAATTTAATTTAGTGTAAATGAATAAAAAGGAAATTGTGCATTGCAAATACTTATGCAAATTAAGTTTTGCCCCCAGGGTCTTAACAATCTGCCAGTGAAGCCCCCAGTGTGCCAAAGATTAGACTTTTGTGGGCTCTTTTCGGCTGTTGCCATGAATACATCGATTTGGTACATTGGTGTTCAGTGACACATTAACATCCACCAAGACCGACAGTGGGGTTTATGGTCCTTGCCCAGCAGCTGGTTTTGGCCTGGTGTCATTCTGAGGAAAAACCTGGGAAAGCTGCAGTCAACAGGGTGCAGGGGCCCAAAGGAAGATGGTGTATAAGACAAAATGAGTGGGGATAAAGTTTGCCATGTATTAGTCAGGATTCTGTTGCAAGTGACTCAAACTCACTTAGGCAACAGGGGGAGTTTTCTGGGTCACTGAAGGGAACATTGAATAACCAAATCATGGGAAAGGAACGAAAGTAATTGGGCTTGGGAACAGTTGGAACAAAAACTGGAACACTTCTAGGACTGTCTTCCATCACCTGTCTTTACTTTTTCTCTCTATTGGCTCCTAACATGGCTGCATATTAGGACTAGTAGATTTTGTGCCAAACGACTTTTCCTATTATAAAGACTGTTTTGCACCTGACAACTTTTGTCTCTGTAGAATCCTAGTTTGAATAATCCCAGAGAAGAAATTTATGATTGGTTGAGCTGGGATCAGGTGTCCATGCCTGGACCAATCAACTGTAGGAAGAGGACAGAGAGTCACATAAAAACATGGCAGCTCTTATGGTAGTCATATTGATGATGGGAGGCTTTCCTAAAAAAAAAAAAAGGAGTGGGGAAGCTTTGGACAGACAGTCCAGTAAGCATCTACTACATTCTAGAGAGCGCTGGAAAAAAGACCAAAGGAGGCAAAGAAAGGGGGCCAGGAAAGATTGTGTGATGAATGAGTTGCATGTTGGAATTCATTGATTGACTCCTTGAAATTCAATATTCCATAGGATTCCTTAATGATGCTAAATGCTCCTGGTTCTTCTAGTTTTCTGATAGCTCTTATTCTGTCTCCTTGATTGTTCTGGATCCTTCTCTTCTCTGCACTGAGAATCTCCTCAAGATTACAGGCCCTTAGTTATGTATCTTGCCTCTAGAGAAGACAAATAGGTTCTTTCCAACTGCATAAACAGTATTCCCTGTCAGGACCCTCCTCTTACCTTCCAGAAGAAATCTACACTTGGATTTCCTTTAGTCACATTTAATGCCTTTCTAAAAAAGTGTGGTTCCTGAACCAGTCACATCAGAATCACCTGGAAGCTTATTGGAAATGCAGAATCTTGGGCCTTGTCACAAAACTACTGAATCAGAATCTGCATTCTAACAAGATGACCAGGTACTTTGTAAATCCATTAATTTGGAAAGCACCACTTTAAGCAATTAGAAATGGAACTCATAATCAACCTGCTCTCAGTGGCGAAATAAATGTTTTTTCACAATTTTCCTACCAGGTCAATGGCAACCCTGTCTAAAAACCCAGATTCACAACAACTCTCAAAATTACTTTTCCAATACTTTCTTGTCTTCATTACCTATGTCCAATCTATCACCAATTTGAACCTATTAATTCCACTGTCCAATTGGTCTGTTTTTCCTAACCATGCCTTCCTCACTTTCTGCAGGCTCTAATAGATGCATTTGCCAGTCAGCCTCCTCATTTAAAAAATGGGTCAAATAATGCTTATAATGCCTCATATACATATTTACATAGAATACAAATTTAATGTGTAATTATCTTCATCCTGGTAGGACTGGTTTTCCACTATGGCTTTGTATACAGTTGTAAGGGATATTGCAAATAACATATTATTAACCATAAAGTGCCAAAATCTATGAACAATTTTGATTTTAAATAAATTAGAAGGGATTAAATATTATTTCTAAAATTATTTTCCCTCATCTGCACTTTAATATGCTATAATGAGTAACAGAGAAAGTGGTGGAATAATACCAGGTAGGCCAGGAATTATAGATAGGAGTGTCTTACACATGAGCATCATGTATCACAGAGGTCAGCAAACTCTTTCTGTGAAAGGCCAGATAGGATTTTAGGCCTTCTGGGCCATATGGTTCCTGTTACAACTACTCAACTCTACCATCATAATGAGGAAGCAGCCAGAGGCAATACTTCTTGATTACTGTAGCTTTAAAGTAAGTCTTGAAATCAAATTAAGTCCTTCAGTTTTGAACTTCTTTTTCAAAATTGTTTTGGCTAACATAGGCTATTTTAATTTCTTACAAATTTTAGGTTCAGTATTACAATTGCTTAAAGAAAAAATGCCTGCTGGGATTTTGATTGGGGTTGCATATAATCTATATATCAATGTGATGAGAATGGACAGCATAACAATATTGAGTTTTCCAATTCACAAACAGTTATGTGTCTCCATTTTTTAAATGTCTTTAATTTCTTTCAGTAGTTTTTTTGTAGTTTTTAGCATAGGTCCTATACATGCTTAGTTAAATTAATTCCAAAATATTATCTATTTCTGATGCTATTGTAAATGATGTTTTACATTTTAATGTCTCACTTATTTGTTGCTTGTATACAGAAATACAATTTATTTTTTATGTTGACTTTGTATTCTACAACCTTACTAAATTCACTTATTAATGTAGTAGCCATTCAGGGTAGACTTGTATTTTCTAGATAGAAAATTATGTACATGGCTGGGCATGGTGGCTCATGCTTGTAATCTTAGCTCTTTGGTAGGCTGAGGTGGGAGGACTGCTTGAGGCCATGAGTTTGAGACCAACCTGGGCAACACAGCAAGACCTCATCTCTATTAACTAAAAGAAGAAAAGAAAAAAGAAAAGAAAAGAAAATTGTGTACTATGTGAATAAAAAAAGTTTAACTTCTGTTTTTCTAATCTGTAAGATTTTTTTTTTTTTTTGGTCTTATTTTACTGGTGGGACACCAATATTAATGTTGAATAGAAGAGAAAAAACAAACATTCTTGCCTGGATCTCAATATCAATGGGAAAATGTTGAGTCTTCCAATATTAATTTACAGTATTTGCTCAGGTTTCTCATTGATTCCTTTATTAGGTTAAGATGGTTGTCTTTTATTCCTAGTTTACTGAGTTTTAAAAATCATAACAAGGCACTGAATTTCATCAGATGATTTTTCTGCATTGTTGTAAATGATCATAGGATTTTTCTTTTTTATTCTATTAATGTGATGAATGACAATGATTGATTTTCAAATGTTAAATAACCTTGCATGCCTGGAATAAACTCCATTCAGTCATGATGTATTATCATTTTAATTGTATTTCTGGATTCTAGTTGCTAATAGTTTGTTAAGAATTTTTTATCTATGCTATGTTCATAAGGAATTAGACTATAATTTTCTTTTAATGTCTTTGTCTGGTTTTGTTATTAGAATAATGGTGACTTCATAAAATGAGTTGGGAAGTATTTCTTCCCCCTCTATTTTCTGAAAGATTTTGCTTAAGATTGGTATTATTTCCTTTTTAAATGTTTGATAGAATTCATTATTTAATCTATCTAGGCCCAGAGTCCACTTTGTCAGAAGATTTTAAGTTATAAATCCAATTTATTTAGGCTTAACATAGAATTGTTGAAATTTTCTATTTCTTCTAGTGTCAATTTGAGTTATTCATGTTTTCAAAGGAATTATCCATTTCAACTAAACTTTTTAATTTGTTGGCATAAGTGGTTCATAATATCCCCTTTTTATTTTTTAATGTCTATAAGACTTATAATGATGTCCCTTCTTTTATTATTAATATTTATTTTTGTGTTTTTGCTTTTTCTTTCTTTATCCATCTTGCTAGTAGAAGTTTATTTTTTATTTTTAGGGGTTGTTTTCTCTTTAATGGAAAACAAAGCTTATTTTGAGGATTTTTTTCATTCATCAAACATTAGCTTGGAATTGATGACTGGCATAGTATTGGGAGTTTGGTTGGGGAGGGACTACAAAAATCAGAAGATAGTTTTTACTTTCTTGTTTTAAATTTTGTTCTATCAACTACTGAGAGGGGGTTATTAAAAATCTCAAACTATACTTTTGTATTTGTGTGTTTTTTCTTTCAGTTCTGCCAGTTTTTTCTTTGTGTATGTTCAAACTTTGTTGTTAGGTGCTCATACATTGAATATTGTAAGTATTCTTGATCAATTGACCCTTTTTTCATGATGAAATATTTCCCTTTAATCTGGAAGTATTTCTTTTTTTTTTTTTTTTTTTTTTTTTTGAGATGGAGTCTTGCTTTGTCGCCCAGGCTGGAGTGCAGTGGCGCGATCTCAGCTCACTGCAAGCTCTGCCTCCCGGGTTCACGCCATTCTCCTGCCTCAGCCTCCCGAGTAGCTGGGACTACAGGCACCCACCACCATGCCCAGCTAATTTTTTGTATTTTTAGTAGAGACGGGGTTTCACCGTGTTAGCCAGGATGGTCTCAATCTCCTGACCTCCTGATCTGCCCACCTCGGCCTCCCAAAGTGCTGGGATTACAGGCGTGAGCCACCGCGCCCAGCCTGGAAATATTTCTTATGAAGTCTACTTTGTCAGATTTCAAAGTGGCCACTCTAGCTTTATAATTAATATTTGCCAGGTATATCTTCTGTTCTTTAACTTTTACCTGTATGTATCTTTGTATTAAAAAACTAAGCCTTGTAGAAAACATATAGTTGGATGTTGCTTTTCTACCAAGTATAATAGTATCTCTTAATAGATGATTTTGGTCCTACTATACTTTTCTACCAAGTATAATAATACCTTTTAATAGATGATTTTGGTCCATTTTTACCTAATACAATTCTTGATATGGCTGTGTTAAATCAGTTAACTATTGACTTATTGGTTTCATTTTTTTCTTTGTTTTGTTTTCCTTTCTCTCTCCCTTCTTTTGAGTTAAAAAGTTTATTTTTTCATTTTATTTTCACTATTGTCTTATTAGCTATAACCTTTTTAATAGTTTGCTCTAGGGTTTATATAATGTGTCTTTTATTAATTTTTTTCTTCTATAATGTAGAATCTGCTTTTAAATCTGCCTAGTGGGCTTTTTATTTTAGATATTGGGGTATTTTTTAGCTTTAGATGGCTGATTTGTTTCTTTTTCTTTTTTTTTTTTTTTTTTTTTTGAGATGGAGTTTCACTGTTACTGCCCAGGTTGGAGTGCAATGGCGCAATCTCAGCTCACTGCAACCTCTGCCTCCCAGGTTCCAGCGATTCTCCTGCCTCAGCCTCCCAAGTAGCTGGGATTACAGGGGCCTGCCACCACACCCAGCTAATTTTTTCTGTTTTTAGTAGAGACGGGTTTTACCATGTTGGCCAGGCTGGCCTTGAACACCTGATCTTAGGTGATCCACCTGCCTCAACCTTCCAAAGTTCTGGGATTACAGGTGTGAGTCACCGTGCCTGGCCTGTTTCTTTTAATGATTTCCATTTACTTATTTATTATGTTCCTGTTTTCCCTTAATTGCTTGAACAAATTTATAATCATTGTTTTAAAGCCCTTGTTTGCTAATTCCATCTTTGTCATTTCTAGATCTGCTTCTATTGTCTGATTTTCCCTTTCATTATGGGTTACACTTCTTGCTTATGGCATGTCTAATAATTTTGACTGGATACTGGCAATTGTGAATATTCCATTGTTTGCCTAAATTTTCTTGTGTTTCTTTAAAACTTATTGATTTTTGTTCTTGCAATAAATTAATTTCAGATCAGCTTTATCCCTTTGAGGCTTTTTTAGAAAGAGTCTAGAGTATCCTTTGCTCTAGGACTAGTTTAGCCCTACTAGTAAGACATACTGTTTCTGGGATTTCACCTGAATGCATCAAGTACCCAATGAGGTCTTTCCCTTCTGGCTGGCCTGATCTCAAGTATCTCCCAATCCTGTGCAAGCTCTGGTAGTTGCTCAGTTTATAGTTCCCCATAATTTATCTTTCCTTAATCATTTATTATTTCCCAGGGTTTATGGAGTTTCACTTTAAACATATACATCTTATTATTTAGCCAAAGATTCAAGAGGATCCTCTGCAGATTTCTGGAACTTATTCTGTGTTGCTCTTTCACTCTGCTACTCTGTCTCACAAGTTCCATCCAGCTGCCTCAGCCTTCCTGAACTCCAGTCTCTGACTTTTTGAGTCAATGAGACTGCCATACTCTGATTGAATTCCCCTTTCCTGCAACTGGTCCAGAAAATGCATTGAAATAAAAGGCTAGGGCTATGGCAGGGCTCACCTCACTTGTTTCTCATCTCTCTGAGATCTCACGCCTGAAATGCCTATTGTTCAATAACTGAAAATAACTATTTCAGATATTAATATTTTTGTGTAGTTTTCTAGTTGCTGACACTTGGTGGACTAGATGTGCGCTAGTTACTTCGTTCTGACCATAAACAGTCTTATTAAAATTTAATTTTATGCTGTTTTTCATGAACACACCTTTCCAGTCAATTTTCAGCTGATCCCTATATACAATTTGATGTTCTTCAGTGTATTTAGACCTTTCAGGCCTTCCTCAAATGCATTTTCTCCTTTCTTTCTATGCCTCACTCCTTACAAAAGCTATTTCAAACTCATCTTTTCCAGAAAACCTCCTATGATTAATCCATCCACCCTCTTTATTCACCCGCCCTTTGTTGTAATTTGTATTTCATTTCTACTACATTAAATTGCACTTTTGGCCATGTAGTTTTGTTAAGTTTTTGGCAGTCATTTTATGTGTGACTGTTTTGCTGATGATTATAAGCAGAAGCTTATAAATAGAAAAAGCCTGTCTTCCGTTTATTCCCTTTGTTGCAAACCCACCTAATTCAACTGGCTGTTCCCAAGGTAAATATTGGTGACCCTCTATAGTTTGGTGGAGAGGCATTGTATTATGAAACAAATGAAGCTAAATATCAGAGCTCTCATGCGATGGACCACTTCCAAGGCCCTGGGAGAGTCCCCAGCCATCTGTTTATATGGTAGATGGTTTTATAAATTTTGCAAGGGACAGATTTGAACCACAATGGAATAAGGCACTCTCTCTTTCCATTATGAATTTCTTTCAGCCAGTCTCCCCTTTCAGGTGGTGGGGAGTGACTGTAAGCATTTTGGGGATCTAGTCAAGGAAAGTTGAGTTGGTGATACATTTAGCTGAGGTTTAGTGGGAGGTATTTATGTGGTTTGCAGACATTTCCATGTATAGTTAACTTATTCCTAGCTGTCCTGTGCAGGAATATTCTTACCACCCACGGGGCAAACTTACCAAGTGATATAACAGGAAGATACAGAACCAGAGTACCTATGAACATGAACCTATGCTGTGGCACCCAGCACTGGATCCTTACAGGGAGTGGGGAAGAAACAAGGTTTTAATTGTGCAAAGCCAGAAACTAATCTCTGGAAGTGTCTTTCCATTAAGACATAAACAATTCTAAGTGGAGGATTCTGTTCTCATCCATTTCTAGTAAAGGACATTCTGTCAGGAGTGTGCTCTATATGCAGTGTATACAATTATAAACACTCCATGATGTTTTCTTTTGTGAAGATATTATGCAAAACTAAATTCATCAGAATTTTTCTGTTTATAGTGCACAACCTTGTGGAAGAACTACAAAGAGTGAACTTGTCTATTGAAGTTGCATGTTTTATGAATCTTAAAAATTAACATGGGAAAAATTTTGATCAACCAAGTTAGAGGAAGCACCAAATTATTTTATTCTCTCTATAGAAAGTATTACAACATGCTGGTGACATGAAGAGGCCATCGAAGAGGAAGCAGCAAAAAACATAAGAAAATATATTACACAGCCATATCAACCATTAGTTAATAGAAATACTGTGTTATTTGGGGGATTTTTGTGGTATTTGTAAACTTTTTAAAATTTGAAGTCATCGGCCAGGCACAGTGGCTCACGCCTGTAATCCCAGCACTTTGGGAGGGCGAGGCGGGTGGATCACCTGAGGTCAGGAGTTCAAGACCAGCTGCCAACATGGTGAAACCCCGTCTCTACTAAAAATACAAAAATTACCCAGGCATGGTGGTGCATGCCTGTAATCACAGCTACTAGGGAGGCTGAGGCAGGAGAATATCTTGAACCCTGGAGGTGGAGGTTGCAGTGAGCTGAGATCATGCCATTGCACTCCAGCCTGGGCAACAGAGACTCCATCTCAAAAAAAAAAAATTTGAAGTCATTTTTTCTCATTCTGTATAAACATTCATTTTCATAGATAATTTTGTATTTATAATTTTTAATATTTCTTTTCCAAAGAAGACCCTGAAGGTATGTAAGCCTCAGGCCCCACAAAAGTTGGATCCAACCTTGAGCAGGTGAGGATGTTGCCTCTTCCCCTTCTTAACCTTGTTATCAGGTGATACGTTTTGGCTATGTCTCTACCCAAATCTCATCTTGAATTGCAGCTCCCATAATTCCCACATGTTGTAGGAGGGACCTGGGGGGAGATAATTGAATCATGGCGGTGATTTCCCCCATACTGTTCTCATGGTGGTAAATAAGTCTGACAAGATCTGATGATTTTATAAGGGATTTCTCCTTTCACTTGGCTCTCATTTTCTCTGTTGTCTGCTGCTTTGGTAAATATTAGCTAACCATCCCTGGAGTATGCATTCCCAATTACAGTAAGTTATCATCCCTTGGGTGCAGATTACATCTAAATAACATATACAGCAAATCACACTGCCAGTGCTGAAGCGTTTCAAAGTAAATTCAGACATAAACAAAGTAAACAGAGAACATAACTTACCTATCTCTTCTGTTACAGTTGCTTTTTCATTGAGTCCTGTGGAGCTCAGGTTCCTGTGGAGGGTAGCAGAAGGGAAACTTCAATTACAGTATAACTGGTCTGATCTGTTCTACATATTAAAGTTCATGCTATTTTCTTTGTGATAAATAAAGACTGTTCTGCTGCATCTGAAACTCTGAAAACCATTGCTCTAGCGCTAACCGCCTGTCTCTATAACAGGTATCCACTCACAGTTATAATGAAAGCCCAAAGATGTGCTTGAGTTAGCTTATGTCAATGAAAATGTTGCTAGAGACTTGGTCTAGATTTGCTGAGCGGCATGTGAAAACTACAGTGTACTCTGATCCTCCTCTCCCTCTCTCTTTTCACCACCATTGTTGTCAATATATATTCCTTCCACATTTTACCCACAGAAATCTTTGTGTACTGGGGTCACATTCTCCATAACCAAGTTGTCAAACAGGAAGACTTCTGGAAAAGAAGATTTCTCCTAACTTGGGGAAGAGCACTTAGAGGGAAAGAGATGAGAGATGGTCAGAGCCAGGATGTATTTAATCTTGGTCTGCAGTGGACATTTATCATCTGCCAAGACTCCTTCTTTCTGGCACTGACATCCTTTCACTTAGGAACATCCCCCCAATGATGAGGCTCTGTAAGGGCTTCTCTCATTTTCCCTTGGACTGTAAGATGACCTAATATTCCAAGATATTAACCAAGTGCTTTTTTTTTTCTTTGAAATGGAGTTTTGCTCTTGTTGCCCAGGCTGGAGTGCAATGGTGCAATCTCAGCTCACTGCAACCTCTGCCTCCCAGGTTCAAGCGATTCTCCTGCCTCAGCCTCCCGAGTAGCTGGGATTACACGCATGTGCCATCACGCCTGGCTAATTTTGTCTTTTTAGTAGAGACAGGGTTTCTCCATGTTGGTCAGGCTGGTCTCGAACTCCCCACCTCAGGTGATCCACCCTCCTTGCCCTCCCAAAGTGCTGGGATTGCAGGCATGAGCCACCGTACTTGGCCTAACCAGGTGCTTTCAAAGGTGTTTTGAACCAAGAAGCAAGTCCTGCCCTGTTGGATGCAAAACTGGAAACATGTGAGATGGGAACTGCTGGCATCCATGCCTCCAGCCTGAGAGGAAAGCCAGCCAGAGAGCA
Source organism: Homo sapiens (assembly GCF_000001405.40). Classification (NCBI taxonomy): domain Eukaryota; kingdom Metazoa; phylum Chordata; class Mammalia; order Primates; family Hominidae; genus Homo; species Homo sapiens. The sequence goes on from NC_000001.11 coordinate 116,707,589, forward strand.
TAGAGCTGCCTGCAGCACGCAGGAAAAAAGGGTGAGGAGAGCGTGTCCCGAGAGCCTCCAGCTTCTGGTTCTAGTGGCCACTGATGTCCAACCCTGTTTCTGCCCTTCTTGTTTTGGTTACAGGAGCCCACAAATCCTCTCTACCATTGGCGCTTATTGGAATTGAATTTCCATCATTTTTTTAAAACCGAGAATGTACAAAACAACGCACTGGCTACAGCAGCAAAATTATAGAGCCTGATAAAAGAAAAGAAATAGAAACCACAAGAAGAATGGAGGAAATCTCCAGTAATTCACAGGAAATAAAATAAACCAGGGAGAATAAAACTTTGCAGTCTTGGATGTCTGCACCACAGGCAACAGAGTATAGGCACTGATACAAGTGACCTTGAGATCATAGCTCAGGAAAGCCCTTGTGCCTGTGCTGGTTCTCTGAGCCCAGGCAGCTGGGATGGCAGCAATGGAACAGCATTCCTTTCTCAAAAGACAGAGCTAGGAGGGAATGGAGTGGAGGAGACCATCATGAGAGCTCCTGCATGAAAACCCACAAACCATTAGTAGAGAGAGTAATGGAGAAGGTAAGGAGAGAGAGGGAAGGGGGACTGTGGTCTGCACAAGAGGTTGTGCAGCCAGATTTAAGGCCTGGAAGCCACGCTCCTGAGAATCACAGTCCACATGCTGGGTTGGGGCAGAGAGCCACATGCAGCTCACTAGCAGGGAAAATCAGGGCCTGGAGACATAGAAAGCCAAGAGTCAGGCAGCAGCAACTGGCTGACCCTGGTAGGCAGTTCCAGGAGTGGGCACATCTGGGCTCAGGGACTGGAAGCAAAATGGATTGACTCAAGAGTAGACAAATATGGGTTCAAGGTCAATCAAAGAGCAGAAACCAGGTGACACAGGTGAGTCAAATCTAGAAAGAGAGTTGTAAAAGTGGGCAGACACAGGTAGAGGAGGACCTAGGAACAGAGGCTAGAAACCAGAAGGGGTCTGCTGGGGTGGATGGACGGAGGGGCAGGAGCCAGCAGACACAAAGTTGCGCATGGAATTTCACCAGATGGCTGTCTGCTGCTGAGCTGTGGCTTTTCTTCCTGCTTGTCCACAAGCAGGTGGCTCTGCCCTCGGGGCTCAAAGGCATGAGCAGGCCTTCTGACAACACATTTGACAACGCTGGCACGGAGGCAAGATCGAGTGGGGATAGCTGGGAATCTCCTTCTTCTAGACCCTGGGTGTCTGATAAATTCTCCTCATGCTGACAATTTCATCTTTCATAGTTTAAAGAAAGAAATGAGAGGGACTGCTACCCTGTACCTAAGTGCTCTGCAGAAGTGGAAGTGATAGGGACCCTAAGAGGAGCCAGTTTTTGCAAAGTTGGTGGTATCCGGGGCTCAGGCAGAACCCATTCGGAAAGCAGAGTTCAGAAGTATTCAGAAAAGAGACTCTCAATGAGAAGACAGCTCAAGAGAAAAGGGAGGCTAATTGGGGCTAATTGTATTTTGTTAACAGATGATAGCAAGAAGGCAGAATTCAGGCTGTGTGCGGTGGCTCATACCTGTAATCCCAGAATGTTGGGAGGCTGAGGCAGGTGGATCACCTGAGGTCAGGAGACCAGCCTGGCCAACACAGAGAAATCCTGTCTCTACTAAAAATAAAAAAAAATTAGCCAGGTGTGCTGATGCATGCCTGTAGTCCCAGCTACTCAGGAGGCTGAGGCGGGAGAATCGCTTAAATTCAGGAGGAGGAGGTTGCAGTGAGCCAACATTGCACCACTGCACTCCAGCCTGGGCAACAGAGCGAGACTCTGTCTCAAAACAAAACAAAACAACACAGGCAGAACTCCTCAAATTGTACTTTACATCCTGGTTCTCAGTCAAGAAGACCCATCTTCAGACTGGAAAGGGCAGAATTAGTGCTGATTAGAGGGAAACAAAGCCACATAAAATTGCTCTGAGCAGACTTCACACACCCATTAAATACCCCACCAGAATTTAGCCCTCGCAAAGGGTTCCTCAGATATTTCTGAGATTCTCTCTGGGTGCGGAGCTGCAAATGCTTGTTCACTACCCCAAATCATCCCCTGATGCTAATGACACTCAGGATACGGACCCTTTGCAGGGCATAGCTAGCCAGCTCTGCTGCTGCCAGCACCTGGGATGAGGGATGCCGGACTTCCCTTTGCTTTCCATCCTAAGCACAGGACACAGCATTCCCTGAGTCCCCAGAGCACAATCCTCTCTCTAATACACAAGCTGCACAAGTGCAGGAATTTTTGTACCCCACCCACACCCCCACTTATGTAACCCCAAGGTCTAAAACAGGTTTGGTAGGCAGTAGGAGCTCAGTAAATCTCTGACTCTTTAACAAGTGTATAATAAACATTCAAAAGTGAAAGAAAGGGCTGGACAAGGTGGCTCATGCCTGTAATCCCAACACTTGGGAGACCAGGATGACTGGACTGCTCGAGCCTGGGAGTTCGAGACCAGCCTGGGCAACATAGCGAGATGCTGTCGCTATTTTAATTTTTAAAAAGCTAAAGAAAGAAAGAACAAGGCGGATAATAACTAACAACAATTAAAAGATGTTGTGAATTTCAGGATCCTCAGACTCAGATTTAGAAATGCCCGGTGATGAAAATGTACCCACCTTAAGCAGGCTGATGGCTTGGCATGCAGAAGATGTCTTTGTGGGCAGAAAAAGCTTCACCAGGCTGAAAAAAATAGAAAAATGTGTCCCCTCTCCCCACCTGCAAGGCAGGCAGATACATTAGAAGACAGAGATCCCACTTGGTGGGCAGGTCCTTGTCAGGTAAGGGTTCGGTTAGTAGGTGGTACCTTTGTGTCAAGAAGAAGGCGTGCCTTTCTCCCAGCAAGGGCAGCCCTTGGGTGCACAGCTTGGCCACACTCTGTTGGACAAAGCTGCACTGTCTTCCTACAGGGCTCCTATCCTGTCATGTGGCATGAGCCAGCACAACTGCACACAGTGCAAGTGCCCTCAAATCAGGTCTGCTCTGCCTAGAATCCCAGCCCCACCCCACCCAAGACCCAGAAAGGGGAAGGGATTCTCAAGCTGCCTCCCTGCACTTATTTCTGCCCAACACCTGCTCCTCCCTGGTGACCAATGATGGGACATCTATTCTCCCAGGAAACCCAGCCCTCACTCCAGGCCTATGATCTCATCCTGTGGCACCCAGTACAACAGCCCCATCAGAACACAATAGTCTCAAGGGCTTTGGGGTCATTATACTTCAATAATGCCACTTGAAGGGCAGAAACTGTCCATTGAACACACTTAGTTCTCTTTTATAGGCTGTCTTCTAGGGAGAGGTGAATATTCTGCCTGAATGTCCTTCTGTAGTCCTCTGGGCTGGCTGGTATTGCAAACAATTGCTCTGGCAAAAAACACTCTCCACTCTGCAAGGATAAGCAAACACTGTAATTCACTACATTCCTACCGAGTTAAGAAATATTTCACTCCTTCCTGGAAAGCAAGAAAATTATAGAGACTTAGCTCAGGCTTGACCATATCCAAAAACATACACAACCAAAACAAAACATTTATCATCCAAACCTAAAATCATCATCCAGAATAATGATGACTTTATAATTGTTCCAAAGAGCACACTGGGCACTTGTTCCAGGCATATGTGTGTAACAAAAATACCCATGAAGTGTGACCCAAGGGCTGACTGTTCAGATGAATTCTGTAATGGTTAATATTAGGTGTCAACTTGATGGGCTTGAGGGATGCCTAGATGGTTGGTGAAGCACTTTTTCTGGGTGTGTCTGTGAGGGTGTTTCTAGAGAAGACTGACATATGAGTAAGTGGAGTGGGAGAGGAAGACCCGCCCTCACTGTGGATGGGCACTGTCTGGTTGGCTGCCAGCACAGCAGAACAAAGCAGGCAGAAAAAAGCAGGCAGAAGAAAGCAGGCAGAAGAAAGCAGGCAGAAGGGGCATATGCAGCTTGCTGGGGCTTTCTCTTTCTCTCTCCCTTCTAGAGCAGGCCTCCTTTTCTCCTTCTGCCTTTGGGCATCTGACTCCAGGTTCTTCGGCTTTTGGACTCTGGGACTTGTACCAGTGACCTCTGGGGTGCTGTCAGCCCTTCAGTCTCAGACTGGGAGCTGCACTGTCAGCTTTCCTGGTTTTGAGGCTTAGGTCTTGGACTGAGACAAGCTACTGGTTTTTCTGATTCTCCAGCTTGCAAGCCCTATTGTGGGACTTTGCCTTTGTAATTGTGTGAGCCAATTCTCCCTAATAAACTCACATACATATATACACACACATATACAATTACTCAGGGTTCTCCAGAGGGACAGAACCAATAGGATACATGTATATATATGTGTATATATACAAATGTATATGTATCTTATATATATGTATCCTATTTGTTCTGTCCCTCTGGACAACCCTGAGTAATTCACCATCTTCTTTCTGAACAAAAAGTAATGCTGGTTTGAATGGCAGTTTCTTCCAGATTCTACCCATATGGTTCTTAAAGACAATGATAGGGTCCAGGATAAAAAAGTAGTTAAGGGAGTGTAAAAGAGCTTCATGCAATTGGAAGTGGTGTCAAGTTTCTTGGCCCAAAAACATTTTACCCTTGGGTGCTAAGAGATCTTGCAAATGCATTGCTCAGTTCTATCAATAATCTTTGTGGGACTGTAGTGAGCAAAAATGGTGCCATAGCACTGGACCCAGGCAAATGTCCTAAGTGCAAGAAATAGAAGTTGAGTTCTGGAGATTACAGAACGGCAAATGACCTAGATTCTGGTCATATTTATGAATAAATTGTTTAAAGAGAATTTATGAGCACCTACAAAAGGAAGTAGTGATTACCAGTGTAACTAAAATGCAGGTTAGTTGCTCGCTGTATGTGGAGTCCAGTTAACAAGAGCAAGGTCTGATAGAAAAAAAAGCAAATTGATTCCAAAGTTAGCTTGGGGAAGGGGCACAAAGGGTCCTGCCTTAAAATGTGCTGCTTCACTTTGGGAGCAGAAAGCAGGGATTTTTATAAGGTAAGGGAGGAAATGAGCAAGGGCAGGGGGTCTCCCTCCTAGCTTGATGATGAGTTGGCGCTTCCTGGGCAGAAGTAAGTTGAAAAAGTGGCCAAGCGGGTGTGCTTTCGATTTCCCCTCCTGGTGGATGAAAGTCCTGAGGCAACCCTGGGAAGATGGAAGTTCCGAGGCAACCTCTGGATGTGAAAATTCCTTGGTGGGTGTGCTTTGGTCTGCAAATCGACTGCCAGCTCTCAAGGAGAGATCCGTCTTGGAGCACACAGTTAGAAAAACTTGCCCTGTAGGGAAAGCCAGGTGATGGGGAGGAGAATGGTTATATTTGCATTTCTGAAGGGCTAAGGGGGCCAGGGAGATGAGAAAAGAAGAGAGAGAGAAGGAAAAAAACAATTAAATCACCTCTAGAAAAACAGGGGTGCTGGGTTACACTAGGAACTAGTATAGATTCACCCATAATGTTAAAGGCAAAGTAACCACTTTTCCTTTTTGAGAGGACTGTTAAACTCAGGAGACTGAGGTAGTGTGTGTGTCTCAAGGAAGAGAACAAGGCTTTCACTCCATTTCTGACTTTTTAAATTAGAGGTTGTACATCCATGGCTCATGGTTTCTTGTGTTTTAGTTGGCTCTGCCCAGCATTTATGATACTTTCAATTCAGTTGCTAACATTTAAAAACAAGGAGTGTGGCAAATCCTATTCTTGTCCCCAGTTATCCCTTACCCTCCCTTTGTGGCCTATGGGAGAGGCGTAGGTCCTCTCCCCACTCCCTCAGGCCTGGACAGGGGCCTTGCTTTGGCTAATAGGGTGTAAGCAGAAGTGACCTGTGCCACCTGGTGAGCAGTGGCTTGAAGAAGCACCACGTGGGTCTGCGGGCCCTCTTCTCCCTCGGCCACAAAACGGTGTGTCCAGGATGGGTCTGCTTTACAGCTGGATCCTGGAACAAGAAGACATGCAGAGCAGAGCCACAGCTGCTGACAACAGGAGCAGAAATGAACTTTTCTTTTCAATGCTATTGTAAATGGGATTTTTTTTTTTTCCTGAGCACAGGGGACTTTATTGATAGTACGTGACAAGATGGGGCTCCCTAGGCCCCTCCCTCTTCAGAGGATCTGCATGGAAATTGTGAAGAGGGGAGATTCTCAGTGCAATGGGGGACTGAGTGCAGCAGAAACTCCCCAGCAGTGAGGGCCTCTCTCTTCCTCTCATGCTGTCACTGGGGCTGGTGGTCTGGGGGTCTTACTCCTTGGAGGCCATGTGGGCCATGAAGTCCACCACCCTGTTGCTGTAGCCAAATTCATTGTCATAACAGGAAATAAGCTTGACAAAGTGGTCATTGAGGGCAATGCCAGCCCCAGTATCAAAGGTGGAGGAGTGGGTGTCACTGTTGAAGTCGGAGGAGACAGCCTGGTGCTCAGTGTAGGCCAGGATGCCCTTGAGGGGGCCCTCTGATGCTGCTTCACCACCTTCTTGATGTCATCATATGTGGCAGGTTTTTCCAGACAGCAGGTCAGGTTCCTGGCCAACACATTGTCAGTGGGGACTCAGAAGGCCATGCCAGTGAGCTTCCCATTCAGCTCAGGGATGACCTTGCCCACAGGCTTGGCAGTGCCGGTAGAGGCAAGGATGATGTTCTGGAGAGCCCTGCGGCTGTTATGACACAGTTTCCTGGAGGGGCCATCCACAGTTTTCTGGGTGGCAGTGATGGTGTGGACTGTGGTCACGAGTCCCTCCACAGTACCAAAGTTGTCATGGATGATCTTGGCCTGGGGTGCTAAGCAGTTGATGGCACAGGAAGCATTGCTGACTATCTTGGGGCTGTTGTCCTACTTCTCATGGTTCAAGCCCATCATGAACATGGGGGCATCAGCAGAGGGGGCAGAGATGATGACCCCTTTGGCTCCCCCTGCAAATGAGCCCCAGCCTTCTCCATGATGAAGATGTCAGTGGACTTCACAACATACCCAGTGCCAGCATCACCCCATTTGATTCTGGTGGAATCTAGCTCCTGGAAGATGGTGATGGGATCTCTATTGATGACAAGCTTCCTGTTCTCAGCTTTGACAGTGCCATGGAATTCGCCATGGGTGAAATCATACTGGAACATGTAGACCATGTAGTTGAGGTCATTGAAGGCATCATTGATGGCGACAATATCCACTTTACCAGAGTTAAAAGCAGCCCTGGTGACCACGCACCCAATACAGCCTAATCCATTGACTCCAGGCTTCACCTTCACCATGATGTCTCAGGGATGCAGCTGGCGCTACACGAGAAGATGCAGCTGTCTGTGGAATGGGAGGAGCAGAGAGCCGGGATTTTCTTAATTGCTTCCCTCCCTCACTGCCCCCCCACCGAGGCAGAGTCTTGCTCTGTCGCCCAGGCTGGAGTGCAGTGGCACGATCTCCGCTCACTGCAACCCCCGCCTCCCGGGTTCAAGCAATTCTCCTGCCTCAGCCTCCCGAGTAGCTGGGATTACAGCCATGCACCACCACTATGCCAGGCTAATTTTTGTATTTTTAGTAGAGATGGGGTTTCACCATGTTGCCCAGGCTGGTCTCGAACTCTTGACCTTGTGATCTGCCCACCTTGACCTCTCAAAGTGCTGGGATTACAGGCATTAGCCACTGCTCCCGGCCCTCTTGATTGCTTTTTTAGAAAATTTGTTGTTAGTGTATAGAAACACTACTGATTTTTCTATGTTGATTTTGTATCTTGAAACTTTGAAAAATTTGTTTATCAGTTCTAACAATTTTTGGCAGTCTTTAGGATTTTCTCTAAGACCAGATTGCCAGCCAATAGAGGCAATTTCACATCGTCCTTTCCTATTTAGATGCCTTTTGTATCTTTTGCTTGCCTAATTGCTCTGGCTAGAACTTCTAGCACTATGTTGAACAGAAGTATCAGGAGTGACGTCCTTGCCTTATTCCTGAGCTTAGAAGAAAAACTCTCAGCTTTTCACTACTGAGTATGATGTTAGCTGTAGCCTTGTCATATGTGGCCTTTATTGTGTTGAGGTACATTTCTTCTGTTGAGAGTTTTAATCATGAAAGGATGTTGAATTTTATCAAATTTTTTTTCTATATTGAGATGATGGTTTTTGCCCTTCATTCTGTTAATATGGTGTATCACATTTATTGATTTGTGTATGCTGAACCACCTTTGCACCCCAAGGGTAAATCTCACTTGATCATGGTGCATGATCCTTTTATGTGCTGTTGAATCCAATTTGCTACTATTTTGTTGACAATTTTTTCGTCTATGTTCATCAGGGATATTGGCCTGTAATTTTATTTTCTTGTAGTGTCCTTGTCTGGATTTAATACCAGGGTAAAGGCAGGCTTGAGAAATGAATTTGAAAGTATTCCCTCTGCTTCAATTTTTTGGAAGAGTTTGAGAAGAATTGATATTTTTCTTCTTTAAATATTAGGTAGAATTCAGCTATGAAGCCATCCAGTCCTAGGCTGTTTTTTGATGGGGAGCTTTTTATTACTGATTCAATCTCCTTACTAATTATTGATCTATTCAGATTTTCTATTTCTTCATGATTCAGTTTTGGCAGGTTGTATGTGTCTAGAAATTTATCCATTTCATCTAGATTGGATTTCATAAAAATCCAATTTTTTGGCAAATAATTGTTCATAGTCATTTCTTATGATCCTCTGTATTTCTGTAGCACCAGAAATACAAGCTAAATAGTTTCTACACAGCAAAGGAACCAACTAACAGAATAAAGAGGCAACACATAAACAGGGAGAAAATATTTGCAAACAATTCATCTGTTAAGGAGTTAATATCCAAAACATATAAGGAACTCAAACAACTCAATAACAAGAAAACAATCCAATATTTTAAGTGGAAAAAGGACCTGAATAGACATTTCTCAACAGAAGATGTACAAATGGCCAACAGCAGGGAAATGCAAATTAAAACCACAATGTGCTATCACTTCACACCTGTTTCTAACAGGCCATTATAAGAAAGACAAAAGAGAAATGTTGGTGAGGATGTGGAAAAAAAGGAACCCTTGTACACTGACCGTGGAAATGTAAAATAGTACAGCCATTATGGAAAACAGTATGGAGCTTTCTCAAAAAACGGAAATTAGAATGAACAGATGACCTAGTCATCCAACTTCCGGGTATATATCCAAAGAAATTAAAATCAGTCTGTTGAAGAGATATCTGCACTCTCCTTCTCATTGCAGTATCATTCACAATAACCAAGACATGGAATCAATCTAAGTGTCTATCAACCAGTGAATGGATAAAGAATATGTGGTATGCATACACAATATATGCAACAGAATACTATTCAGCCTTTGAAAAGAAGGAAATTCTGTCATTTGTGACAACATGGGTGAACCTGGATAATATAATGCTAAATGAAATAAAACAGGCACAGAAAAGCACATACAGCATGATCTCACTTATATGTGGAATCTAAAAAAGTTGAATTTCTAGAAGTAGAGTAGAATGGTGGCTACAAAAGGCTGAGGAGTGCAGTGGGGTGGGGAACAAGTAGTGTTGATCAAAGGGTACAAAGTTTCAATTATACAAGAGGAAGATGTTTTTGAGATGGTCTCAGCATGGCACAGCATGGTGACCATAGTTAGTAATAATATATTATAAACTTCAAAATTGCTGAAAGAGTAGACTTTAAATGTTCTCATTGTGCAAGATGATAAGTATGTCAGGCAACAGATACGTTAATTAGCTTAATATAGTCATTCCACGATATATACATATATCAAAGCATCACATTGAACCCCAGCCCTTCTAAGCTTCTAACTGAAATCTCCATGCCACTCATGTATAACGAGAGCCACAGGGAACCTGTAAAAGCCAGTTATGGGCACCTGTTTCAGACATTTGTTCAAATATTTGACATGATTTACAAAGCTCTGTTTGACTTGGCCTCTGTTCTCAACCTCGCTCATACACCCACCTCCTTGTACTTCTCACTCCAGCCACCCTAAATGTCTGTAAACTCCTTGAATGCAGAATGTTCTCTCACAGCACAGGAGCTTTGCATAAACCATATGAGAAACAAGGGCTATCTTGAATCTTGACCTTCTCCCAGTTTTTATGACTCATTGTTGGAAGCCAGACCCCTAGAGTTCACCCACTGCTCAGCTCCAAGTATGTTTTACATACCCTGAGAGACCCCACTCCATCCTTTCTCCCATTCCTGGAATTCTCAACAAATGCTACATGGGTGGGTGAGCTTGGGGAAAATTATCAAGAGTTCTGTTGCTGTGTAGACACTGCCACATGGAAGCTACCAAGCATCTGGGAGCAAACCAAGAGTCTCAGAAGATCTCCTGTTGACGACAAACAGAGAGCCAAATCATGAGTGAACTCCCATTCACAATTGCTTCAAAGAGAATAAAATACCTAGGAATCCAACTTACAAGGGATGTGAAGGACCTCTTCAAGGAGAACTACAAACCACTGCTCAAGGAAATAAAAGAGGACACAAACAAATGGAAGAACATTCCATGCTCATGGGTAGGAAGAATCAATATCGTGAAAATGGCCATACTGCCCAAGGTAATTTACAGATTCAATGCCATCCCCATCAAGCTACCAATGACTTTCTTCACAGAATTGGAAAAAACTACTTTAAAGTTCATATGGAACCAAAAAAGAGCCCGCATCGCCAAGTCAATCCTAAGCCAAAAGAACAAAGCTGGAGGCATCACACTACCTGACTTCAAACTATACTACAAGGCTACAGTAACCAAAACAGCATGGTACTGGTACCAAAACAGAGATATAGATCAATGGAACAGAACAGAGCCCTCAGAAATAATGCCGCATATCTACAACTATCTGATCTTTGACAAACCTGAGAAAAACAAGCAATGGGGAAAGGATTCCCTATTTAACAAATGGTGCTGGGAAAACTGGCTAGCCATATGTAGAAAGCTGAAACTGGATCCCTTCCTTACACCTTATACAAAAATCAATTCAAGATGGATTAAAGATTTAAACGTTAGACCTAAAACCATAAAAACCCTAGAAGAAAACCTAGGCATTACCATTCAGGACATAGGCGTGGGCAAGGACTTCATGTCCAAAACACCAAAAGCAATGGCAACAAAAGCCAAAATTGACAAATGGGATCTAATTAAACTAAAGAGCTTCTGCACAGCAAAAGAAACTACCATCAGAGTGAACAGGCAACCTACAACATGGGAGAAAATTTTCGCAACCTACTCATCTGACAAAGGGCTAATATCCAGAATCTACAATGAACTCAAACAAATTTACAAGAAAAAAACAAACAACCCCATCAAAAAGTGGGCGAAGGACATGAACAGACACTTCTCAAAAGAAGACATTTATGCAGCCAAAAAACACATGAAGAAATGCTCATCATCACTGGCCATCAGAGAAATGCAAATCAAAACCACTATGAGATATCATCTCACACCAGTTAGAATGGCAATCATTAAAAAGTCAGGAAACAACAGGTGCTGGAGAGGATGTGGAGAAATAGGAACACTTTTACACTGTTGGTGGGACTGTAAACTAGTTCAACCATTGTGGAAGTCAGTGTGGCGATTCCTCAGGGATCTAGAACTAGAAATACCATTTGACCCAGCCATCCCATTACTGGGTATATACCCAAAGGACTATAAATCATGCTGCTATAAAGACACATGCACACGTATGTTTATTGCGGCACTATTCACAATAGCAAAGACTTGGAACCAACCCAAATGTCCAACAATGATAGACTGGATTAAGAAAATGTGGCACATATACACCATGGAATACTATGCAGCCATAAAAAATGATGAGTTCATGTCCTTTGTAGGGACATGGATGAAATTGGAAACCATCATTCTCAGTAAACTATCGCAAGAACAAAAAACCAAACACCGCATATTCTCACTCATAGGTGGGAATTGAACAATGAGATCACATGGACACAGGAAGGGGAATATCACACTCTGGGGACTGTGGTGGGGTCGGGGGAGGGGGGAGGGATAGCATTGGGAGATATATCTAATGCTAGATGACACGTTAGTGGGTGCAGCGCACCAGCATGGCACATGTATACATATGTAACTAACCTGCACAATGTGCACATGTACCCTAAAACTTAGAGTATAATAAAAAAAAAAAAAATTAAAAAAAAAAAAAAAAAGATCTCCTGTTGACATTTGGGTTGCTACAGATACCCATTCCTGACATCTCCCCTCTCTTCCTTGGCCTCTCCTGGGAAGGATGCACCCCAGTCAGCTGCATTTCAGCTGATTCTCCTGGAGAATGCCAACCCCAATCAGCTGAAATGCAGCTGCCTTGTCTACATACCCTGAAAGTCCCCTCTCTGGCCACCCCTCAGATGCTAAGGCCCTAGACACTTCATTTAAAACATGATCGACCTGGCACCTGGGCCTCCCAAATATCCTCCCTTTCAGTTGGACCTCAAGGTCCTTGGCCTATGCCTCAGCACTGGCTTCTGGTAACAGTTCCTCAGGGCTCCACCATCCCCATAGGAACCCCCCTGGTTGGTGAAAAAAGGCAGAACATGAAGCCCAATCAGGGTTTCAAGATGTCATTGCGTGAAATCTTTGCCTTCTCCTGGAGCCCAAGGTTTTATGAAACTAGATCTAGATGGCACCCACCCCCTCACCTGGCACAGGGAGAAAGAAAGTGAAAACAGCTTCCCAGGCTCCCATGGCTAGAGCTAGGCCACATGGTTTGCATTGTCTCAAAGCCATTTGGTGCTGGGTTCCTGGACCACCCCTAGGACATCTTGATATATTTGCCTCACCTGGCCTCTAATCTCACTTCCATGCATATCTTTTTTACAGGCTGCTGCCAGAAAGAGCCTCATAAAATGCACATCTGATTATGCCATCGGCCTGCTTGAACCTCTTTTGCTTGGTTCCCATTGCCTTCAGCATACAGTTCAAACTTCCTAGTATAACAAACAAGTCTGTTCATGATCTGGGCCCCACAGGCCTGTCTGCCTCCCCTCCCTTCCCCGCCACCTTCCTCTAGGTTCATGCTGTATCAAACTGCTCAGGGCTCCTCCAACTCACCAGGCTGTGGAAATTCACCTGCTCTTCATGATGCCAGGAGTGCCTCTTCTGGATTCTCCTTCTTGCCGACTCCTCCTAGGGGTTGCCTAGCTTTCCCTGACCCACAGGCTAATCATGATGCTCATCCCTGAGCCTCAGAGATCCCTGCAGAACACATAGCCATGCTCCCAGTGTGTGCCACCTGTTTCCCAGTCTCACACCTTCATGGACTTGCAGCACCTTGACAGTTGGGGCCCCCTATGGCTGGTGCATGTATTGTCTCTGGCATCAAATAATACCTAATATTAAAAACTGCAAAAAAATCACCCCACTTGTGTCATTCTGCTTTCTTCTCTCCTCCCTACCGCCTACCCCAAACCTTGCTATTTTCCCCATTCATCCTTGTGTACATAATCAGGAAGACAGCCAGATTGCTGGTCTGTTCACTCATTTCTTTATGTGTCCATCAAACATTTATGGCACCCCCACACTGTGACAGCCACCATACTAAGTGGTGGGGGCATGTGGAAACACCCTGACCAGATGGCAGCCTTCATGGAACTTACATTCTAGTGGAGGGAGAAAGACAGCAAACAACTCAGGCACCGAGCCACGAGCTGGTAAAGTCTGTGCCAAGCGATGTGTGCTAAAAGGAAAAGGAAAAGAGGGTCAGGCAGAGAGGAATGCTGGGGTGGGTGAGCTTCTATTTTATATGGGGTAATCTGCGGAAATTGCTCGGATAAGATGCCATCAGAACAGAGACCTGAAGGAAGTGAAAAGTCATGCAAGTATTTGCAGAAGAGCATTTCAGGCAAAGGGAACAGCAGGAACAAAGGCCCTATGTGAGTTACAGTACTACTAACTGTCATGACAAACACATCCCCAAACTTCACAATAAGAGCACAGCACAGTAAATGTTTACTTCTTGCTCATGCTCCAGTTCAACATGATGTTGCTGGTTGATGGACAGCAGTCTTCATTTGGGTCCAGACATCCAAACAACTTCCATCTTGTGGCTTTCGCATTTCCAAGGGTCCCAAACTCCTCCCCAGTAAGTGGGCAGATGGGGAGTAGAGAAGGCACAGATGGTTCCTAAGACACCCCCTCCCCACACCCCCAGTAGGAGTGACTAGCACCACTTCGCGTCATGTTCTGCTGTGGAGAACCACTCCTCAGCCACACCTGAATGCTGAGGCATCTTGCTAGGCAGCTGCCTCCAGCAGCAAGGGCACACTATGATGGGCATTTTTGGTGGCAAGTGAGCCACCTCTGCCTCTGAGTGGAGACAGTGCCTGCCAGTTTGAGGCTCAGTGAGAAGGCTAGGATGGCCGGGGAAGCTGATATAGGGCCCTGCAGGCCACTTGAAGGCCTTTGGATTTTACTCTTTGTGAAATGGGAAGCACTTGAAGGGCTTTGAGTAAGGGAGTGACATGAAATGGCTTATGTTCCAAAGGGGCGTGCTCTGGCTGTGCTGAGGAGAATAGAATGCAGGAGGCCAGGAGGTAGACAGGTAGGCAGAAAGAAGGTAGGGCTGTCATGCAGGGGAGAGATGGTCATCTTGGCCAGGTGAGAGGGGAAAGGTCAGTGCCAGCCCTCCTACAGAGATAGGGCTGAGAACTCCAATTTAGTCCAACTCCTACCTTCTAAGCCAGGGGCCAATAAACTTTGTCTGGAAAGGGTCATCTATTAAGTACTTTAGGCTTGGCAGGCCATATGGCGTCTGCTGCAACTACTCACCTCTACTGTTGTCTCATGAAAGCAGCCATAAATCATGAGCGTGACTGTGTAAATGAATGAGCATGACTGTGTTCCAATAAAACTTTATTAACAAAAATAGGTGGTCAGCTGCAAAGTTTGCTGACTCCTGTTAAACCAGTCACAAATGGTGTTGGTCTTCTCTCATCACACATTTCTAGTCAAGGCATCAGTGGTGGCTGCAGAAAACAGCTGAGAACTCTGGACTTTGTCACTGCTTGAAGTTTGTGTGCCAGCCACTCCCAGTGAACTGAATTTCTTGTAGTAACACTTGTGGCATAAGAATGAATCACAGCTTCCCACTGTCTTTGAGCAAGTTCTCTCTTGACAAGGGAAATGGCTTTTGGCAAGACCTTTTCATTATAGTTCGGGCTCATCAGCTATTTGTCTATAACTAAATACCTTTATTATGTGTAATTAAGGCAGCAACTGAGAAAAGATGCAAATGTGTTCTGAAAAACCTGACTTTGCAGCAGCTGGGAGCTTTGCAACCTTTTAAAAGTGCAGGTTTAAACTGAAACACATTTGGCATGTGTCGAAGTAGGGAAAGGAGAGAAAAGCTAAACAACAGAATTAAAAAATAAGAGGGTTTTGTGCTCAGGAATTCATGCCATCTAGTGCTCACCCTGTGAGCTGAGCTGACTGCAGACACCAGGGAACATCCTCCCCACCAAGCCTGCCCTGCCCTCCACAATGGTCCCCTACCCCAGAGTGGAAAGTATT
The DNA here is from genome assembly GCF_000001405.40 of Homo sapiens. Taxonomy (NCBI): domain Eukaryota; kingdom Metazoa; phylum Chordata; class Mammalia; order Primates; family Hominidae; genus Homo; species Homo sapiens. Next base: position 116,723,110 of record NC_000001.11, read on the forward strand.
GTCGCAGTAGAAATATCACAAGCGGCCACTTTCAACTTCGGTTGGTATTTGCTTCTTCAGAATTTCTTCTGTCTCTTTGTATGGCTGGGCTGTATAATATATGAAGACAAGACAACTGGAAAACAGGAAAAGAGGCTAGGGCAAGAAAAAAGTTTCTCATCATCCCATTTGTGATGACGAATGAAAGTCAATAATGATCCATTCCTCTGGCACAGCATTGTCCAATAGAACTTTCTGTGATGTTGAAAATGTTCTATAGCTTTGCTGCCCAAGATGGTAACCACTAGCCACACACGACTACTGAGCTCTTGAAATGTTGGCAGCATGGTTGAAGAGCTGAATTTTAAATTTGACTTTGCTTTAATTAATTTAAATCTAAGTGTACACAGCTACGTGTGACCAGTGACACTGTATGGGACAGCACAGCTGCAGCGTGTTGGTTAAGATCCTGGCTCAGAAGTCAGATAAACACACGTTTCCATCCTGGTCCCTACTCACTAACTGTAATCAGGCAAGTTATGGCCACGTATCCTTGGCTCCCTCATTTTCAGGATGGGCACAATTGTGCCTACCTCGAGGAGCAGTTGTGAGGATGGGGTAACAGGGTGGAGATAAAGCACTTCACACAGTGCCTGGCAGAAGGTTAATGCTCAATAAATGTTCAGTGTTTGGTTATTTCCTAGGAAGCTCCTCAAAGGGCTCATACCACTCTCTAGACATTGCAGAGAGGTGGTCCTAAGACCTCAGTGCTGGTGTCTTCCCTGGAAGCTTCCCTTGTCCTAAGTGATATCACATAAAGTTGACTCAGGGGAGGACAAAGTTGGAGCAGAGGGAGAGTCAAAGGCCTCTAAACCAAACTTCTCACTACTTTTGAGACTTCCCTGGGGAAGTGAAGACTGCTAGTTGCTCACACAATGTTTGAGTGACCATGTGCCCTAATAAAAGACCGCAACTCCCAGGCTATCTTACAGTTAAGGGTGGTCAATAAGATGCAAGCAGACATTGTTAAATCTAAATGTACATTTCAGGACTTTCAGGAAGTCTTAAGAGGGGTCAGACAGTTTATATCTTCTCTCTTGTCTTTTGTCCCTTCACCTTTCCTCCTACTTCCTATGTGGAATTCAGACATGATGGCTGGAGCTCCAGCAGCCTTAAGGAAGTGTCTTTGAGGATGGGAGCCCTGTACTACTAATGATGGCAGAGCAAAAACAAAAGAGGCCTGGGTTCATGGACACCATGAAATCACGGTACCAACCTGGGCCTGCCCGCCTTCAGATTTCTTTTATATAAAAGAAACCACTTGTTTTGGTCTGTTTTGTACTGCTATAACAGAATACCTGAGACTGGGTAATTTATAAAGAACAGAGATTTATTTCTTGCAGTTCTAAAGCCTGGGAAGTACAAGGTACAGGGGCCTTCATCTGGTGAAAGGCTTCTTGCCGTGACATCCCATGGTGGAAGGTGGAAGGGCAAGAAAGCATGGACACGAGAGAGACCAGGAAGCAGTCCAAACTTATCCTTTTATCCAGGAACACGCTTCTGCGAGAAAAGCATTAATCTATTCACGAGGGCAGAGCCTCTTAAAGGTCCCACCTCCCAATAATGTTGGTTTGGGGATTAAGTTTCTAACACATGAACTTTGTGGGACACATTCAAACCATAGGACCTCCATACCATGTTTATTACTTTTGTTTTCTCTTATGTGTAGCAGCTATGAGCTAGTTATTTCTAAGCAGTGATTAATTCTACAAGTCCAGGTTATTATGGCATATAGTCAATGAAAGAAAGGGCTTGAGAAAATCAGTCCAGTCTTTATTCCTTCATCCTGCCTGCAGGGGGCGTCTAAGTCTGTGAACAACATTAGAGATACCTGTTCCAGTCAGTCTTTTTTTTTTTAATCGTTAAACCTGTTCATTATTTTTTTCTTCCATTGATCTCGTGTTCCAAAATATTGTGTTTCTACCGTCAGTTAAGTTTTGTTGGTGTTTTTGGTCATAAAAAACATTTAATAACCTGGGTGTGGTGATGCATGCCTATGGTCCTAATCCTAGCTACTTGGGAGACCGAGTCAGGAGGATTGCTTGACCCAGGAGTTTGAGGTTACAGTGAGCTATGATTGCACCACTGCACCGCAGCCTAAGCAATAGAGTAAGACCCTGTCTCAAAAAAATATATCAATAAATAAACAAAAAATAAACATTTAGCAACCATAGTGGATTTTGCTTTGTTTCGTTTTGTGGGCTGTCCAGCAGCTGATCTCCTTCTTATATTTGGGGAATTCTCCTAATAAAATAGAGCCTCTGATGGCCTAATACTTGTTGTCCCTGTCCTTCAGCAGCTGGACAAGGGCACACAAGGCTTAAGATTTACCAACTCTGCCGGGCACGGTGGCTCACGCCTGTAATACCAGCCCTTTGGGAGGCCAAGGTGGGTGGATCACGAGGTCAGGCATTTGAGACCAGCCTGGGCAACATAGTGAAACCCGGTGTCTACTAAAAATACAAAAAATTAGCCGGGCATGGTGGTGCATGCCTGTAATCCCAGCTACTCGGGAGGCTGAGGCAGGAGAATCACTCAAACCCGGGAGGCAGAGGTTGCGGTGAGCCGAGATCGTGCCATTGCACTCCAGCCTGCACAACAAGAGCAAAACTCTGTCTCAAAAAAAAAAAAAAAAAAAAAAAATTTGCCAACTGGATGGTCTCACCTGGGACTTTGCATCTGGAGCAAGTAACACAAAGCAGCAACCATGGTTTGGAATGCAGTCCACTGGGCAGTGACATCCCATGTCCTGGTGGTTCCAGTGGGTCGGTGTCTGGTGTCCAGTGGTATCCCAACCATGCCGCTTCTGTGGTGTGACCTTGGCTGAGCTCTTCATTGCTCAGCTTTTCCTGGCTACTGCGCATATCCAGAGTCTGGTCTTCCTGTCTTTTCATTTGCTCTGGAGCTGGCAGACATTTTCCCAAAGCAATTATTTTCTGCTTAAGTCAACTAGACTTGGTTTCTATTGCATGCAGCCAAGAATCTTGATGGATACACATGCTAAGCAACATGATTTTATCTATGATACCTGCAGAGTTGACATCATTCAACCAGAGCAAGAGACAGTGTTCATATTAGGCAACATAGCCTTAACTGGCAACACATGCACTTTCTTTTGAGCTTTTAAAAACATTGCTCCATTGCTATCATTGTAGACCCCCAAGGAGAAGGTACCCCAGCCTCCTGGAAACCACTGATATCATTGTATATCCTAATATTACAGATGAGAAAATGGAATCTCAGAGAGTTGAAGTGAATTGCTCCATGTGTCAGGCTATAGAAAGAATTTCTCAATGAGGGTCATTAGCCATTCATTCATGCACTACTCCTGGCCTGTGGAACTCAGAGTCAGGTAGGAGAGATGGGTGATTCTTGGGGAAACAAAAAGGATCCAAATAACATGGAAACGAGCAGGTTAGGATATTCAGAAAGAGATATTTAAATGATAATGAAAACAGAAGGGATGTAACTTAAGCTTCAAGAACTCAAGCATAGTGATAAAAGCAGGGACACAGCAAGATGGCCATGAACGCTGCACATGTTCACCTCTGCAGATGAGAAAGTCAGCCCAGACAAGACACGGTTCTAGAGGCATGAATCCAAGAAGTTTGGTAGAAAGCTGCCACAGCCAGACAGTAAAGTCAAAATATGCTTGTGTTCTCCTTTAAGAACATGTGATGCAAAAACATCTGAACTTGCAAAATAGATTTTTGAGAGTATTATTTTCTTTAAAAAGGACTCTTTGCTTTAAAGACAAGAAGACATCTATTTTTTAAGTTGCAGTAATTTTTTCTTAGCTTACTTATTGTCCACAACAACATATTGAGAGAAGGCATTTTTGTCCCCATTTCATGGATTAGAAACTGGGGCTCAGGTAGATAAAGTCACCAGTAAAGGTCACACAGCTTGTAAGAGGAAGACCCAAAGGTCCTGTGTTTCCTGTTCTACCAAGCCACCTCCCACAGAGTGACTTTAAATAATGAACATCTGAAATGCATTTGGAAGGCACTTCTAATTGAAGAGACTCAATTTACAGAGATTAGATTCGCACACAATTTTGAGAACACATCCATCGCACAAAGCATTATGCAACAATATAAGGATAAATGCCATGGATCGCATGCAAAAAAGAGGAAAATAATAGAGGAAGCGCAGTTAATTAATGCAGTAGGAACTGAAACACTACAGGAGCAGATGAACATGCACTCCCAGAATATGATACAATAAGCGGCTTCATTAGGAAGACAATTTATGTGGTAGGAAAGATAATAGCAAGAGAAAGAGGAAAATGTAAAAACAAATTAGTCTACTAGAAAACAGTGATTTGAAGATATTTTATAATGATTGATTTGTAAGAAATCTCTCTGCAATAAACATCAGTGGAACACTTGCTTTTAGAGATCTTAAAAAATAGGTCAGTATCTCTGGGTTAGACAGGTTTAGGTGTGATTTTCCTCTGCAAGGAAATGAACCAGCTGGGTATTTTCAAAGGCTCTCTTTAGTTTATGATTCTAAGGTTCCACTTATGGGAGCTTTCTATGACTGTCATTTTTTAAAGCTGGTTAACTCAGTGGCTTTATTTTTCTTCCCCCTCTAAATTCCCTACAGGGCTTTAACTAAATCAGACCACATTTGGAGTCTTATGTTGCTTTCTGGGCACCACATTTTAAAAGGGATGTTGACCTACTCTCCCTCCAGAGAATGGAACCAAGACAAATGAGTGGAAGTTGCTCAGAGATAAATTTCAACTCAATACAAGAAAACCCTGTCTCCTTCTATCAGAGTCCTCTGACAATGGAACCGGCTGCTTTTTGAGACAGTTTGCTGTTAGGATTGGAAACACTAAAGCAGAGGGTATTTGAACTACTGTCAAAACTGCTCTGGAAAAGATTTTTTTTTTACTAAGTTTCCTTCCAATTTCAACGCTTTATGATTGATTGATCATGTAACTCTTCAATATGTTTTTGCCAAGTCGAAGCTCCTTTCAGTTCTTTTATCTTAATTGTTAGCCTCTCCTCCTCCCCACCCCCATCCCCAAAAGTTAGCAAACACAATACAGAATGACCAAAGTTAAAACACCAAGGCCACATTGTCTGACAGTGCCACGTCCCTCCATTGGGGGAGCTGGACATGACATGGCCTGTTGATTATCAAAGTATCAGTTTCTGGGTCAATCAGGGTGATGGTGGCAGCACTGGTACCTCCAATGGCCCTTGGGCAGGTCTACATGCAAGAACAAGGGGAGCTGAGGGTTGGGTAAGGCTCACCACGGGTCCTCTTCTAGGGCTTTCCATCCTGGTTAGTGCATCCCCATCCAGACACGTGATTCCAAACCCCAAGGTGTCCCTTTTGATACCTTCCTCTCCATACCCTGACTCCACACCATCATATTCAGCTCATCACTACATCCTGCCCATTTTCTTTTCCATCTTCACCGCCTCTGCACTAATCTGAGCCCCAGGCTCATCTGTCACCTGGACCTGTATTCACATCACATGGCCCACTCCAATTTATATACACATCGAAACCTGAGTAATTTTTTAAAAATTCGAACCTACCCTGTCACCTGCTACTTAGACCTCTCAGCAGCTTCCCATTGCTGCTGAGATAGAGAATAGGACTTGGCCTCCTTGGCCCTGCCTTCCCTGAGCCCATGTACTTCCCCAGCTACTCCCTGTAGCCAGTCACTGTCAGAAAGGCCACCAGCATTACCTATTGCTTTGGGTAAGCACTGTCCTCACATTTCAGTTTTCTTTTGTAATGCAATTAAGGGAGATGAGAGTGGCCTAATCCTTGATGTTAGCCAAAAGTTGAACCTATTCCTACAACTCTCTCTCTAGCAAGAAATATCTGAATTATGAGGGAATATTAGGCAGGCAGAGGGTTTAGCTGGAAAGATTTAGAAAGAAAAAGGAATGATTTACATGCTGGATACTACAGGCTATTGGTGCCTCTTGGCCTCTGCGCATGGGCTTCCTGCTGTCTAAAGAGTGCACCTTTGCCAGTTGTCAAAATTCTAGTCATCCTTCAGGAGCAAGCACAAGAAACTCTTAGAAGCCTTCTTCACTGGCCTACTGGAGCAGCGCTGCTCACTCCTCCTCTGAGCTGGCAAGGCACCTTGTCCATACATCCACCATTATTGTGTGCACCACACCATATTGCAAAGATGTGTGTGTGTGTGTGTGTGTGTGTGTGTGTATGTCTCCTTCCTGGGCTGTGAGTTCACTGAGAGCAGCACTGAATCTCACATCTTTGTATCCCCAGTGCCTGTTGTAGAACAGGGCTGTATGAGTAAGGACTTTTGGTTGCAAGTTACAGAAATCAACGTGATCTCCCCTCAAGCAAAAAAAGGACAAGCCATTTTAGTTCCCTCAGCATGCTCTGTATTTCCTTCCATTTCTCATGAAGATGACAATCTTGTTGGTGTGCTTTTCATAGGGAAGAGCTCAACAGATGTGCACCAAACACAGGGTGGTGAGCACTGGAGGCAGAAGCAGAGAGAAGGAATGGGAAGGGAGGGGTGATGCGGAAGCCCAGTGGAACCTGCCTCTCTGTTTATCCTGGAGCAGTCACGATGGCTCCAAGGTCACCATTCTCTGAAGACCCTGGCCTGGCTCTCCTTCCCATTCTCCCCTCCTCGCTCACTGTCTTTCCCCAGAAAGTGGGGAAGTTCTGTCAATTGGTTGCGCTCAGAATTTCAGGCATCCTGCCCACCAGCCCAGTGCCAATGAGGGGCTGGGCTGTTCCCTGAGCCCATGGCGTCCCAGGAAGTTGCCTGCAGAGTTTGAGGACCACAGGGTGCAGAGACCTCCTCCCTGCCAGCGTCTACTTAACTCTTCTCTCAAGTTGTTCTTACTTTTTTTTTTTGGTCCTTACTCTTTAATTGCTCAATTTCTTTCCTTTGTTTTCCTAGTTAAAGGCTAACAAAAAATGAATTGGATATTTTAGTCATTTGTGGTCATCATTAATTTCATGGTCCTCTGCATTAATTAAGTCTTATTTCCTCTCCATAATCTTCTTTCCTCCTGATATTTGTAAAAGCACATCTTATTCTCCTTATTTGCTTTGGCTGGCGTGATCTAATTCTGATTTTTCGCCACCCTTATCTTTTCCTGGGAAGCTTTAACTGATGCAGCATATCCTCGTTTAATTCTTTCCCTTTTTCTCAGCAGACAGGAGAGTATTTCTTTCTCCATAGATTTCCTACCAGTCTTTGGGAGAAGTTGTGCTGATTAGATTTTGCCTCTCCTTTAGGAGTCCTGGGCTGGGGCCGGGCACGGTGGCTCATGCCTGTAATCCCGGCACTTTGGGAGGCTGAGGTGGGCGGATCACTTGAGGCCAAGAGTTTGAGACCAGCCCTGGCCAACATGGTGAAACCCTGTCTCTACTAAAAATACAAAAATTAGCCAGCCGTGGTGGCGCACACCTGTAATCCCAGCAACTCGGGAGTCTGAGACAGGAGAATCACTTGAACCCAGGAGGTGGAGGCTGCAGTGCACTGTGATCACTCCACTGCACTCCAGCCTGGGCAACAGAGTGAGACCCTGTCTCAAAAAAAAAAAAAAAAAGTCCTCGGCTGGGCTTCCCCTCCTTTCCACAGGCTCCTCCCCTGAAACCAAATCACCCAGGTTGTCCAGTCTTCCATCTGCAGCCAGACAAAGTGCTCTTTGCCCCTCAGCGGCAGGTAACTCTTTCCCTTGCTGTTTCACTGCTTGAACAGAAGACTGTGCCTGGGGCAAGAAGGAAGAAGGGAAACCATGCAGTGAGATGGGCTCCCTGTTAGCAGCTCTGGTACACAGACTGGAGGTGAAGCAAACAACAGCAAAGATGCTAGGGACCTCAAGGCGTTGAGAGCCATGGATAATTAAGTGCTCCTAGTCCAAGACCTTCAAACTTCACTTTTGATTTGTTGACAGCCAGAGGCAATGTCCGTCCCTCTATCTATGACCTGCAGGCACCACAGCTATAGTTTCCCCTGAGCGTTTTGCTTATTCTTCTCATTTAATGCCTATTTTGCTCTGCCCTGACTTGTGGTTCGTCATTTCTGTGTCTGTCTCTCTTATGTCATAAAATTGAAGTCATCTCACTCCTTTGCAACCCACGCATACTTTGGATCCTATAGTCTCCATTTCTATTAACATCATTGCCTAGATTATTCTGGAACCATCTACAGCCTCCTTTCTCCCTCAGCCTTCACAGGTAATAGGTCACCAAATTGCATTTTTATGAGTACCCTCCTTTTCATTCACGCTAGATGCCCTTCATTAAACTTTCTCTGGATGCACTGGACATTGTGGTGGCCAACTTACACCCAGCCCCATTCTCTCAATAACCACCTTTGGCTTTCTTTCCATCACCACATCTCCTCATTTACTTAAGGGATGCCAACTACCCAGAACTCTAGGAATGAAGGCTGTGGCTTATGCCTAACCCAGTCAGTGTAATTCCACCCCACTCCCCCACCTCCCTGTTATTCTCATTGGTTCAGGCTGAGCACATGACCCAGTTCAAGCCAATGAGGCTAGAGAGGACATTTATTGAAGTCTTTGGGAACAAAAAACTTCCTTGCTCTTCTGAGAACACTCCCAGAGTTGAGCCAGGTGCTGGAAGCCATCTTCCCCACTGTATGGGAAGAGGCTACCTGAAAATGAAGCCAATGCAGAAGAAAGCAGAGACAAGAGATATGGAAAGATGAAGAGTCCCAATTTTATTATTCAAGTGCATGGATCCAGCTGTGCCTGAACCACTCCTACACCTTTGTTATGCACCCACATTCTACATCCAATCCATAAGCAGATCCCACCAGCACTGCCTTTGAGAATATTCAGAATCCAATTCCTTCTATGTCTGCTGCTACCTTCCTAGTCCTCTTGCTCAGACTACTGCAGTAGCCCTCACACTGGTCTCACTGCTTCCACAAGTGGCCCAGGAGATCCTTTTAAAACCGTAAGTCGGATCACACTACTGCTCTGCTCAGAACCCTCTAACAGCTCCCCATCCAACTCCAAGATCCTCACCATGACTCTCAGGCCCTGCATGGCCTGGCTGCTCCCGCTGTCCTCCTCTCTTACCACTCTAGCCCTCGCTCAGCCCACTGTATCCTCACTAGCATTTTAGCTTCCACTTCAGGGCCTTTGCACTTGCTGATCTATCTCCCTGGAATGCTCTTCCACCAGATAGCTGCACGGTTTGTTCTCTCTTTCTTTCAGGGTGCTGCTCTATTGCTACCTTTTCAGTTAGGCCATCCTTGACCCCTCCTTCCTAAAATAGCACTTTCTTATAACTCTGTATCCCCTTGCCTTGCTTTATCTTATTTGTAGCACTTACAACCACCTGAAAAAATTATATACTGTCAACTGAAGAATCACAAGGTTCATAAATTTGGAAAGGAGAGCTGTACTTCTCTGCAGGTGACCATTCTGACAGGCTGGAAGTGTAGCCTCTGGCCAGAAGCCAGAAGCAAGGACTTAAGGGTGGGAAGACTAAGACAGGGATTTATGCTGAAGAGGGTGGTCAAATATACATAATCAACAGGTTATAGGAAGAGCTATAAATAGTAGCAAAGGGGAGTTGTGGGCATGCATAGCAGGCTAATGTGTAAAACACGCATCCCGTGTTCGCTCTAGGGTGGAAACTCAACATTTAAATGTATTACAGTTAGGCTCTATATGTCAAAAGGTGAAGCAGGGGACACAAAGGCCCTCTGTGTGCAGCCTCTGTAGACTGGCCCAAACCACCCCATGGTCAGTGGTGTCTAATGAGGAAGGGACTCTGATCAGTTGTTGTACTGAAACAGGGCTGGTTTCTGTTTAACCCTTAGGGAAAAAACCCTAATAGTAGTTAGCAGAAGGGAGTGTAAGGAGATGTGTCCGACTTCCCACTCTGTCATGGCTGGGAAGTCAGTTTTTAAGGTTTCTTTGAGGACTCTTTGGCCAGGCGGGGGACCATTCAGTTGGTTGGGGGACTCGGGATTTCATTTTTATTTCTCAGTGTATATGTGGTTGTTGTTATCTGTATCTACCCTTTAGAACATGCACCCTATGAGAACCTTGGGCTGCTTAGTTTGCTGCTATATATCCAGCTCCTAGAACAGCAGCTGGCAAGTGAGGTACTCAGCAGAGTGCTGTCAACTTACTGATTGGATGAATTAACACATGAGCTAATCATTTTCCTATTTTTGCATGAAGTATTTTCAGTTGAGTTTCTGCCACTTACAAAGTATTCTCACACAACATTTAATTAATATGTTTGCTTAAAAAGTGGACCAATGAGTACCTTAGCTTAGGTTGGGTTGTAGGTTACATCCTCATAGATAACAATACCTGACATGTGACTGTCCCTTTTGAATGCCAAGACACCACATTCAGGGCCCTCTTACATACTTACATTGGTTTTACAATATCAACAGGGCAAATATTGCCTTCCCCCCATATTTCAGGAAAAGTGAAGTGGTTTGGTGGAGTTAAGCAGCAAAGCAGGGACTGGAGCCCACATCTTGTCCCCAGCCCACAGCTCTTGCCACATCTCAGTTTTGCATTTCTGTCCATAGTTCTGCAGCTTCATAGTGTGGCATTCACCCACAGGCCTGGGGGAGTGCTATGAAATCCTGTTCCCATGTGATATCTACTTATCTAACATTTCTAATTCCCTCTTCCCTGAAAGCCAATAAAATTCTAAATCTTTTCCACATGAGACTGTGGGCTTTTTGGGAAAAAGAAAATCAAGCATATGGCTCTCAGAAAATAAAATCTGCTTTGTGAGATAAAAATCTCCCTCCTTGCCCCCACCCTCCCAGCTACCCCATGGTATCACATTCTTTGGAGTTTCATTTTACATGTTGGGGCTGGGACAACAGACACATGTGTGTGCCTGCCTTGAGTGGTCATAATACATTGCAAAAAATCCTTCTGCAACCCCTCTCTTCCAGAGTGGTTTTTTCCTTCCTCAGCTATTCCCCACGGATGACATTAGCTCCCTTTTTAATTCCTTTCCCCTCGCTGCACGCTCTGATGTTACTTACCAACCCCCAGTGGATATGCAGAGGCTTATTCAGTGTCACATGTAATAGATAAAACAGCGGGGGCTTCTAATCGGAAAATGTTTTGCAGGCTGCAAAAGACTATGGAAAACCACAAAGCTGCCAATATGGTCCAGAGTTTATTAATACATATTTGGCACAAGTGTGGCACACAACACTGCCCTGTCCCCCATGGGGGATTAGTTACATGTTTACAGACATAGCATACTGTGGAAGGGGGGCAAGGATATAGCCCCCTTTCTAGGAACCTTCTGCAGAGCTTGTTTTTTTATCTGAGGCCCAGAGACATCCAGGTAGTATGCCTCTTCATGTGGGCACAGCATTAGAGGTTGCTTGAGTCTTCTTCCTATTTTATTTATTTTTATTTATTTATTTATTTATTTTTGTAGAGATGGGATCTTGCTTTGTTGCCCCAGCTGGTTTCAAACTCCTGGGCCCAAGTGATCCTTGCAACTTGGCCTCCCAAAGGGTTAGGATTACAGGTGTGAACTCGGCTTGTAGTGGTGTTTTTAAGAGGCTACCAATTCCTTTACACACTCCCATCAAGAGGTGGGGTTGGCCGGGCATGGTGGCTCACTCCTGTAATCCCAGCACGCTGGGAGGCCGAGACGGGCGGATCACGAGGTCAGGAGATCAAGACCATCCTGGCTAACACAGTGAAACCCTGTCTCTACTAAAAATACAAAAAATAGCCAGGCGTGGTGGTGGGCGCCTGTAGTCCCAGCTACTCAGGAGGCTGAGGCAGGAGAATGGCCTGAACCCAGGAGGCAGAGCTTGCAGTGAGCCGAGATTGAGCCACTGCACTCCAGCCTGGGTGACAGAGGGAGACTCCATCTCAAAAAAAAAAAAAAAAAAAGAGGTGGGGTCAACGTCTCCTCTGCTAAAATCTGGGCTCTGTGACCTCTCTGACCAAGCGAGTGCTGTGGGAGGACGCTATGGCCTCCCAAGGCGGGGTCAGAAGGGGCCAGGCCCACTCCACCTGCAGCTTTTGGGATGCTCGCTGTGGCCCCTTTTCTGGATACTCCTAAGCAGGAAGCTTCCACATTGTAAGGAGCCCAGTCTCATGGAGAGGCCTTGTGGGGTGCTCTGGTTGACTGTACTCCAGCCTCCAGGCACAGGCCCCAGGCATGCAAGTGAGGCCACTCTCTTGGAGGCACCACTCCCAGCGCCAGCCCACCCAGCGCTCAGCCATTTGCATCACCCGGGCCATTAAAGTCTTCCCCGCATCGCTCCAGAAACAGTAGAGCAGTGAAGAGCCGGGCCCACAGGTTCTGTGAATGTAACAAGACAGCCGTTTCATGCCCCTGAGTGTGTGTGGGATGGTTGCAGCAGGAGGAATCACAGCACACAGCCAGGTGAATGCTGAGCGTTAAAAGGGCCCTGGGTACATTCCAAGAACTAGACCTTCCAGGCCTCCTGGCTGGACCACCCACACCTCATCAAATCTATAGGGCCAGACTGCAGAAAAAACTCCTTGTCCATTGTTAAAACCCTGCAGAAAGAACCAGACTCTACAGCAGTCAGCACTGACTCGCTGCCACTCTGAACAAGGCCTGCTGGGACCTCCTACTCGACCTCCCTGTCCCTCCTGGGCCTCTCCGGCCTCCTCTCCTTCCACCTTCCCTCACTCACTCCCCAGCAATGCTGGTCTCCTCCTTTGGCCCCCCACACACCAGATATGGTCCCATCTCAGGGCCTTTGTTCCTGCAGTTCCCCCTGCCTGAACTGTCCCTCCTTGTATATTTGCCTGGCTGTCTCCCTCAATTCACAATTCCTTTAGGCCGGGAGTTCCCAAGCCCTGGCTGCAGACTGGTACCGGTCCATGGCCTGTTAGGAACTGGGCCACAGCATTAGATTCTCCTAGGAGCGCGAGCCCTATTGTAAATTGTGAGTTTGAAGAATCTAGGTTGCGCTCCTTATGAGAGTTTAATGCCTGATGATGGGAGGTGGAACAGTTTCATCCTGAAGCCATTCTACCCCAGTGCCCCGGTCCATGGAAAAATTGTCTTCCATGAAACTGGCCCCTAGTGCCAAGAAGGTTGGAAACCGCTGCTTTAGGCCTTTACTCAGAGCCACCTCCTCCATCAGTCCTTTGTGGCCATGCTCTCCAAAAGGGCAAATCCCCACCCATGTCTCCAATTTGCATGACTCTTTTTCTACTTTATTTTTCTCTTGAATACTTGTCACTATCTAAATACTTCTATTTTACTCATTTTTGTTGTTTATTATGCCTTTCCCACTAGAGTGTATGTTCAGTATGCACAGAAATACATCCCCCAGGGCCTAGAAGAATACCTGGCACAAGGAAAGCAGGCAGTCAATATCCATTGCAGAAATAAATGAATACTCTGTAACAAAGTTATGCTTTTGCTTTTATCCCGAGAAACAAACAGAGTATATGCCTATCACAATAAATATTTGTTAAGTGAATAAATGGGAGACATGCAGGATGGCTGGTTTATTGTTGCCTTTAGAAAACAGTATGAATTCCATCCTGCCGAGATCTCCTCCAACTTCCCTCTCCAGCTTCACCACCTGCCTCCCTCCTCTGCTCAACCGGAGCAGGTATTCCCCGGTTCAGTGCACTGAAGCCTGGCTTCTGCCATTTCCTCTGCCTGGAAGGTCCTGCATCTACCTCTTTGTGAACTTACAACCTGTTTGTCTCTTCAGGACCAGCTCAGGTACCACCTAGCTGGAGTCCCTTTGGCCTCTGGTGAATTCCATGTGCATTTCTCCCAGGTCCTGAGGTCCCTGGGTATCTGTCTCATCTCCTTCATCTGTCTGAATCCCAGAGAAGAGCAGGTGCTGCTCTGCCTTGTTCATATCTGTAGTCCTTACCTCCCTTCACTCATAGGCAGCTGCAGATACAGATGGGGTCTGGAGAATTTGGGGATGTGTTGGAGGGATGGGGTGAGAGAGGAGGTCTGGAGAACTCCATGTTCATATCCGATTCTGTCAGAGTTTGAGAAGTGCAACAACAGAAGTAGAACTAACTGACATGCCCCTATGACAGTGAAAAGAACACAGGTCTTGGAATCAGAGAGCCTGGTCTCATCTCCTTGCTAAGTCTCCTTAGACAAACCATTTACCTTTCCCAAGCCTTGGTTTCTTCAACTACAAAAATGTGTATGCCACAAGGATATTGTTTGGATAAAAGAATATCATTCTTGAGGGGGGAAGAAGTGTAAACTGGAAAACACTATGCAAATGTAAACGAATGTGTAAAAGATGTTCTAACCAGTGAAATTGACAAGAGTGTGGCTCAGGTTGCTGCCAGAGGGTGGCAGCAGCAGGCAGGGACTTTGGCCCACGGTCCTTTGAAAAAAGCTACCCTGGAAACTGCCAGAAAGGGATACATTCGCTGGGTTGCCCTGAGATGATCAGCTCATCTGACTGAAGAGATTGCCCTCTCTCCTGGAGTGGGATCTGGCCAGGGCTGAACCAAACCCCAGAAGTCTTCCCTTGAGTGATTTTCCCCAGATGTTTTTTACGGCCACCCTCACCATCACGATGCTGTCCTGAAATTTCCGGCATTCGGTGTAGGTGTTTTCTTGGTGACCTCATCTAGTCTTCACCACAAACTTTTGAGTATAAGTGAGCAGGCCAGATTGTAACTCCTTCCCACAGATCATCATTTTTTTTTTTAAATTTTCATTTTTATAGAGACAGGGTCTCACTATGTTGCCCAGGCTGGTCTTGAACTCTGGCCTCAAGCGATCCACTTGCCTTGACCTCCCAAAGTGTTGGGATTACAGGCGTGAGCCACGGCACCTGGCTGCACCTCACCATTTCAGACATGACAAAACTGAGGCCCAAAGAGGTTACTTTGAAGATCACACAGATACTAAATAGGAAAAAGTTAGAATTTGCATTTTAAGCCTGGGTTTCTTTTTTTAGCTTGAATTCCATTACATCATCACTTCTTTCACCTTGCTTGTTCAGTTATTCATACAACCAGCACTTTTTGGGCTCTTGCAGTTTGCTGGAGAGCTGCATAGACTTCCTACTACTTAGCCATGGTGGCCGCTCTCCTGGCCTAGGCGAGCCGATGTCTCCCACCCTTTCTGTTCAGAGCTAGGGCCTCAGTCTATCTTCCTCTACTCTGGGCAGCAGGCGCCACCTCCTTAGTGTTCTGGGGCTCATATCCCAAGCCCAACAGCTGAGAAAGGGCTCTGTCTCCCCCTGCTCCCTACATCACAGCTTCTTAGATCACAATCTCACAGGCCCTGCTGGCTTTATACTTAGGCAATCCTGAGAAATAACTAGGAAGAGGAGGGTAACAAAAACAAAAATAAAAAGCAGAGAAAAGTAACGCATACCTAAGGAATCATATAAAGTTTCCTAGTTCTTCTCAATCTACAGTTCACGACTTCTCTGCTACGAAGTCTTCAAGCCCTGAGCTTGAGTTCTCCTGACTTACTTCCGAAGGTGAAACTTCTCTATTTTGTCTCTTTTATTCTCTTAAGTTGGCCTCATTATCAGGAACATAGAGGCAATCTGGGAAGAAAGCTGACATTTGTTGAGCATCTCCTAGGGCCAGGCATCGTGCTAGACCCTGGACACACGTCACTTCATTTGACCTCACAATAGGCTTGAGAACAAAGCATTTGTCTTCTTTTACAAATGTGGAAACCGAGACGCAAAGACATGAAATGACATGCCTAAATTCGTGTTTCTAGCATGTGGTGGCTCAAAGCTCTTTTCCCTTAAAGCACATGATTATACAGCTAGCAACAAGCATGTACCCCTTCTCTCAGAGGTGTTTAACGCTTGGGGGAATTCCAAGGTCAGTGACTTTCATATCCGGAACCCAGGCTTCACACAGGAACTGGCACTGTGGGCCGATTCTGTCCTCTCTGCTTTGTGGGTGGGAAGCCCAAGAGGAAAAGAAAACTCAGTTTTTGCCTTGGAGGAGATAACACCTGACAAAGGAACAAGCTCTCAGAGACAGACTTTTTGGCTGGAAAAGAGTACATCTGCTGCCATGGTGCATGCATTGGTGGCCGATAACATTAGGCTGCTTTTGTGAGAACACTCACCTCTTTGCCTGGCAGTGACAATGTTTGTGGAATCTGATTTTGCTGCTGATACTGATACTGAAATTCTGCTGTGATCATCTAGATACAACCAAGATAAACATCAATAGGACCTGGCCACAGACACACAGTGTGGCCTTTCTGATCATCACTGAAGCCCTGGCAAATATCAGTTTTTTTTCTTTTTGTCGTTTTATAAGCACTTTGTTTTATTGCACAGAAGCAATTGAAACTGGACACAGGTGGAAAGTGCGCCCTGGCATAATTCAGTGCCCAGTGCCCGGCCCCACCTGGACCACTCTTCCAGAATAGAGGTCTCTGGGCAAGGGCTTGACCACTCCTTTGGAAAACAGAAGGCATTTGGGAACAGGTTAAGACATCTCAAGCATAATGTGTTTCTAACTGCTTGTGGTCATCTGTCAGTTGCACATAGAGGCAATAAATGCACTTATTTGGAAAGGAGGGGGGCAGTTTTTATAGTCAAGTATTTACGTATGGCATTTGGCATGTATCACATTCGGCTACATAAGCTATCATAACATAATTGTCCATCGCCTCGGGAGGGTGTGGGGGCAGGAGGCTGGGATTGCCCTCTTTTGCTAACATATTGCTAATGAAGTTCCTGTTTGAAGAGGGAGGCCCTGTCATCTAAGCAGTTTCTTCTTACATAAAAAGTAAAAATTGCATTACTCTGATCCTTGAGCTCCAGGACCCTTTTGAGTTTCTTTGGCTGCTCCAGACATTCCTTTCTCCCTGCCTTACTTCCCCTTGGCAGCCTTGTCTTCTGTGGCCTTCTCTGGAGGCCTGCTGTCTTTTTGGTCTGTGCTGGAGGATTTTTCAGCCTTTTCCGCCTTAGGTTCACTGAGCTCCTTTGAGAGGGTCGTCTTTGGCTTTGGGTCTTGGGTTTCTCCTCAGGCTTCTTGAACTCAGTGGCCTTCTCCTCCTTGGTATCTTTTTTCTCCATTGCTGCTGCCGCCTCCTCCCTCTCTGCTGGTTTTCTGGGTTCCTTGGCCTTGGCATCATCTGGTTCCTTCTTGGCCATCTCTGTCTTCTCTTTGGGTTTAGCGTCTTCCTTCACCTCCACCTTGGCAGGAGCCTCCTTCTCTAAGGTGGCTGCTTTTTTCTTATCTTCAGCCTCTTCCTTCTTGGCTTCAACTTTGGATTCTTTGGGCTTTTCGATGGCAGCTTCCTTCTCCTCCACCTCGGGCTTTGGAGCCTCCTTGTTGGATGACTCCTCTTTCTTGCTCTCCTTCTCTGTTTTTGGCGTGGCGGTAGCTTTCTCTTCCTCTGCCTTCTTTGCAGGCTCTTTGACTTTTACGTCCTGGGGCTTCTCCTCCTCCTTCACTGGGGACTTCACCTCTTCCTTCTTTGGGATCTCCTTCTCGGGGGCCTTGGCATCCTCTTTCAGGGGAGACTTCACCTTCTCTGGGAACTTGACCTCCTCTTTGACAGGGCTTTTGGCCTTTTTGGGGGATTTATCTGCAGAGGGCCTTGCTTCCTCCTTTGCTGGAGTGTTGGCTTCTGGAGACTTCACATCAAGAGTCTTGGCCTTCTCAGGGGACTTTGCTTCTTCCTTCACTGGGGACTTGGCCTTCTTTGGAGACTTGGCCTCAGCCAGTGACTTTGCCTCTTCCTTTGCTGGGGACTTGGCCTTCCCGGGGGGACTTGATCTCAGCTGGAGATTTTGCTTCCTCTTTCTGTGGGGACTTGGCCTTAGCCAGTGACTTTGCCTCTTCCTTTGTTGGGGACTTGGCCTTCCCAGAAGACTTCACCTCAGCTGGGGATTTTGCTTCCTCCTTCTCTGGGGACTTGGCCTCAGCCGGTGACTTTGCCTCTTCCTTCACTGGGGACTTGGCTTCCTTCTCTGGGGATGTGGCCTCTTCTGCTAGGGGAGACTTTGCTTCTTCTTCTCCCCCTTTTGCCTCCTCTTCTTCACCCCCTTCTTCCTCCTTGACCTCCTCCTCTTTGGCCTCTTTCTCCTCTTCTTCAGTCACTTTTTCAGTCACTTGGGTCTCCTCTGTCTGTTCCTCCACAATCACAGTTTCTTTCTCAGACTTCTCTACCACTTTGATCTTCTCTTTGCTTTAGACCTTTATGTGAGTGGACATGGAGGGCATTTGGAGGAGTCCTTCTGGAAGTGAGAAAGGAATTGGGCCAAAGCCAGTCTGACATTCCTCACCTTCCAGGAGTTTTCTGTAAGGGGCTATCTCTATATCCAGAGCCATCTTGACATTGAGCAGGTCCTGGTAGTACTCTCGCAGCTGGGCCGCCATTTCTCACTTGGTGTTCCAGCGTCCAGCTGCTGAGTGGCTTCCTGGTAGGAGGCAATGTCGGCCTGATGACGGTCCTCCAGCTCAGAACACTGCCTGTCCAGTGAGTCGATGGTGCTCTTCAGTGCCTCCAGCTCTGTGGTCTCGGCCGGAAGCTGACGCTGATACTCAGTTATCTCCTCCTGCACTCAGCACATGGAGTCTGTGTTCACCTTGGCTGCCTCAGACAGTCGGTCCATCCTCACTTGGAACCACTCCTCAAACTGCAGCGTGCTCTGCACCGCATGGCCTTCAAGCTGCCGCAGATCTCATGCAGTGCAGACGCCGTGACATCACGTCACACTTGAGGGCGTCCCCTCCGCGGCCTGCACCTGCGCCTGCGCCTGCGAGGCGCCGCAGCCCTGCATCTGGCCGAGCAGCTCGCCCACCTGCTCCTGCTGGCGGTGCCACAGGTAGCTACACTCCTCTTGCAGTGCCTGCGCCTTCTTCTGCAGTTCCACGCCCGCCGCCTCGGCCTCCTGCAAGAAGCCGCCAACAGCACAAGCCTTGACCTCTTTGTGCTGCTGGGCCTCATCATGGAGGCACCGGTGCACATGTGGAAGTCCTGGAGCAGGTGCTCCTGCTCCAGGCGCAGCAGACTGCGCACCATGCCCAGGCACAGCACCGTGGGGCGCATCCCGCAGACCTCGAGTTCATACAGCTCACCCACGGTGGTGCAGCCTGCCTGCTGCTATCGCAGCACCACCGCCTCACCCTCCAGGCTGCAGTTGTGCACGTCTAGTTGCCGCACCTTGTCGCTCTAGCCTGTGAAGCAGTCCTTCAGCACCTGCAGCTGCTCCTTCTCACTGTGCGCTGTGGCTGCCGCCACCACTCAGCCCTCCCATCCCATTGGTCAGCGTGTCCAGCCAGTCAGTGCTCAAGGCGGCAGGCGCCCCCGAAGTGGCTGGGCGAGGCTGACATGGAGCTCATGGACATCCGTGTCCATGAGTGGAACCCGCTGGAGGATCCAGCAGCCGAGCGCCTTCTGCTTGTGCTGCCCTTTAGGGTCAGCGTGTAGTGGAGGCTGCTGCTGCCGTTCAGCACCCAGCAGTGCCTCAGAGCCACCAAAGCTCATCATGGTCTGAGCAGGTGCCTGGGGCCAGGACGGGATGGGAGGCACTCAAATGTCAGTTTTTGGTAAAAATGCAGCTGGGCATGGTGGCTCATGCCTGTAATCCCAGCACTTTGGAAGGCTGAGGCTGGTGGATCATGAGGTCAGTAGTTCAAGACCAGCCTGGCCAATATGGTGAAACCCCCATCTCCACTAAAAATACAAAAATTAGCTGGGTGTGGTGGTGTGCACCTGTAGTCCCAGCCACTCAGGAGGCTGAGGCAGGAGAATCGCTTGAACCCAGGAGAGGGAGGTTGCAGTGAGCTGAGATTGTGCCACTGAACTCCAGCCTGTGCAACAGAGCAAGACTCCATCTCAAAAAAAAAAAAAATGCTAGACACTTTACTCCTTTTTTGTGTTTCTACCCTGAGTCTGTGGGAAGGTGTAATGAGGGTGCAAGTGGAGGCACCAAAGAGAGGAGATGGAAGTTAGGCAGGAAGGTGAGGTGGGACGCAGGGATTACTGCAACTAAGGACAAGTGAGGTGTGCAAGGCAAAAAGTGACAGTGAGGTCTCAGGAAGAAGCAAGCAGTGTCTCCGAGTTTGGAGCACAGGTCCAAAGGGCTAGGGATTAGGTGATGAAAGTGTGGAGGAAGGGGACAGGCACAACCCAGAACCTCTCAGGGCTTAGAGTCCTCCACTGAAATGTGAGGGGATGTAATCCTATTTGGAATTTCTTTCTCTTCCAAAATCTCACAGTTCAAAAAATTCAGGTAAGTGTGAAATACAGAAATGGCAATTTTGACCATAGTCCTGCCAGAAATAACAAGTTCCTCTTCAAAGCTTCCATGGTCTTTCTTAATCAGTAATGAGCACTTGTTTCTCTGCTTAATCTGTAAAGAGCAAATGTCTTATTCTGTAAACAACCCTTCCCACCTAGTTGGTAATGGACAGCCTCTCCCTTCCTGCCTAACTGACCTTATTCAATTTCAAACACTAGCCAATCAGGTCAGCTTAGACTGTGCCCAACTCCAGCCAATGGGGAAAGGACACAGAAACAGGAACTGTTTTAGGGATAAAAATCCCTGCCCTAGCTGACTTGGTGTGCTCTTGTGATTGGAGGGATGCAGGCAGCACCCTTCTGCAAAGTAAATGTGCCTTGCTGAGAAATTTTCTATCTAAGTGCTGGTTTTTCCTTGTGGCACTGAGCACTTGCTTCTAACAACTTGGGGGCTCATCTAGGATCCCATTCTCCTCAGGGGAAGGGTCTCCGATCATCTCTTGTGAGGAGACGCATCCCACTGCCTCATTGCAGCTGCCTCAGGAGTGAGGGATCGAGACCCACCTGGCGTGACGAATAAACCCAGACTCTCAGCAACATGGGAGGAAAAGGCCTACAGATACTGCAGTGACCAGGTAATTCTGTGCATAGACCAAGGTAAGAAAAGCTGCGGGGGTGGTGAAGTACTTCCTTGGTGGTTGGGATGTCCTGGAGGTTGAAAGTGTGTGAATAAGATGCACAATTAAGTGCAAAGCGAGTGTGGAGTCTGGATTTGCTGTTCTGTGGTCACGTCACATGGCTTAAGGTGGCTTTCCTGTCAGGGGTTTATACCGACCCATCAATGCTAAGAAGGACCTAAATTCCCAGGAGAGAAACAGCCAAAGAAGGACAAAGGGAAAGCAAAGGAGTTCAAGAAACTTCCAGTGGTTGGGGGGGAGGGGGTTGCTGAGCCTCCAGAGAAAGAGTGCAAGAAATCTCTAGTAAGAGAGAATGAGCCACACACAGTCAGGAAACTCAGGGAAATGCCTACAACTTCCAGGATGGGAAATACCCTAAGCAGGACAGGGAATATAAAGGACAAGACAGACAATAAAATTCCCTCTGATAGCCCTCTAGGTCTCATGTTAAAATATTGGAGGGATAATGAAAGGACCAAACATAAGAAGAAGCAGAAAATGATAAATATTGTTGATTTATTTGGACCAAATATTGTTGCTTTATTTGGACCAAAAAAACCTATTCTCAAATCTTCAGTTTTCTCACCAAGGTTTGGGTCAAATGAGGATTGGATTTGTCAACTTTTAATAGAATATGTCAATGATAAAAGTCCTGTCTCCCAAGAGGAAATAGACTATGCCCTGTGCTGGGGGCAGGGGCCTGTCCTCTTCTACCCTCTAAAAGCTACAGGAAATAAGCCAGAAACTACCTCCCCTAAAGAAATTGAGACCCCTACCCCAAACAGTCCATTAACACATGGGATCCTTTAGACCACCTTCCTCTGCTAAACACCACCAACTTTGCCTCCTCCTCAAGCAGATGTAACCACCCCAAACCCTTCCCCTGCTCACGTTGTTCCCTCCCCTTATAATCCTGACTCTTGGGGCCATTCCCAGTCTGAATGCCCTGTCCTAGGAAAGCTTCAATGTGAAATAGAACAATGTAAAAAGGATATTCGAAACTTCCCTTTCCCCTCCTCCTCAAAGGAGTCTGCCCCAACCCTTTTTCCCTTAAGAGAAGTACCACTTGGAGGAGGGGAATTGGCTCTGAAAATGCCCCCTTAACTAGTTCAGAGGTCAGAAACCTGAAGAGGGAACTTAAATCACCATTAGATGATCCTTTTGGGGTTGTGGATCAAATTGACCAATTTTTAGGACCACAAGTATATACTTGGGCTAATGTCCATCTTAAGTATTCTCTTTTTTGGGTGGTGGAGGGGAATAAACATGATCCACAGGGCTGCTATGATAGTCTGGGAGCATGCACATCCTCCCAGTCAAAATATCCCTGCAGTAGAACAAAAATTTCCAGCCCAAGACCCCCAATGGGATAATGATAATGCAACCCACCGAAAAAACATGGAAGACCTTAGGGAGATGATAGTTAAAGGGATTTGGGAATCAATGCCTCAAACCCCAAATATTTCACTAGCATTTAATATACAGCAGGGGAAAGATGAAGGGCCCATGGAGTTTTTAAACAGACTAAAGGAACAGATGAGAAAATATGCAGGCTTAGACATAGAGGATCCCCTTGGGCAGGTGATGTTAAAGCTCCATTTTGTCACTAATAGTTGGCCAGGTATCACAAAGAAATTACAAAAAAAATAGAGAACTGGAAAGATCGGCCTATAGAGGAACTTTTGAGGGAGGCCCAAAAAAACATATGTAAGAACGGATGAAGAAAAGCAAAAGCAAAAGGCAAAAATCAGCTCTCCACTCTACAACAAAGTACCCAAGGGGCCAAAACCTGTAAACAACTTAAGCCCCCACTCGCTAGGCATATAAAGGGTATGAAAAAGCAAAGCAAGGGAATTTAAAAATAAGGAGAGAAAGAGAGCAGAACAAATGTTTCAAATGTGGAAGAATAGGTCACTTCGAAATGGAATGTCCTGAATGGGAAAAAGAAAAGGAAGTCATCCCACCTATGGCCTTCGAGGAAGAATAGGGGGGTCAGGGGCTCTGTTTCTTTTATCTCGAGTTCCACCAAGAGCCATTGATAAATTTAGAGGTGGGACCCAAACCCGAGCTCATTGCCTTTTTAATCGACTCAGGGGCAGCTCACTCCTCTCTTTGTTATCCTCCATCTGGTGTACTTTGTTCACAAGAAGAACTCCTGATCTCAGGAGTGAAAGAAGAAGGATTTAAAGCAAAAATCTTAGAAGAAAAAAAAGTCATGGACCGTCACCCCAGGACCAACCCCCACCAGAGTAATGTTAAAGAAAAAAGCCTAATCTGACTGTCCCTTTTTCCTCTTCTCTTTCCCTTAGCTACCCCACATCTCATTATTAATGTAACCAGGTCAAAGTCACCCCAAATCATTACTTTTGATGCTTGTCTTGTTATACCTTGTGGAGACTTGCAAAGTCAAAGGCAGTTCTCTACTTCAGAAAAGTATCTTTGCCATTCTTGGAAATTATCAGATTGGGCAGATTCAATTAACTGGGCAGTTCCCTTAGACTTGGGATATTATAAAGAAAACTCTGTTAACTGGGAATCTTGTACTCCGAAAACAGAGTTTCTCTGCCGTAGCTTGTCCAAAATTCTATGGACTACCAAAAATCATGGTTGGACCTCCCCAACAACTCTCTGTGTGTCCAAAAACCATACATTCCTTTCACCAAATGAAGCCCCCACCAACTGCCAGCAAAACCAATGTAATCCAGTACAAATTTCCATTACTATCACAACTTCCCAAAATTCCTCCCCTTCATTAAGTCATTTCTATGGTATAGGAGCAGAGGTCGCAGGGGCAGACTCTATAGGATTTTTTGAAATGCGTTTCGTCACCCCCTCATCCCCTCCTCCCTCTCCTAAACCTTCTAATCAAACTACCAGTCTCTCCCTACCCAATAGCAACACCAAAGTAGCCATTGTAGAAGTTAAAGATTTAAAACAAATCCTAGCTATTGAAATGGAGTACCAAGATGCAAATGCCTGGCTAGAATTGATTAGATATTCCATTCACACACTAAACAAAAGCGATTGTTACACTTGTGCAACGGGAAGGCCAGGGACCCAAATTATCCCCTTTCCACTTGGATGATCCTCCAACCAACAGGGTATGAGCTGTATGGTAGCTCTCTTCCAAAACCCCACAGCCTGGGGCAATAAAGCATGCCGAATTTAGCGGGATGCAGTAAGCCTAAGCCTTTTCAGGAGCTAACCAATCACTCTGCCCTTGTTCATCCCAGAGCAGATGTATGGTAGTACTGCAGTGGACCACTACTAGGTACTCTGCCAAGTGACTGGATCGGCACTTGCACCCTAATTCAATTGGCCATCCCTTTTATCCTGACATTTCATCAACAAAGCAAAAAAGACAATTGCAAAAAAGAAGTACCATCCCCCCACGGGTCCTTTGACTCTCACATTTATATAGATGCCATCAGAGTTCCACAAGAGTGCCAAATGAATTTAAAACTTGAAATCAAATAGCTGCAGGATTTGAATCTATATTGTTCTCATGGGTAAATGTAAACAAAAATGTAGACTGGATAAATTACATTTACTATAATCAACAGCAGTTTGTCAATTATGCTAGGGATACCATTAAAGGAATAGCTGAACAATTAGGCCCTACCACCCAAATGGTCCGGGAAAATAGAATAGCCCTGGACATGATATTGACTGAGAAAGGTGGGGTCTGTGTCATGATTGGGGTCCAATGCTATACTTTTATCCCTAACAACACAGCCCCTGATGGAACAATTACAAAAGCCTTACAGGGCCTTACCACCCTAACAAATGAATTAGCTAAATTCTGGAATAGATGACCCCTTCTCTGGTCTCATGGGAAAATGGTTTGGAAAATGGAAGAGACTCATAACCTCAATCTTTACCCCTCTTGCAATTGTTATAGGTGTACTCACTCTTGTAGGTTGCTGCATCATACCTTGTATTTGTTGATTAGTGCAAAGGCTTATAGAAAAAGCCCTCATGAAAACCCCTCGATTCTCCCCCACCCTACTCAGATAAGTTCCTACTCCTAAATGACTAAGAGGAGCAACAAAGTCAGGATATGTTAAGGAAATGTGAAGAGGGAGAACTATAAAGTCAAGAGGGGGAAATTTGCCAAAAATAATAAGTTCCTCTTCTAAGCTTCCTTGGTCTTTCTTAATCTGTAATGAGCACTTCGTACTCTGCTTAATCTGTAACGAGCACTTGTTTCTCTGCTTAATCTGTAACTGGCAAACCTCTTACTCTTTAAACAACTCTTTTCACCTAGTTGGTAATGGACAGCCTCTCCCTTCCTGCCTAATTGGCCTTATTCAATTTCAAACACTAGCCAATTGAGTCAGCTTAGACTGTGCGGTCTGACTCCAGCCAGTGGGGAAAGGACACAGAAACAGGAACTGCATTAGGGATAAAAACCCCTGTGCTACCCCGCTTAGTGTGCTCGTACAATCAGAGGGACACAGGCAGCACCCATCTGCAGAAGTAAATGTGCCTTGCTGAGAAATTTTCTGTCTAAGTGCTGGTTTTTCCTTGTGGCACTGAGCACTTATTTCTAACAGTCCTGACTTGACCTGAGCCTTGTTAAGGCTCTCCTTTGACAAAGGGAAAGGGAGGTAGAAGTCAAGACCATCAATATTTTACTAATCAGGGAATAAGAGGTCAACCTAAAGTAAGACCTCCAAGAATATTTTCTTCCTTCTCTGCTTCTTATTCTCTTCCCTGTAGCCTACTTCCCCAGGAGTGTGAGTTTAGGTAAGAAAAAGAATCAATGAAGACAGAGCAAGAGCTAACCTGTACAGTGCAGCAAGAGTGGCAAGGGAGGAGCTGGAATGAGCAACCGAGTAGATGGTCCCCTGAAATGCAAACACTCAGAGGCAGGGACTGCACCTGCCTCAGCACTCAGAACATTTACCGAAGTGACAGGTCCACTTAGAATTAAACATAATTCAATTGAAGGACAATACGTGTTCAATTTAGATATATTAGAATAGCAACAGCAAGCAAGGAGGGCAGAATAGTAGCTATTATCCCACCACACAGGGACCAACACCCTGGGGACATTCTGCAAGAGATGCACCCAACACACGCTTTTTGAGAAATAAAATGGGACTATATTGTTGACTGTGAAGGGTACCAGAAGATGCTGATGTAGGACAGGTAAGCCCCATTGGGGCTTAGCCTGGAGTATTCTTGGCTTCACTCAGGAAAGAATCAAGGGCGAGCTGGTGGTGTTTGACAGCAACTTTTATTGAAGCAGCAGCAGAGGTACTGCTCCTTGCAGAGCAAGTATACACCACAGGCAGTGTGCCCAGAGTATCAGCTTAAAGGCAGTTCTGCAGTCCTATTTATACCCATTTTAATTATATGCAAATTAAAGGGCAGATTATGCAGAAATTTCTAGGAAAAGGGTGGTAACTTCTGGGTCGCCAGGTCATTGCCATGGAAAAAGGTGGTAGAAGTTGGTTATTGCCATGGCAACAGTAAACTGACATGGCACACTGGTGAGCATGTTTTATGGAAAGCTGCTTCCACCTATCTCTGTTTTAGCTAGTCCTCAATTTGGTCCAGTGTCCAAGCCCCACCTCCAGAGTCAAGTTCCACCTCCTACTTCAGTGCCACCCTAAAACATGCCTTTTTAACATATGGTTTTTTTTTGAGCAAAAGGCCATCATGAACCAGCAGAGGCAGTAAAAGCTTTAAAAACATGGCACAATATTTTTCTTTTGTAAAGAAAATTTACAATTTCTGAAGAAAATAGCCGTTTGTAAAAGGTATCTCCCTCTCCTGTATCAGGAAGAGGAGGACTCTTAACAACTCTTATCAATGGAGAAGGCATTGGCTTCAATCTGCATAACAAACCTTACTAAACACATCTTGTTGTTTGGCACACTTTTCCTGGTCATTGGGTAACTTGCCTCCCCAACCTAGAAGCCCCAAATCGCTTTTTCTTTGTTTAGTCTAATATACTCTATAAGTCCAAGTTCTAACATCCCTTTGGGTTACTCACCACTGGGTGCTCCCATGTTTATGAGGGATACACATCTTAATCAACTTCAATGTGCCTTTCCCTTCTTAACCTGTCTTTTCCCAGTCTGGTTTACAGGGCTCCAGCCAGAGAACCTAAGACAAGAAGAGGAAAAAGATTACTTTTCACCTCTCCTACAATTGGGACCTGTTTTTGTCATATTCCACAGCTTGTCTATATCATGATTTACTTAACCAATTTCCTTCTCTTAGACATTTAAATTGTTTCCAATTTTGTCTTTAAAATACTGCAGCATATAAATTTATAGCCAAGTCTAGTACATAGCCTTCATTATTTCCTTATGATAAAATCATCCTTGTGGATTTGTTAGAAATCCACAAATGTTTGATACTCTAATTCACACTGACAAATTGCCCACCAGAAACTATACCTACTTGCAATTCTCCTGGCCATATACAAGAATGCCCATTTACACCATCATCAACACTATGTTTTCATTTTTCAAATGAAGATGAAAAATGCATCTATGTTAAAACTGACATTTCTTTATTAATAAATAGAAATAAAATTTTTCTTTTGTGGATTGCTCCTTTTATGACTTTGACCCATTTTAGTTTTAAGGTGTCTATCTTTTCTATGTTTACAAGAAAAATTTAATACTAAAAATTTAATGTTGGCCAGGCACGGTGGCCCACACCTGTCATCCCAACACTTTGGGAGGCCAAGGTGGGAGGATCACTTGAGCCCAGGAGTTCAAGATGAGCCTGGGCAACATAGTGAGACCCCCCGTCTCTACAAAAAATAAAAAAATTAGCCAGGCATGGTGCCACATGTCTGTAGTCCCAGCTACTCAGGAGGCTGAAGCAGGAGGATCACTTGAGCTCAGGAGGTCAAGGCTGCAGTATGCTGTGGTGCTGTGGTCATACCACTGCACTCCATCTTGAGCAACAGAGCAAGACCCTGTCTCTAAAATTAAAAAAAAATTGTTATGCCTTTGTCATGTATCTTGCAAGTAATTTGCTCCTTTTAGTACGTTGTCTTTAATTTTTTTATGGCTTTTTACATAGAAAGTTTTCACATTTTACAGAGTCAAATCTACTGACCTCTTTCTTTTTCATTGTTTCTGCCCTTGAAGCCATGCTCATCACTCAGAATTGAATTAGTTTTAGAGGAGCAAAATTAATGTTTCAAATAGAGGAACAGAAAGCTGCTCTTCACATGCTCCATGAGGAAAGTGTGAGGAAGAGAGGACAAGCGCCCTCCAAAGCTGAGATGGGTCAGAGGATGGCTGGCGCCACCTTCTCTCCACCAGGCCTTGACACACTGGAGTTGGATGGCAGCTGGTGGGTCAGCCACTCACAAACAGGAAGCTCCATGCTGCTCCTCTGGGTTGGCGATACTTTTGAAAAAATACGTGTGCCCTAAGCATCCTTTCTTAAAAAGACATTTTTTATTAACAAAAAAGGTGCTTATTTCCAAAATTTTAAACTTCACAGAAATAAATAAAATGTGAAAGAAACATAAAATCCTGGGACCCCAATTCATTATGCCAAAAGGAAAAATTAAGCTGAAAGTTGAGTCACACAAGAAACTGCCTTTCCTTGAGTTCCTAAGCAGAGAGTTACAGATAAAAAGCTGCTGTCTCCACGGGTAGCTACTCTATGTTCACCTTATCTTAAGAAAGTGCCAATTTACTGAGCATGAGAAGAATACAAATTGACCATTCCCCTACCTACTTTTTTTCTCTTGCAACATATGGATTCAGTAATGTGACTGTACCCTCCCTCCTTCCCCTCTGGCCAGCTTTTCCCCTTAACTGAAGGTTTTGAAATAATCTTGAGAAAAAGGCACAAACCACAGATTTTTCCTGTGGTTCTGTGTTCCTTTTTGTCCCTAATGTTGATGAAATAAACTTCTAAATTGATTGAGATCTGTCTCAAATTCTTTTTGGTTTACAAAGGTAAGAAGTGAAAATTTCATTTCAGTTCTCTCACAATCTAATACCTGAAAGACAAGCACTGTAAAAAAATTCAGCATCAACCCTTTCAGGCTTTTTTCCAACACATACCTTAATAACAACATAGTATGCTATGGTATACTGGTATACCCATAGCATAGTATAAACATAGTATCATATATAAAAAGGACTAATCCTATAGATATTGTTTTGCAATGTGCTCTTTTCATGTGATTTACCAAAAGCATCTTTCCATGTCTTACTTTTAGGCCTATGTTATACTATTTTGATGGTTATACAATATTTCATAATATGGATATACCATAATTTTAGTTGTTTGCAATTTTTTATTACAAAAATGCTACAACAAACGTCCTTGAACAGAATTTTAAAACATCTGTGCAATCATTTCTGTGGGATAGATTTCTCAAATTAAAATCACTAGGTGAGAAAAAGACATAAATTTTAAAGTTTGGTGGAAATGATAAATTCCTTTCCCCAGAAGGTATTGATTTACATTCCCTCTGATGTTGTATGAGGGTTCATTTCTCCACACACTCATGTTAATAATGTAAATTATCATCTTTTCTAATTTTACCAATCTGATGGTGAAAAATGGTATTTTATAGCTAAGATATATACATATATTTTTGGTCACATTAGACTCCTCTTGTAGGTTTGATATTTCTTCTGCGAAATATTTCTTCTGCAAGCTGATCATTTATATCATTTGCCCATTTTAAAAACTACTTTGTATTGATTGGTAAGAATTATTGGTAAGAATATTTTGAATATTAATAATTTTATATATATTGCAAATATTTTGTCACGCCTTTTCATTTTGTTCCTTATTTCTTCATCTGCATGTAAATCTTACTTCTTTATATCATCAGTTGTGTTCATCTTTTCTTTCTTACTTTGGATTATATGTTATATGTAGCCAGGCCTTCCATACTCAAACTATAGGAATATCTTTCTATATTGTCCTTTTAGCATTATTGTTATTATTTTATTTATTTAGTTATTTATTTTGAGACAGAGTCTCACTCTGCTCCCCAGGCTGGAGTGCAGTGGCACAATCCTGGCTCACTGCAACCTCCGCTTCCCAGATTCAAGCAATTTGCCTGCCTCAGCCTCCTGAGTAGCTGGGATTACAGGCGCACATCACCACACCTGGCTAATTTTTGTATTTTTAGTAGAGATGGGTTTCACCATGTTGGCCAGGCTGGTCTTGAACTCCTGACCTCAGGTGAGGAGGTCCGCCTCGACCTCCCAGAGTGCTGGGATTATAGCTGTGATCCACCACCCCCGGCCTCCTTTTAGCATTATTATAGTATTTTTGCATTTAAAACTTTAATCCAACTGTAGTTCATTATTGTGGATGACGCTCATACAACCATGAGGTAAATATTTGGCTTTCTTTTACCCAGTAACAGCAAACAACTGCTTTGACTTAATTTCATTTCCTTGGCAACTTTCTGACAGATAATATCCATATTTGTACTTAAAGTTGAAAAAGAAAACGAGCACCACTTTTGCAATTTTTACTCACTGTGACCTAAAGAATTATAACCCTGAAAATGTGCTTTGGAAGTCTGTCATGGTTATTTCTCTTTTTAGGCATCTTTTCAGGGCACACCCGTCTCTGCATCACTGTCTGTTTCCTTGTGTCACAAATTTCTGTTCTTTTTTTCTCTCCCTGTTCCCTCTCATTTATTTTTTCTCCTAATCTCTCCTTTTTCTTAACCACCTATAATGTTAATCACTTTAAATGCTTTTGACTCCTTTGTTTTGGTAGTTTAATTATATTTCATAGTCTCTATGCTTCTTTGTTTTGGAATAAGTTTTTATTTATCTAACTGTGAATTTCACTAGAGTTGTAAAATGTATGCCGAACATAGGATTTGGGGATTGCAAGCATTTACAGCTGATATTCAATTTCTTTCTTTTCACCACAAAAACGATTTTAGAACATGAAAAATATCTTTGGAGAAACAAAAAAATCAATTTCCTCATCATTTTATGGGTCTACATTTTTCAATATAATCATATGGGATAAATGTTTGCATTCTGCTATTGGCTTGTGAACATTTACCTATATTTCTATGTGGTCTTGTTAGGGACAGTATACCTAAGTGGATAAAAGGCTGTGTGGTTGAATTTGGCTTCTTGTTTACAAAAGAGTGATCCTTAGTGATCTACTTAGCCTCTCTGTTCCTTTTCTCTTTCACTGAGATGAGAAAACCTATCCTTCCCAATTTTTTTGTGTGAGAATTAAAATGCAGCAAGAAAACACACACTCATAAACACATCTGCTTTGGCAAAGGAGCACATCAGAAGGGCTGGCTTGTGCGCGCTCTTGCTCTCTGTGTATGTGTATTATGTTTTATGTTACTGTAAAAGATGTAAAGAGAGGCACGTGGTTAAGCTCTCGGGGTGTGGACTCCACCAGTCTCACTTCAGTTCCTTTTGCATGAAGAGCTCAGAATCAAAAGAGGAAACCAACCCCTAAGATGAGCTTTCCATGTAAATTTGTAGCCAGCTTCCTTCTGATTTTCAATGTTTCTTCCAAAGGTAAGCATAAGAGTCAAAGAAGTCCCAACCCAGCTTTCCCTGAAAGTGACTCTCAGTAACTCTTTTGCTTTTTATAGGTGCAGTCTCCAAAGAGATTACGAATGCCTTGGAAACCTGGGGTGCCTTGGGTCAGGACATCAACTTGGACATTCCTAGTTTTCAAATGAGTGATGATATTGACGATATAAAATGGGAAAAAACTTCAGACAAGAAAAAGATTGCACAATTCAGAAAAGAGAAAGAGACTTTCAAGGAAAAAGATACATATAAGCTATTTAAAAATGGAACTCTGAAAATTAAGCATCTGAAGACCGATGATCAGGATATCTACAAGGTATCAATATATGATACAAAAGGAAAAAATGTGTTGGAAAAAATATTTGATTTGAAGATTCAAGGTAAGTGTTCATTCCCTTAATTGCTTTATTTCAGTGTGGGTGCTATTTGGCAAGTTGGAAAATAGCATTTCTAATATTCCCCAGCGCTGACCTCTGCCTCCAGGGGGGCTATACAGGAAACCAGATGCATGTCTCCTGCCCCAGTGGAGACTGTGGTCCAATGCGGGAATGGGATCCACACATCTGATAGACCCTCAAGTCTACCTGCCTACAACTCTGTCTTCAGGTGGTTACAGGAATGTGGGGTTGGGTGAAGAACCTGGATTAAGGTGGCATTAATCGGGAGGGGGACACAGGTAGGCCGAGGGAAAAGGCAACTGTTCCAGGTTGCTGATGAATCGGCGAGCTAAGAGTGGGGCGAGAAGAAGAGGCTGACTGGAGAGCAGCGGGCCTTTCATCGACAGAGCCCATTTCAAGCCAGGCTGCCCTGAAGGAGGAGTTATATGGCAGAAAAGGGCTGGAAACAACATATTTAAGGATGAACAGCCCTTATTTTGGATCTGCTTGTCAGAGTGATACAAGGTGGCAGGTGATTTTTGCTGATATGTGTAGAAGATGCACAAGGTGTGGCTTTGTATATCTCTGCCTGTACTGGGAGGACAGGAGTGGATATTGAGGATGGGGTTAGGGAGACTAGTTAGAAAGCTGCTGCTGTAATCCAAGTGGAGTGAGGACCAATTAAATCAGATTTTTTTTGCATGCGGCCTGGGTATCATTAGGTTCTAAAGCTCCCTGGGGGATTCTAATGAGCTGCCAAAGTCAATCGCCACTGGCCTAGACCAAAGGGTGCCTCTAAAATAGGAAGAATGAGGATAATAAGGGTCAGGCATAGAGAAAGGTGGCTTAGGCAAGGGAGAGAAGGTAGAGAAAGTGGAATCGAAATGCCATTGAAGTTGAAAGCCCGGGGGGATGCTGGGGAAGTAGTGACAAGAAGGGAAAAGAAGAAGCTGCGCTTGACTTGGGGAGGCAGACAGGAACCCCAGCATGAGCACAGGCCAGCCATTCAGTGAGCAAATAAGCATTTCTGTGCTTCACACAGAAAATATCACCAGAAGCAGGGACCCCACCTTCTTCCTCTCTGTCTCCAGCCCCATCTTCAGCACCTGGGCCTACCAGCAATCCCAGATAGTGTCAGATTGCCCACTCCAGCAATCCCAGACACTGTCAGCTCCCCTGAAGTGACAACTTTCCACACCCTAGTCCTGCAACCTTGAGTGGAGAGCACCTTGTAGAAATGTAGTGGGGTTGAGCATGGCGCTGAAAAGGGCCTCTGATTATGGGCTCTGGAAACCACAGATCTCAGGACTCCAAACAGCACAAAACTCGAGTGTCCTGTTTTGAGTGTGAGCCCTACGCGGGGGACCATGCTGGTGTTTTCACATTTGGGTCGCATTTAGCATTGCGGCGGAAATAATGGCTACCAGTTAGGGGTCAAGTGCTTGCTTACATGATCTTATTTAAAGCGCCCAACAATACTGAGACCTAGTTGTTATTATCTCCTTGTTATATATAAGAAAACAGAGACCTAGTCAGAAGCAGCTTGTCCAAGGTCTCATTGCTTGACAGGAGCAAAGTCAGGATTCAAACTCAGAGGTCTTTTTGGCAAGAATGACGACCTTTTCTTTTTTTTTCCAAGCAGCTTCATTGAGATAATTCATCTACCATTCAATTTGTCCATATACTAAAATGGCCTTCAGTATATTCAGAGTTTTGTAACCATCACCACAATCAACATTTTCATTGCCCCAAAAAGAAACCCTTCACCCTTTAGCCGAAAGACAGTGACTTGCTTTATGTGTGTGCACGTCAATGTCATACAACATCTTGATTCAACTTGTAGTTGGTCACTATTACCAGACTTAAGGTGACCATGGCCTTGGGCAAATTCCCTATCTGCTGTGAGTCTGCTTTTCCAATGACAACTTCAAGGGATATTCAGTGAGACAAGGTGTGTACAAGTGTCCTGCAGTGCCTGGGGCACAATGCCTGTTTTCTCAGTGCTAATGCCCTCCCACATCTCTTTGTTTCTCCAAGCTTCTCTTTTTTTTTTTTTTTTTTTAATTGAGATGGCATCTTGCTCTGTTGCCCAGGCTGGAGTGCACTGGCATGATCTCAGCTCACTGCAGCCTCTGCCTCCCAGGTTCAAGCGATTCTCCTGCCTCAGCCTCCCAAGTAGCTGGGATTACAGGCATGTACCACCACGTCCGGCTAATTTTTGTATTTTTAGTAGAGACGGGGTTTCGCCATGTTGGTCAGGCTGGTCTCAAACTCCTGACCTCAGGGGATCCGCCTGCATCGGCCTCCCAAAGTGCTGGGATTACAGGTGTGAACCACGCACCCGGCCTCCAAACTTCTCAAACTCCAGTAGTTGTGCCTGCATTTCCTTCATGAGGGAGTTGCTGCTGCAGGCTGAAGAGGCAATGGAGGGCCCCTTAGAAGCAGATGCTAGTAGGGAAGGGGTTAATCCCAGCAACTCAGAATTAAGGAGTTCTCATCCATGGAAGGCCTTAGGTTGGATCAGTTCTAAGACGCTATCTTAGTGAATGTATACGGAGGTACTACTCCACAAGGGTGCCCATCACTGCATTATTCATGTTAGCGAAATACTAGAACAGTCAGCAGTTAGAAACTTATTAATCAGTTAAATTAAGAATGCATCCTTTAAAAAGATGCATATATGCATTTATTGATGTTCATTAAGAAAAGAACTTCATAATATAATTTCACAATAAAGGGGAAAAGGCAGACTGTAAGATCACATAAATTAGTTTTAATTTTTAAAATATTACATATATATATATAGAGAGAGAGAGAGAGAGAGAGAGGCAGACAGAAAGAGACAGGGTCTCACTCTGTCGTCCAGCCTGGAGTGCAGTGGTGAAATATTGGCTCACTGCAGCCTCTGCCTCTTGGGTTCAAGCAATTCTCATGCCTCAGCCTCCTGAGTAGTTTGGATTAGAGGCGCATGCCAACACACCTGGCTAATCTTCATATTTTTAGTAGAGATGTATTTCACCATGTTGGCCAGGCTACTCTTGAACTCCTGGCCTCAAGAGATCCGCCCACCTTAGCCTCCCAAAGTGCTGGATTACAGGCATGAGCCACCTCTCCCAGCTGAAATATTATATTATTTATATATATACATATAAATAGAAAATATCTGCTAAAGATATACATGAAAATATTATTCATTATTGACTTTGAGTGGTGGCGTTGTGGGTAATTTTTAATCTGCTTTAAACTTTTAAAAATATTTTATCAGCTTGTACAATGATTGGAGTTGAAAGCCCACGGATGCTGGGCAGGGAGTGATAAGAAGGGAAAAGAGGAAGCTGGCTTGGGGAGGAAGACAGGAACCCCAGCATGAGCACAGGCCAGCCATTCAGTGAGCAAATAAGCATTTCTGTGCTTCACACAGAAAATGTCGCCAGAAGCAGGGACCCCACCTTCTTCCTCTCTGTCTCCAGCCCCATCTTCAGCACCTGGGCCTACCAGCAATCCCAGATAGTGTCAGATTGCCCACTCCAGCAATCCCAGACACTGTCAGCTCCCCTGAAGTGACAACTTTCCACACCCTAGTCCTGCAACCTTGAGTGGAGAGCACCTTGTAGAAATGTAGTGGGGTTGAGCATGGCGCTGAAAAGAGCCTCTGATTATGGGCTCTGGAAACCACAGATCTCAGGACTCCAAACAGCACAGAACTCGAGTGTCCTGTTTTGAGTGTGAGCCCTACATGGGGGACCATGTTGGTGTTTTCACATTTGGGTCACATTTAGCATTGCGGCGGAAATAATGGCTACCAGTTAGGGGTCAAGTGCTTGCTTACATGATCTTATTTAAAGCGCCCAACAATACTGAGACCTAGTTGTTATTATCTCCTTGTTATATATAAGAAAACAGAGACCTAGTCAGAAGCAGCTTGTCCAAGGTCTCATTGCTTGACAGGAGCAAAGTCAGGATTCAAACTCAGAGGTCTTTTTGGCAAGGATGATGACCTTTTCTTTTTTTTCTAAACAGCTTCATTGAGATAATTCACCTATCATTCAATTTGTCCATACACTAAAACGGCCTTTAGTATATTCAGAGTTTTGCAACCATCACCACAATCATGTTACTGTGTTGCTGTTATAAGTAGAAAAAAAATATTTCCATTCTGAAGAGACGGGCAAACTTCGTGACCCAACCTCTAGACTATGTACTAACTCTGTTGCTGAATGTTGATAATTTCCATTTTCTTCCTTCTCAGTAACGCAGAATCTTGGGATGAGAAGAAAACTTTTAATTTAATTTCTGCATGCCTATATATATCGGGACATAAATGAAGTTTGACTATGGTGTTCCATGGGGAAAATATTGGTGTCTGGAAGTCAGAGTGGGAGGGAATCATTGAAAAATAAGCTAGTCCATCTATATTATGAATGGAGAGAAACTGAGAGGGAAAAGTGGCAAGTCTGGGGGGAACAAAGTAAAGAATGAGAAAAAAAAAAAACAGAAGACGAGGAAAAGGAAAAGTTCACACAGCTAGGAAGTGATGGGGCTAAGATGTAGACCTGAGCCATCTAATGCTAGGCCTAGGCATTTTCCTTTTGTGGTGCAATCTCTGTGCGGGAGAGGCAAGAGGTTTGTGATTATCGAATGCATGAATTACCACTAATAATGTCAGTGCCTAACGATCTGCCCAGGGCTTTGCCACATGTTGCTCCTTTTGTGACAGGTAGGGTATGTTTTTCTGATCCTTTTCTGATGCTCTGAGGAGGGCCAGCGTAGACCCTGTGAGCAACTGAGCAGCTCTGGGCTGGGAAAAGGCAGAATCAAGTCTCTGGTTCCCAGGCAGGTGCTCTTTTTCCCTAGAGCTTTGAGCTCCTTGGACACCCACACACTCACATATACCCACCTGGCCCACTGCTCCAGGAACTTGGTGGGGGCAGAGGTATCCAAGGTCCCCAGTCACATGTCAATGTGGTGATTCCTCCAGGATGGGGTTCCTGGCTGCTGTTAAAGCATTGCCTTTCTCAAACTCTGGAGGCACTTTCTTACCCATACTCCTAAACCCTGACTGCCATGTTTTAGGTGGTGCCCCAAGACCACCTACTGGACCTCTCAGAGCCTTGAACATTTTGTCTGTAAATGGGAAGAAAAACATCAGCCTGTCTGTTAGGGTTAAGTGATGTCATATATGTGAAAGCATTTTAAGGTATAAGACAGCATATAAACATTACATATGATACACTATTTAGTGGCATAATGTATCTGTGAATGTCATCAGAAATAATTTTTTTCTGAATGCTCTTTGTAAATAAAATAAAATAAAATAATTTCCAAAAGTTGCTAGAGGTCTTTGACATTGTTCCCTTGTCCCTAACTGACTCCATCCCCCACTGTATAAATAGATATGTTTATTAAAATCAGAAAATTGCCTAAATTGAACTGAATCTTTACTTTCTTTTTAGAGAGGGTCTCAAAACCAAAGATCTCCTGGACTTGTATCAACACAACCCTGACCTGTGAGGTAATGAATGGAACTGACCCCGAATTAAACCTGTATCAAGATGGGAAACATCTAAAACTTTCTCAGAGGGTCATCACACACAAGTGGACCACCAGCCTGAGTGCAAAATTCAAGTGCACAGCAGGGAACAAAGTCAGCAAGGAATCCAGTGTCGAGCCTGTCAGCTGTCCAGGTGCGTGGCGGGCATCACTTCACAAACACAGCCTGCCAGGCCCTCAGTAGGCAGAGGCATGCTGCTCCAGGTCACAGGTGCTCATGCTGGGAGGCAGCCCTGGCTCAGGATGAGGCATGAAAGCATATCTCTTCCTCCTGGAAACCTTCAAGGGAAGCATCAGGGGAGGTGGTGTTCTATGGTTTTCCATCCTGGGAGTCCTCCCACTGAGCACAATTTGACCACAAGAAATTTTAAAGATCCTCTTCTAGGAGAAAGAATTGCAAAACTGAAGAAGGAGGAGCTGTAGAGAGTATCTCATGCAAAGCCCCATTTTCCAGAGAGGGAAACTGACTTGCCCAAGGTCCCTTGGCTAGTTAGTGACATGATTCCAACTGCTCCCCTAAAGATGGTTAGTGGTCAGCACCTCCCATCAGGAGTAAAGGTAGAAAGGCTGCAGAAACCCTGGGGGGCAGGGTCATGGGGGAATGGAGCCCTTGAGGCCAAAGAGGACTGTGGACAGCAAGGCAACACTCCTGGCACACAACAGGACGGCAAGGCTTGGGGACTAGCTCCAGAAAATCTCAAAACTCCAAGACCATAATGGATCCCCAGTGTCCCAGCCTGATGTGACCTCCAGAAGTATTTCTGAGAGGCAGCCTTCTATAGTGCCCAAGCTCTCGCCTGGGAGTAGAGGTCTGGACTTCTAGTTTGGGTCTGTCCAAATTTAGCCAGAGAATCTTGACAGAGTTTCTTCCCCTCTCTAGGCTTCAGCTTCCTGGCCCACAAAGAAAATAAGCACCATGTTCACAGACTATTAGATGAGTAGGCTCTTGGATCCACTTCCAAGTTCATTCATGTGGGCCGTTGGGCTGCCTCACAATATGGCAGCTAGCTTCCCTCAGAGCCCTCTAAGAAAGAGCAGGAATAAGTGCCCAGGACAAAAGTCGTGGTCTTTTTGTAACTTAATCTCAGGAGTAATATCCCAATCACTTCTGCTGTGTTCTGTTCATTAGAAGCAAGTTAATAAGTCTAGCCCACATTCAATCAGAGGGGATTGCACATAGGTGAGAATACCAGGAAGCAGGGGTCATTGAAGGCATCTGAGAGTCTGCCAATCACCAACTTGACCAGCATCACTTCACCCCCGGTTTTCCCACCAGTCATCCTCCCACATTCCCCCATCACTAAGGCACAGTAAGTGAAGTTGCCTCTCCTTGACTTCGCAACTTTTTTTGAGACAGGGTTTTGCTCTGTTGCCAAGGCTGGAGTGTGGTAGTATGATCATAGCTCTCAGCAGCCTCCACCTCCCAGGCTCAAGCAATCCTCCCACCTCAGCCTCCCCAGTAGCTGAGATTACAGGAGCATGCCACCACACCCAGCTAATTTTTAAAATTTTGTAGAGATAAGGTCTCACTCTGTTGCCCAGGCTGGTCTCGAACTCCTGTGCTCAAACTATCCTCCCACCTCAGCCTCCCAAAGTGCTGGGATTATAGGCATGAGTCACTGCAGTGGCCTCGGGAGATCTTTGATTAGAGTTGCCAGATATAGCAAATAAAAATACAGCATAAGTACGTTTCAGATATTGCATGGAACATACTTATGCAAGAAATTTTTCATTGTTTATCTGAAATTCAAATTTAACTGGGTGTTTTGCATTATATCTGGCAACCCTACTTTTCATGTTTATTTTAACTGGAGCCCACAAGTATAAATATGTGTGTGTATTAGGGATGGAAGGAGGGAGAGAGGGAGGACCTTGGGAGCAGCCAAGGTTTGAAGGCTGGAACACTTATGTCCCTTACTCTATGGTGCAGAGCAGAAGCTCATTGCGAGAAGGACCACTAGGGAGATGGGAAGAATACCTGGGGAGAGATTAGGGTGGAGGAGCTGCTCTTGAAGACCCGAAAAGGGATTTGGAAGTTTTATTCTGAAAGGCCAAGGCAGAGAGGAGCAATGGTCAGAGTCTGACCATTTGGCTCAGATTAGGTGAGTGTTTACATACTTAAAATCAAAATACTAGGAGGAAGGAACAGATTCAGATGCACAAAAATAATTTGTCACATAAACTCATGGGCATGTGATCTCCAAGAGATACTGTTGGAAGATAGTATGCCTGGATTTAGGAACTGGGAGGGCATATTTTTGACTGACAGTGCCACCGCTGCTTCTGAAACATGATGGAACATTCCCCACCAAAAGTACTACCAGGTGCCCCAGGGCACCACCCTGGACAAACTGGAGAGCAGGCTGTGTAAGGCATTGCCTACATTCCTGCATGTGCCCAAGATAAAATTGTGGCCACCCTACCCGATGACTTGGAGGGAAGATGGAGCTGGTGGCTGCATGACTTAGCCATGTGCTCCCCAAAGCATTTCAGGCCTGCCCTGCCCCACCCCGGGTCAAATCTGAAAAGTTCTCAAGCTCAGCAGGAAGTGGCCTCTGGTATCTCCTGCCCCTCGTCCAAGCCAGCAGGGCCTAAAGGGCCCTGAATCCTTTACTGACCCAATTTCAATGGTTTAAGATTATGTCTGCTTCTCTGGTGGAGGCCTCTTCATCAGTAGAGCTTAGAGAGTTGTGTAACTGGCAGGCAAAGAATGGGTCAGAGAGAGACTCGAGGAAAGAAAGCCAAGATGAATAAACCACCACAGTTTGATGATCTGTTAAACTTGGTTTCTGAGCCTCTGACCCTCTCCTTGGGGCCCATCCTGGGCTTCATGTATAACAGTGTCTCCCTGGTATGTTTTTGCCTGGAGAAGCATTTCTTTTGTGATGCTGGGCCAAGTTCCAGTTTGTTCTTCAGATGACCCCGTCCCCTGACCCGAGCCCCACTGCTGCTTTTCTAACTGCTATTGACTCACAAAGGGCAGACAGCCCTAGAACCCCTCCTGTTTCCCCTGTTGCTGGGAAACAGCTCCCAGAAACACCAGTGCGAGAACACTAGTAAGAGCAAGACCTCACATTTGTGTTGTTTTACAGTTTACAAAGCACTTTCATATCCATTATCTGATTGACTTCCAACAGCCACCCTATGATGTAGGTTTCATTATCTCCACTTTACAAAGAAGGAAACAGGCTCAGAGAGGTGAAGTAACTCTCCAAAGTTCACACAGCTCCTGCCTAAAAAAGCCTAGACCAAACCCATTTCCCTTAACACCAAAGTCACTGTTTTCCTCATTGCATTACAGTGACTGAAGGTCCAGCAACTGAAGACTAAGCCCACTGCTGTTACTAACGCACTGTGCACCCGGGTTTCTCTCGTGGCTCCAGGGAAACTCTGTGAGAGGGTGCTGGCCGTGAGGTCAGAGTGCTGGGCTGGACAAGTGAAATATTTACCCTGAGTGTTTGGAAACTGCCTGGTAGAGACAGTGAGAAGGAATCATGGTGCAGTGGGGGTAGCCAGAGACGAGAGCAGGATCAACAGTGCAGAAACACCGAGACAAGGGGCTGCTTAAGGGAAATGCTCAGGAACAGATATTGTGTGGCTTCGGGCAACTCATTCTCCCTCTCAGGGCCTCATGTTTGAAGCTAGAGGTTGCATTTAGAGTATCTCTAAGATCCTCGGATCTAAAATTTCGTGATGCTTTCCATGACGGGGGCAGTGGGCAGGCCGGCCTTGGTGCATGAACAATCAGGCATTTCTAGCCCCTGAGAGCAGTTTCCCAAAGAGCCTGCAGAGGGAGCTTCCCAAGGACCTTGGGTCCTTCCAGGGTTGACACCACTCACCACCCTCTGTGAGCCTGGGAGTTATGGGGTGAAAGGTCCCAACAAGCTCTTCTATCTGCTTGATGCAGGAGGCAGCATCCTTGGCCAGAGTAATGGGCTCTCTGCCTGGACCCCTCCCAGCCATCCCACTTCTCTTCCTTTTGCAGAGAAAGGTCTGGACATCTATCTCATCATTGGCATATGTGGAGGAGGCAGCCTCTTGATGGTCTTTGTGGCACTGCTCGTTTTCTATATCACCAAAAGGAAAAAACAGAGGAGTCGGAGAAATGGTAAGCTCCCCCTCTTTTGTCCCACCGCAGGCCCCAGCAAAATCCCCATGAAACAGCTCATGGGGATGACACCTTGAATCTGCAGAGAAAATGATGGAAATAGGTAGTTTCGGAATGTCAGGGTTGTAGTCAGCGGTTATAGCTTGTTTCATTTTGTGGTTAGCTTGATTTTTGAAAAACAAATTCTTAGTGGTGACAATGTGGGAGCTTTGAGACACTGAATCCAGTTGGCCTCATTGGAATCCACCACTGAGGCCTACTTGGTGACAGGCTAATGTGAACATCTTTTGAATGAGCCACACTTCTCTACATAGGCAGAAAGGTTAGCTCCAAAACACCGTTTCTAGGAATAAATGTCCTATCTATGGGTGGCCCAAGGTGAGTTCAGGACCAAGCTCCTAGAAACACAGGGAAAATCATTCAGGTCATCAGGTAGTCACAGGAAAACAGCTGTTCTAAAGCAGGGTGCCTGTGCCCCCTTTGCTAATTCTCTGTTCGAGGGATGTGTTAGGGTTGAGAGTTTTTCCTCAGATCAGGCCTGTCTGACAATCTATCAGCAATGAAAAGGTTATGCTTGCAAGTGGGGAGCCGGCTTAGGGAGCATCCAGGCCACCCAAGGCAGAACACTTCAGAGAATGGCCAACCCGGGGTCACTGTGGGGGGCACAGATGAGGGTGTCAGCCATTGGCGGGACTTGCAGCCAAGGGAACAGGCCCTGGGGTTCTCTGCAATTCACGTTCACAGCAGGACTTGGTCTCTCCCTAGAACCGGCAGGCACAGCCACACCAGCTGCTTCCAGTGCTGCCCAGGGAGGTGGTCCAAACTTCCCCAGGCACCGGTGGCCTTGGGCCCCGTGCCCTCTGGATTTGGCTTCTTTACCTCAGATTTCTTCCTCAGTTCTCCTTCTGCCTCCCCATCAGGCTGCGGTCCCTCAGCCCCACGTCCCATCACGTCACTACCCCCAGCCCAGGCCCCGAAACATCATCCTGAACTTAGTCCCATTCTTCCCACCACGACTGTCCCACACTTTCCACCACAGCACAGCAGAATCGCTGGCAGGGCCCTTAGGCATGCCTGGCTTATCCTCCTCTGTGCCCAGCTCTGGCTGTTCTCCATGCTCCTCTCCATGCTCCTTCTCCATTGACTAATGGTCAAAGACCATATCTTCTTCCAAGGTGGACCTCACTTGTCACCCCAAGACAAGGCAATCTCTGCCATCACCAGGCTGAGAAGAATGATGGTTAGCTCATGCTGATAAAAAAGTCGTTAGTCTCTGTGTTTTATGTCTATTAGTGCATCCAGCTTTCAGAGTGATCTTAGGAGATAGATAACAACACAGATGAGGAAGCTTAAGTTCAGTGAGGTTCAATTATTTGCCTTAAATCCTATGGCCAGTAGGTTGACTCAGGCCTAGGCCGAGGCAAGGAGCCCAGAATTTAAGGCATAGAATTTAAGGAGGCTGGCCTGCCCTTGCACAACCTGAAAGTTGGTGTGTCTTTAAACTGCATGCCTGTCAGCCTCGCTTGCCTCATTCCAGTCATGCCCTGGGTTGAGTAACCAGGAGATGCAAACAAGGGAGAAGGACAATGAGCCTGGAGGAATTCCTGGGAGCACACATTTAGGCGCCAGCTGCAGCTGCTGGAGTGGGTAGGCTGAGGACCCACTGTCCTGCTTGAACCAGGCAGGGTGCACAGAGCCGTAGCCAACCTTGTCTGTCCAACCCTGCCTGCAGTCTCAGCCATGTGGCTACACCCCATTCCTCCTACCAGAGCTCATGTGCCTCTGTCTACACTTTCTGGTGGCCCTGGGCTCTTCACAGAAATTGACATTGCGATTTTCAGTTCTTGTTTG
Source organism: Homo sapiens (assembly GCF_000001405.40). NCBI lineage: Eukaryota > Metazoa > Chordata > Mammalia > Primates > Hominidae > Homo > Homo sapiens. The sequence goes on from NC_000001.11 coordinate 116,766,458, forward strand.
CCTCTTACTTGATTTTAGGCTTCCTGAGGACAATTTGTGTCTAAGTCACAATGACACTTAACACTTGGAAGATGAGGAATAAATGTTGGAAGGACAAATGAACCAAATGGTGTATGGGCCAAGTGTGGTGGCTCATATCTGTAATCTCAGCACTTTGGGAGGCCGAGGCAGGAGGATCATTTGAGCTCAGGAGTTTGGGACCAGCCTGGGCAATATAGTGAGACCTGGTCTCTACTTTAAAAAAAAAACTTAAAAATTAGGTGGGTGCATTGGTGTATGCCTGTAGTCCCAGCTAGTCAGGAGGCTGAGGTGGGTGAATCATTTCAGCCCGGGAGATCAAGAATGCAGTGAGATACGATCACACACTGCACTCCAGTCTGGGCAACAGAGCAAGGCCCTGTCTCAAAAAAACAAAACAAATAAAAAACAAAAATAGTGGGTGAACAGAGTAGTAAACCAATGGCCAGTGCAAGCTTGCCACATAGGAGATGAAGAAGGACCACCCACTGCCCCATAATTCAGAACTAGGGCCAGGGGTTAGAGCCCTCTCCACAGTCTACTGGACATAACCTAAGCAATGACTGCAGGGCACGGAAGATGGCATAGAGGATGTGTTTTGTCCTTTCTGGAGGCCCTTTCCTCTTTGTGCTTAGAGCACACGAGCCATTTAGGTATCAAAATCACATTGTCTAACTTTGACTCTACACTCAAAGCCATCTGATGCTCACATTTCATGTAGTCAGAGGAGGCCATCTGGTTTGAATCAACATCCGGAAGTTACAGGGTGATGCTTAGAGAGGGCTTGTGCTTCCCCAGCCACACATCTCCATAAAGATGTAAGAGGTAATTATTTCAGCTGGGTGCGGTGGCTCATACCTGTAATCCCAGCACTTTGGGAGGCCAAGGCAGGCAGATCACCTGGTCGGGAGTTCGAGACCAGCCTGACCAACATGGAGAAACGCCATCTCTACTAAAAATACAATATTAGCCGGGCGTGGTGGTGAACGCCTGTAATCCCAGCTACTCAGGAGGCCGAGGCAGGAGAATTGTTTGAACCTGGGAGGCAGAGGCTGCAGTGAGCCAAGATCGCACCATTGCACTCTAGCCTGGGCAACAAGAGTGAAACTTCAACTCAAAAAAAAAAAAAAAAAGAGGTAATTATTTCACCCCAGGGAAAAACTTCTCTTCCTACCTCCCTCTGGAGCCACTGCAAAGACGGCCTTGGGTGCAGGGACTGAAATACCTAACTTACAGCCTAAAGGAGTCCAGAGGGGCCAGCAGGGTGCTCCAGGCCTCTAGCAGCTGGGCACCTTCACAGATTCCCTGTGATTTTAAGAGTACAGGAAAAACTACATTACGAGTAGCTGTAGGCCTGCTTTCATGGACTGAAGTCACACAAAGAAGAAAATCCTGAAGGGTGAGGAGAGGAGGAGTTCTTTCCCTCCTAAGGCCAAGAACATAGGTCTTGAATTTCTGAGAAGCGAGTAAATTTCTAAGGACAAAAAGTTCCTTGCATGTGTTCCAACCTCTTGCCGGAAGGTGGATTGCATGACAGTAGAATTGGGGGAAAGGCAGATCTAACATAGAAATGCCTCAGAAGGAATGTAGTTACTAATATCCTCCATGACTGCTCATAACCCCTTCCCATGCGCTCTAACCATGAGGTTCTTGCTCTCAGGGAACAATTTCTAGGTCAGCACAGAGGTAGGGTTCCAGGTCTGCGTGCTCTCTCTGATCATGGGAGCCCCAGGCACAAAGCCCTCCACCCATGTGTCTTCTTCCTGCTGATTCCTTGAGTTCTCTTGTCCTAGGCTTTCACTCTACCTTATGGTGAGCACTTCTTTCTCTCCTACAAGCTTAGAGTTCTCAGATAGTAGGGGCAACTTCTGCTTCCTCATTGCATCCCCCAAAGCAGCTAGCATGGCGCCTTGCATATAAAAGGTACTCAATATTTACATTGATTTCACCTGGCCAAGATGAACTCTATTGAGGTTTTGTTGTTGCAGATGAGGAGCTGGAGACAAGAGCCCACAGAGTAGCTACTGAAGAAAGGGGCCGGAAGCCCCACCAAATTCCAGCTTCAACCCCTCAGAATCCAGCAACTTCCCAACATCCTCCTCCACCACCTGGTCATCGTTCCCAGGCACCTAGTCATCGTCCCCCGCCTCCTGGACACCGTGTTCAGCACCAGCCTCAGAAGAGGCCTCCTGCTCCGTCGGGCACACAAGTTCACCAGCAGAAAGGCCCGCCCCTCCCCAGACCTCGAGTTCAGCCAAAACCTCCCCATGGGGCAGCAGAAAACTCATTGTCCCCTTCCTCTAATTAAAAAAGATAGAAACTGTCTTTTTCAATAAAAAGCACTGTGGATTTCTGCCCTCCTGATGTGCATATCCGTACTTCCATGAGGTGTTTTCTGTGTGCAGAACATTGTCACCTCCTGAGGCTGTGGGCCACAGCCACCTCTGCATCTTCGAACTCAGCCATGTGGTCAACATCTGGAGTTTTTGGTCTCCTCAGAGAGCTCCATCACACCAGTAAGGAGAAGCAATATAAGTGTGATTGCAAGAATGGTAGAGGACCGAGCACAGAAATCTTAGAGATTTCTTGTCCCCTCTCAGGTCATGTGTAGATGCGATAAATCAAGTGATTGGTGTGCCTGGGTCTCACTACAAGCAGCCTATCTGCTTAAGAGACTCTGGAGTTTCTTATGTGCCCTGGTGGACACTTGCCCACCATCCTGTGAGTAAAAGTGAAATAAAAGCTTTGACTAGACCCGTGTCTGCTCATTGTGTGAAGGATCCCAGTGTCGAGGAGAGGAAGCTGCCGAATAAGAAAGAGCCTCGCTGGTGTGACAGCAGGATCAAATTCAGTCAACTCAATCCGGCTGAGACCTCCTTAGTCCTCACCAGAATGACCCGAACATGCTCCCCAGGTCTCAGCTGCAAAGCTGGGTCCAACAACCTATTTGTAGATTTCCATAATGAATTAAAGCCTCCATGCACAAACGTTAACAGGAGTCACCAGAAAACTTAACATTTTAGGTCTTACTTTCTTGACTGTTCAGACACGGTCATAATGACCTGTACTGTCATCCTTCAAAACAAGGGAATCTATGGATACTGGAGGTGTCATGAACTCATCAGATGACATACAAAAAGATAGGCTAAGAGACAACTCAGTTGAATCAAATCTTAAGTGTCTTAAATGACTATGATTAAAAGGTCAGACCCCATCCCCAGCTAGCAGTCATGCAGCTGTACTTTGAGGGAAGTGGGGAGAAAAAAATAGTTTTCAGTTAGAGTTCTAAAACAATAGGTGGTGAGAAGGCACCTGCTTTGAAATGCTGGTGCCTTGTCTGTGGTCCTGTCTGCCCGCCTTCTCCTTGGCTTCTTAGACTTGCTAAACCTTGTTACACTCTGGCAGGAAGCTCTGAGGGCTAAACCACAAAAACTAAGTACATTCAGGACTTCCTGTGACAGCTCACTGAGGATTGAACTACTTTTTCCTCTGAATCTGAGAGTCTATTTTTCCAGCAACCAGAGTTAATTACTAAGGGCAATGATGAATGAAACCTCATCGCCTCCCAAAATTCAAACACAAAATCCAGCTAGGTAACAATTGCCACAGGATCTACCCAGTAGAGAGATGAGGGCTCTGGCCGGGCATGGTGGCTCGTGCCAGTAATCCTAACACTTTGGGAGGCCAAAGCAGGTAGATCACCTGAGGTCAGGAGTTTGAGACCAGCCTGGCCAACATGGTGAAACCCCTTCTCTACTTAAAAAAAAAAAAAAAAAAATTAGCCGGGCATCGTGGCACGCACCTATAACCCCAGCTACTCGGGAGGTTGAGGCAGAATAATTGCTTGAACCCTGGGGTGTGGAGGTTGCAGTGAGGTGAGATCGTGTCACTTCGCTCTAGCCTGGGCAAAAGAGCAAAACTCCGTCTAAAAAAAAAAAGGAGAGAGAGAGAGAGAGAGAGAGAGAGATGAGGGTCCTAGCTCTGCCCCTTTCTCATTCTTCATGATACCCATGAGTGATTTCATTGGCTATCTCACCAGAACAGCTCATACGCCATTCCCTTAAGAAAATCTTCCCTGGTCTATTCAGCCCTGGGCTCTGCCTTTCTTCTGAACTCCTGTGGCATTACATATGGTACAAAACACATACACCCTATTCAATCCTTCATCGTTCATTCATTCAACGAACATTTATTGAACTTCTACTATGTGTCAGGCTCTGTGCTAGGCACTAGGAAAACAGAGGTGTACAATTGCATCTCTGCTTTCAAGGAGCTCACCACCTGGTAGGCAAGAAACGGACCAACCATGGGACAAATGCAATGCAGTATGATAAATATAGGTCAGAGGCAAGTGCATGAACCCAGAGGAAGGACTTTGAACCCAGACTGAGTGGTAAGACTGGGGTGACAAAGAGGGCTTCCTAGAGGAGGGACGTTTGGGTTGCGTTGTAATAGATTAATTGAACTGGTGAAGCAGAGGTACAGAATTACCCATGTAGAGGCAACAGCATGAGCAAGGCTCATTTGGCTTTCTGTTTACACAAACATGTAGTTTCTTTTTCAACTACTGTATTTAACTGATTTGAAGATGTCATTGATTTTTCAACTACTGTTTTCAACTTTTTGTATTTCTTTTTCTTTTTTAACAACTATATTTAACTAATTTGAAGATGGCATTGATTTTAAGTGGCATCATTCTTTTACATGCCACTAAGAAAGAGAAGAACACTTCTCAGTTGCATTGTAACAAATACTAAGATACAGTCAACTTTCAGTCACAATCCCATTCCTGAGATATTAAAATGTGAAAAAATGTTATTTTATGTTAGTGCATTTTAGAATTGATGAAATGCATAGTAAAGAAGCTTTTTGAGTACAATGACCATTTCTCAATATCGCTGCCAGCACTTTATTGAAGCTATCATTAGCCAATTGATTCAATGGGTGAGCCCAGTCCTGATGAAAGGAAGGGAAGTGAACATACACAACATGCTTGTCCTCCTTATCCAGGGAAGATAAGACAGATTCTCTGCCCTGCACCACCATTAGGTGGGAAACACGAACCTTGCTTAAGATTTGTGCTGCTGTCACCCACCTGTCTGACACTGTGTGACATCCCACTGAACCTGCCCCAGAGCATGGACATTCTGAGAAGTAGTCAGGCCAGCTGCGTAGGAATAGCTTGTAGAGCTTGTGAAAAAAAAAAAAATGCTGACACTTCTGTCAGTCAGGTTGGGGGCCAAATAAACATATTTTTAAACAACCTCTCCAGCTGATTCCAATGGGCATTCAAGTTGTAGACAACCTTGGAGACTATAGATAATGCAGTATTGTAAGAAAAATAAACAGTTGTAGCCCAGTTAGCTATTCCCCCACAAGCAAATCTCCAATAAGAAGGCCAACCATGTTGGAAAAAATATCCACATAATTTAAGGCACTGGAACATCGCAGAGGTTTATATGAAGACAGAAAATTTAGAGGTTTCTGATAGCCTATCTGCCCACCCTAAATAATAGTCTAATACTAGCAGCTGGACCAGCTTAGCTCCAAAAGGGTCTCAACTGTAAACTGGGAAATTTCATCTCAGTCCTCCTGCTCCTTTTCCTTTGCTAATTTTCTAATGTTAGGCTCCTTACCCATGCTCAGTGGGTTGCAGTGACTTGGTGACTCAAGTTCACCAATAAGTTTGCCACCTCAGGACCACTGTACATGCTGTTCCTATTATACATGCTGTTCCCACTGCCCACACTTTTCACCTGGCTCTTCACCTGTCCACATTCTTCTTTCAGAGTTCAGACAGAAAGTCATTTCCTGGGGGAGACCTTTCCTAACTCTTGAACTCCACTGTAACGTGAATCTTGTGTGAGACCATCTCTGTGTCCAGTTCTGTGCCCATGAAGTTCAATGTAGTAGAAGACTCACAGGTATCGAAGCCAGGAAGTTCTGACTCTCTCTCTCACTGGATTTGTAAGCTTGAGTAATTTATTCAGCTTCTGTAAACACTGATTTTCTCATCTGCTAAATGAGGATAACACCTCACAAGGTTAGAGTGAGGACTAAATGGAAATAATGTATGTAATGTAACAAATATATCCTTGTGTACAGAATGCATCTGAAAACTGTGAGCTTTATTTCTGGCATGATACTCAAGAAGGAATATCCTGGATGGCACATATAAATGGGCTAGTTATTGGAAAGACACACAGCTCATTATAAATTGATAAATAAGCACTCTGTAAGGTGACTTAGTCTGCTATGAGTTTGATTCATCTGAGTCAGTTTCATAATGTTGCCTCACATGGAACAAATGGATGATAAAATCCTACACCAGAGGTATTTAAAGCTAAAGAACAGACCTGTGAGGCCACCTCGCAAATCCTAGATTGAGTCACCAGCCTTCTGTCACTTCCCTGGCTTCATAAGCAGGGTTTTCCTGAAGAAAAAATGCCAGGACATTACTTAAGTACATGGCATCTTTCTGGTTTATTTATAGCAACACAGAACAAAAGGATGAGGAAACAAGGGAAAATTCTGATCTTTTTAATTGCCTACCAGACAATGACATTACAAAAAAGAAACTACAGGCCAACAACTCTCACAGATACAGATGCAAAATTTTTCAAAAAATATTAACAAATCAAATTTGACTGACAATGTATAAAAAGGACTATACATTACAACCAAGTGGGATTAATCTCAGGTATGCAAAGCTGGTTCAACATTTGTAAATCAATTAGTATAATCTATCATATCCACAAGCTAATGAAGAAAAATCACATGATCCTATAAGTAGATACAAAAAAAGAATTTGACTCCTGTTTATCAACACCTGTTTATCAAAAAAACTTTTGGTAACTGGGAAGAGAGGGAAACTTCCTCAACTTGATTAAAAAAAAATCTACAAAAAAGACATGCACCTAACATTTTACTTAACAATGAGAAACTCTAAACTTTCCAGTAAGATCAGGAATCAGGATGTTTCCTCTCACCACTGTTTCTCAACATCATATTAGAAGTCTTAGCTAGTGCAATAATACAAGAAAAGGAAATAAAATGTATGCAGGTTGGGAAGAAATAAATAAAACTATCTTTGTAGATGACATGATCGTTTGTGTAGAAAATCTGAAAGAATCAACAACAAAATAATACTGGAACTAATAAGGGATTATATTAATAGCAAGGTTGTATTAAATAATTCTTACAAGGTTAATATTAAAAAGTCCATCAGTTTCCCGTATACCAACAATGAACAAGTGCAATTTGAAATTAAAGACATAATACCATTTACATTAGCACTCAAAAAATGAAATACTTAGGTATAGATTTACATGAAGAAAACTACAAAACTCTAATGAACAAAATAAAGGAAGAACCAAATAAATGGAGAGCTATTTTATGTTCATGGATAGGAAGACTCAATGTTGCCAAGATATTAATTCTTCCCAACTCAATCTGTAGATTCCGTGTAATCCTGGTCAAAATCTCAGCAAATTGGGCTGGGTTTGGTGGCTCTTGCCTGTAATTCCAGCATTTTGGGAGGCTGAGGTGGGCAGATCACTTGAGGTTACGAGTTTGAGAGCAGCCTGGCCAACATGGTGAAACCCCGTCTCTACAAAAAGTACAAAAATTAGCCGGGCATGGTGGTGTGCACCTGTAATCCCAGCTACTTGGGAGGCTGAGGCAGGAGAATCGCTGGAACCTGGGAAGTGGATACTGCAGTGAGCCAAGATTGTGCCACTGCACTCCAGCCTGGGAGACAGAGTGAGACTCCATCTCAAAAAAAAAAAAAAAAAATCCCTGCGAACTATTTTGTGGATATTAAAGTGATTCTCAAGTTTATATAGAGAGGCAGAAGTCCCAGAATAGCCAATATAATATTGAAGGAGAACAAAATTGGAGAACCAAACTGCCCCACTTCAAGATGTACTATAAAGCTACAGTAATCAAAATAGTATGGTATTGGTGAAAGAAGAGACAAATAGATCAAATGGAACAGAATAGAGAGCCAGAGAAACCCATATAAATTTCATCGTCTTGTCCAAGCTTGTCCAACCCTCAGCCCGCGGGCACCATGCAGCTCAGGATGGCTTTGAATGTGGCCCGACACAAATTTGCCAACTTTCTTAAAACATTATGAGATTTTTTTTCTGTACTCATCAACTGTTGTTAGTGTTAGTGTATTTTATGTGTGACCCCATTCTTCTTCTTCCAGTGTGGCCCAGGGAAGCCAAAGGATTGGACACCCCTGATTTGACAAAGGAGCAAAAGCCAAACAATGGAGAAAGAATGGTCTCTTCAACAAATAATGCTGGAACAACTTGACATCCACATACACAAAGAGAAAAATGAATCTAGACACAGATTTAACAGCCTTCATAAAAATCAACTCAAATTAATTACAGACCTAAATTTGGTGGCCTGGATACTAAATTTATTTATTTTAAGGAATAGTACAAATCAAAGAACTTAAGTGGATGTTTTGGCATAACTTACAGAAAAGGTAAAGGAAACCCCACCGTGCAGGCACTGCTTCGGTCCAGAGAGGTCACCCCGTGGCTACAGGAAACGAGCCTAAGGCTTAGCTGTCATTATCCCTCTCTCCCAGAGATTCTGCCAGGCCAGATGCCCGGCTCTCGTCCTGCACAAGTTGGTCACGTGGACACCCAATTCTTTGATGGATTTCACTGGTTCATTGAGGTAATGTGTCTCAATAAGGTGACACAAGCGGGAGCCGTTTTTACGCAGTTCCAATAGTGACCGATTCACGTGTTTTCCAAGTGTAAGACACACTCCATCGCATTCAGCCGGTTCTCCGCCTGGTGTCTTGACTCCTGAAGGAAGACTCCGCCCCTTCGTTGTTTCTGCAGCTTCATCGGTTTCTCAGCGGGCTCCCTCTCCTCATGAGATTAGTGAAGAAATAAGTTTTTGGCAAAATTCCTCAAAGCTACGTTATGGCGGTGAAAGCATCAGATGTGGACAGGTAGATGGAGGAGGCTGGAGCGCCAGGTTGACCGGGGGCCTCAGGGCGGTCCCAGCGCACGGTGAGGAGGTGGAAGCTCTGGCTCTGAGCCGCCAGCCGCTGGGGCACGGGAAAAGCGCCAGTTCCCTCCAAGCACAGGTGAAGCAGGAAACCGCGGTGACTGTCGGCGAAGAACATCTCCAGACCTAAATATTAGATGCAAAATTATAAAATGCCTAGAAGATAATCGGAGAAAACCTGGAGGACCTTGGTCTTGGCAGTGACTCTTTAGATACAACATCTAAGGCAAGATCCATGAAAGAAAAAATTAATAAGCTAGACGTCATTAAGGTTAAAATTTTCTTGGGTAGGTTTAGTGGATCACGCCTGTAATCCCAGCACTTTGGGAGGTCAAGGCGGGAAGATTGTTTGAGCCTAGGAGTTTGATACCAGCCTGGGCAATATAGTAAGACCCTGTTTCTATAAAAATTTTCTTAAAAAACTAGCCCAGCAGGGTGGTACACACCTGTAGTCCCAGCTACTAGGGAGGCTGTGGTAGGAGGACCACCTCAGCTAGGGAGGCAGAGGTTGCCATGAGCCGTGATCATGCCACTGCACTCCAACCTGGGCGACAGAGCAAGACCTTGTCTGAAAATTAAATTAAATTAAATTAAATTAAATTAACATTTTTTTGCTCTGTGAAAGACAGTCAAGAAAATGAAAAGACAAGCCACAGGCTATGAGAAATTATTTGCAAAAGACATGCCAGTTAAAGGATTATTATTCAAAATATACAAAGAACTCTTAAAACTCAACAATAAGAAAACAAGCAACCAGATTAAAAATGACCAAAGACCTTGACAGACACCTCACCAAAGGAGATATACAGATGGCAAACACCTAAGCACACAAAGAGATGCTCTATATCATATGTCATCAGGAAAAATGCAAATTAAAACAACAATGAGAATACCGCTACATACCTATTAGAATGGCCAAAGTCCAGAATACTGACAACACTAAATGCCAGTGAGGATGTGGAGCAACAGGAACTCTCAAACATTGCTGGTGGGAATGCAAATGGTACAGCCACTTTTAAAGACAGTTTGGCAGTTTCTTATAAAACTGTACATACTTTCCCCATACAATCCAGCAGTCATATTCCTTGGTATTTACCGAAAGAAGTTGAAAACTTGTTCCTACAAAAGACTGCCCACACATGCCCAGAGCACCTTTATTTATAATGACACCACTTGGAAGCAACCAAGGTGTCCTTCAGTAAGTGAACGGATAAATAAACTGTGGTACATCCAAACAACGAAATATTAGTCAGTGTGAAAAAAGTGAGCTATCGGCCAGGCATGGTGGCTCACACCTGTAAGCCTAGCACTTTGGCAGGCCGAGGCAGGTGGATCACTTGAGGTCAGGAGTTCCAGACCAGCCTGGCCAACATGGTGAAACCGTCTCTCTTCTAAAAATGCAAAAATTAGCCAGGCATGGTGGCATGCACCTTAGTCCCAGCTACTCGGGAGGCTGAGACAGGAGAATCACTTGAACCCAGGAGGTAGAGATTGCAGTGAGCCGAGATTGCACTACTGCACTCCAGCCTGGATGACAGAGTGAGACTCCATCTCAAAAAAAAAAAAAAAAAAAGTTAGCTATCAAGCCATGAAAAGACATGGAAGACTTAGATGCATATTACTAAGTGAAAGGAGCCAATCTAAAATGTCTACACATACCATATGATTCCAACTATATGACACTCTGGAAAAGGCAAAACTGTGGCAACGGTAAAAAGATTAGTGGTCGCTAGGTGTCAGATGGCAGGAAGGGATACATAGCAGGAGACAGATACTTTTCAGAGATTTGAGAATACTTTGATTGATACTATAATGGTGGATACTTGCCTTTACACATTTGTTCAAACTCAGAATGTACGTCAAGAGTGAACCTTATTGTAAACTATGGGCTTTAGGTGATAATGATTTGTCAATGTAGACTTATCGATTGTTAAAAAATGCACCAGTCTTGGTTGGGGATGTTGATAATGGGGAAGGCTATGTGTGTTGGCGGAGATAGGGGGGATATGGGAAATTTCTATAACTTCCTCTGAATTATGCTGTAAATCTAAAACTGTTCTGAAAAATAAAGTCTATTTTTTTAAAGTGCTTACCAAGGACCTAGCACCATGAAAGAAAATGTATTCACACCAAGATATATGATTGTAAAACTTCAGAACACTGGGACAAAGATTAGAAGGGGAGAGAGGAAAAGGGGTAAGGGGAAGGAAGAAGAAAAAAGGCAGTGGAGAGAGAGACAGAGAGAGACACCATACCAAGTATCAAGAATTAGAAAGAATTAGAATAGCACTGGATTTCTCAACAACTATACTGGAAGCTAGAAGACAACAAAGCGATGCTTTCAAATTCTGGGGAATTTTCAGCTTAGTATTCTAGGCAAACTATCAACTATGCATGTGGCTTATAGAGAAAACATGTGTTATACAAGCTTTTCTGAGGCATGAGTCATAGTGCTGGTGGCCATGAGTTCAATGTTAATGCATCAACAATATATCTCAAATAAGATGTCTTTAAACAGAAACACACATAAAATTAGGTTTTGTATTGATCAGTTGACTCACTGTTTACTCACTCAGTGTTAAGGCTCACAGGAATCTAACCCTGTATTTCCCCTGGGAGCAATGTTTCAGTTTGCTAAGTCAGTGTTTGCAATAACTTTACAGAGCATAACTACCATGAATAGTGAGAATCGGCTGTATAGACTTTTCCTTTTCTTTCTTTTTGCACTGTCTTCAGATTACCTCTTCTCATATCCCCTTTTCCACCACTGGACCAACTACACTGTTGCTGATGATTGCTGTGGTGATGAGGCAGGACGGGAGTGAACAAGTAGAGAGTTTACCAGCTCTCCCCTGTCCTTTCCTTCTCTGCCCCAGTTTGCAGACACCCATCCCCCAACATGTGCTTGCTCACATTCTGGTTCAAAAGAGCCTTCAGTCTTCTCAGAGGGTTCTCAATTATATGTTAGTTTATCATGTCCATGATTATTTCTCTTTTGTAGCTTTTCTCTGCTATAGTTCTGTAGTTTACAGTTGTGGAGGAAGGTACCAGCAGTACAAGCTGGTTCATTGGCTTGTCAAAAACTTGATCAGGGAGGATGTTAGCAATATGATGCAAGAACAACCAAGAAGAAATATCAGGTATGAAAAATATAACTGTTGAAACAAAATGCATAATAGCTGAAGTATGAATCAGGATAGATACAGCTAAGGACTGAATTAGGAACCTGCAAGATCATTGCAAAGACCTATGCAAGAATGCAGGGGAAAGTAAAACAGCTTTTCTTTAAAAAAAGAAAAGAAACAATAGGGATATGAAGGATAAAAATATCAGTATTCAGATAATAGAGATTCCATAGGGAGAAAAACATAAAGTTGAAAATTGAGCCTATAATATAGAGCCAAAGAGAGAGAGAGAGAAAACCCCAAAATTAGACATTTTACTGAGAATTAGAATCATCAAAGACTGCAAGAAATTTTTAGAATGTTTTCAGAGAGAAAAACATACAAAAGAACAAGCATTAGATTGACCTGAGACCTCTCAGTAACAATGCTGGATGCAAGAAGACAAAGAAGTAATATTTTTAAAGTGTTGTGCAGTCATCCCTAGGTTTATGTGGGGGATTGGTTCCAGAACCCCCATATATATATCCACGTCTGCACATGCTCAAGTCCTGCAGTTGGCCCTGTAGAACCCACCCATGTATATGAAAAGTCGGCTGCCTGTATGTGTGGGTTTCATATCCCACAAATACCATATTTTTTATCTAATTTGGTTGAAAAAAATCTGCATATAAGTGGACCCCTGCAGTTCACACTCAAGTTTTCAAAGGGTCTACTGTACATTGAATTTTACATACAGACAAATTGACATGAAACATGAAGATACAATTTAAAAATTCTGGACTTAACAACCATAGTTTCTGGTATACAAAATCTCAGAACCTATGTCATACAAAAACTTACTTTGAAAAACCCTTGGAAGAAATATTCAAATTAGAGGAAAATAAATACAACAGATGTTGTATAGAAATGTGAAGTTAGGGTGATTAAATAATTTGGCAAATTAATTGTTATCTTAAAAAATCAAAGTGTGATGAAAACACAAATTAAAAACCATATTCATAAAAACCCAGAACTAAATTCTGTCTAGACCATATCAGTTGTGTGTGTGTTATTGTTGTTGTTGTTATATGTATTGGTGGGGGAGAGAGAAAGAAGAGTCCAGAGACATAAGAGAACATGCTAAACTACTTGCCTTATTGGAGGAAAGAAATAGGTATTTATAAGTTTAGTAAGTCAGGATGAATAAATAAACAAATATGTCTTAAGAGCAAAGACCATAAAAACAAAAATAAAATACGTTCTTTTAAACCAGCAAAAGAAAATCGTATCTACTCAGTGAAGAGTAAAATTAGAAAAGAAAAAAAAGTATCAGTAATGAAAAACATGAAATAAAATGGAAGAAATAAGTAATAATATAAAGTGATTATGAGAAATGTAAATAGGTTAAACAACCAATCAAAAGAGAACATCTCAAATTGAGCATTTTGAAAGATCCAACAATATACTGTTTACAGAAGACAACTTTACAACAAAAGAATACAAAAAGTTTGAAAATAAAGAAAATATGATCCAAAAGAAAGCTGAAGCAACAATCTTAATATCTAATAGAAAAATTCAAAGGACAAAAAAGGAAACCATACTTGTTGAAAGAATAGTAGAGCAAACACATATGCACCTGACAATATTGCAACAAAAAAATAAGGTAATCGACAGAACTTCATAGCAAATAAATAAATTAATCATTTTAATTGGAAGTTTTAACACAAAAAAATTATTGAGGAGGAAATGGAGTCTTCAGAAATGAATAGGTTTAGCAGAGAAAAAGCAGTGATATAGAAATCTGAGTATTTTAATTAATAAGCTTTATTTATATCCAACAGAAAACACACAATCTTTTTGGGCATATATGAAACAATTTTAAAAATTAATCATATATTAATCCACAAAGAAAGTTACAAGAAAGTCTAATGAATGAATGTTATCAAGAATATATTTTTCAATCATAATGAATTAAAATTATAAAATATTTTTCAAAAGCATAGTGAAAAAACTGTTAGATTACTAGAGAACATTTTTCCAAAACTATGTTATTTCTAGAAATAGAATTTTTTTCTAGAAATGCATTATTTCTAGAAAACCCAGAAAACAATTATTAATAGTTGGTCTAACAGTAAAATGAAAGTTCTGATAATAAAATAATAATAACAAATGAAGCTAATAAATATATAAAACTGGTAATGAAAACACTTCAAAATTTGAAGACCACATCTACAGTAGGTTTTAGAGACAGATGTATAGCTTTAATTACATTTATCAAGATATAAGACAGATTGAAAACAAAGAGTAATACTCAAGAATACAGGGAAGGGACAAGCAAAGAAACAGAAAGAAAGAAATAATAACAAAGATAGAACAGATATCAATGACCTAGAGAAAAACAACAACAAAACAGAGAAGATTAATAAAACCTTAAACTGGTGTTTCAGAAAGATTAATAAGATAGATGTGACAAGGCTACTAAAGTGAAAAAAAAAGAGGTAGAAAGTACAAATTTAAAAACTGAATGCAAATGGGGAAATAACCACAGACACAGCAGAGGTTTTAAAATTAATAATTAATATTGTAATAATTATACAATACAAATTTAATTAATAATTAAAATGTAATAAATTAATACATTTTTAAAAGTACTGGCTGGGAGCGATGGCTCACGCCTATAATCCCCAGCACTTTGGGAGGTTGAGGCGGGCAGATCACGAGGTCAGGAGATCGAGACTATCCTGGCTAACACGGTGAAACCCTGTCTCTACTAAAAAAAACAAAGTACAAAAAATTAGCCTGGCATGGTGGTGGGCCGCTGTAGTCCCAGCTACTCGGGAGGCTGAGGCAAGAGAATGGCATGAACCCAGGAGGTGAAGCTTGCAGTGAGCCGAGATCGTGCCACTGCAATCCAGCCTGGGGGATAGAGGGAGACTCCGTCTCAAAAAAATAAATAAATAAATAAAATAAAAGTACAAGCCCTTCTGACATATAAATGTAGATGCAAAAATTCTAGATGAAATATTAACAAACAAATTCAACACTATATTTTTAAAAACATATCATGATGAAGTGGAGTTTATCCCAGCAATGTAAGGAAATGGCAACATAAAAATAACCTACCAATAAAATTACAACATTAATAGTCTAAAGGAGAAAAATCATGATTATATTAACGTATGCATGGATGGAAGGGGTAAAACCAAATATTTACTCAAAAGCCTTAACAGGCTAGGAATAGAAGCTCTTGCCATCATTGCTAACAGGCCCCCTTCTAATGATGAAAGTTTACCTGGACACATGGTTGTGAAGTTAAGACTACGTTTTCCATCCACTCTTTTTTTTTTTTTTTTTTTTTGAAACTGAGGTTTGCTGTGTCACCCAGGCTGGAGCACAGTGGCACAATCACTGCAGCCTCGACCTCCTCAGCTCAGGTGATCCTCCCACCTCAGCCTCCCAAGTAGCTGGGACCACAGGTGCATGCCACATCTGGCTAATTTTTAAATTATCATTATTTGTAGAGACGGGGTCTCCCTATGTCGCCAGGCTGGTCTCAACCTTCTGGGCTCGAGCGATCCTCTGCCTTAGCTTCCCAAAAGTACTGGGATTATAGAACTGAGTTATTGTGCCTGGCCCCATCCACTCTTGCTATGTATTAAATAGACTCTGGTCAAAGGGATACATTTTGAGCATCTGGCACTGCTGAGTCAAATGAACAAATCGTACAGCATTTGGCATCAAAAAATTCACTCCTGGCTATACATTAACACATCTTAGAGAAGTACCCACACGGACCCATAATGTCTGTTCTTGTAAAGAATTGTAGGTACTCTAGGTCATGACCAGGAGAATGGATAAGTAAAATTTGGTACTTGCATGGAATGTTTTGTTGTTGTTGTTGTTGTTGTTGTTGTTGTTGTTGTTTTGAGGCGGAGTCTCGCTCTGTTGCCCAGGCTGGAGTGCAGTGGTGCAATCTCAGGTCACTGCAAGAGACAGGGTTTCACGGTGTTAGCCAGGATGGTCTCGATCTCCTGACCTCATGATCCGCCCGCCCTGGCCTCCCAAAGTGCTGGGATTACAGGCATGAACCACCGCGCCCAGCCATTTACATGGAATTTTATTAGCAACTAGAGACAACAGATTAAAAGAGTACCCAGCAACAAGAAGACACCTTAAAAACAATACTGCTAATCAGTAGTTGCCAAGGGAAAGCAAATAGAAAGGAGTAGCATGCGGGAGCTCCTTTATGGTGATGGACCAGTTCAGTATCTTGATTGTGGTGGTTACATGAATGTATATGTGGGATTAAATTGCATAGAACTACACACACACACACACACAAAGAGAGAGAGAGAGATAGAGAGAGAGGGCAGTTCATGTGAAAACCAAATTAAAATTTGTGATTTAGTTAATAGTATTGCACCAATACCTATTTCCTGGTTTTGATATTGTAATGCTGGTAAATAAGTTACCACTGTTGGAGAAATCTGGGTTAAGGGTCCACTAGACTCCAGGTTCGATTTTTGTAACTTCCTTGGAGTGTGTAATTGGGTGGGTAAGTCTATTGACTATTCCAGGACAAATTAGACATTCTGCAGACAATTAGAAGGAGAAGCCAAAAGTAAGCAAAAACCATCCATACAAATATTATAGAACCAGAGTCTTGCAATAATGGCAGAACTAGGAAAAAGAACATGAGGGTTATCACTAAAAACAATACTTAGATTTTTGTTCTCTTAATTTCATTTCCTGATCACGAATTTTATGGTATATTTGTGTGGCATGAAGTTGATATTTGGCTTATAAGAATGTGACTGTGAAGAGCTTGGTGCTCAGGAATTTCTGTAACATCACAACAAGGTATCTTCTGCTCTCTATTATAGCAGTGAAGAAACACTTGTCTTTAATAAAAAAAAAACTTATTAAAAAAAAAACACAGCATTGCTTAAAATCCGTCTTATTTCTATTTCTCCAAAGAAAAAGGACCAACTTTTTACTGCCATCGTTTGAAGCACTTCCAGCCTGGCCCCTGCATGCCTCTCCTGTGGCAGCGCTCTGCATGCCTACCCCCATGTCTAAGTTCCAGGCATAGTCAACTTTATTTGGTTCTTTAAATATGCCACTTTCTCTCTTTCTGGCCCTATGCCCATGCCATCCTTACTGCCTTATTTAGCTAACTACTATGTATTCTTCAGATCTCAGCTTAAACATCATTCTTTTTACTTAAAACCCTCAACATCTTCCTAACACTTAGAATAGAGCACTAGCTGGGCTGATTCCTGAATTCCCCATAGCACCCTGATGTCTGGCCCCTTTTACAACCATCCTGACATTTCAGAGCAGTTACTTGCCTAGTGCCTGCCTTCTAGGTTGGGCTATGTCCTAGGTCTGTCTTGTTCGCTTCAGAATTGCCAGTACTTAGCATGGTGCCTGAAACATAGTAGATGCTGAATAAATATTTTTAAACAATATATTTGCCTGGGTGTGACTGGTTGGGAGCAAGGGGTCTGCCTTAGGAACCAGATCCCTGAGCTGAAGTATGAAAATGGGGCTGGTCAGGACTCATCTGAGAACTGGCACAGGGTTGTATGTGCTGGGAAGCTGATGACTGGGACCATCCATGAGAAGCAGGGCAGATAGCAGCCAGAAAACAGCCCAGGGACCTGAGGCAGGTTCCCCACTCACACTACATGATCGCTGCATGAAGTGGCTTGGAGAAAATAGAGAAACAATTCCCAGAAAAAAAAAGACATCACTTTGAATGTTTGAATCTTCTTCCACCCTCACCATTAGCAGGCTGCCCATTAACCTTCAGGGGGCTTAAGAAGAGGCTGGGCGCGGTGGCTTATGCCTGTAATCCCAGCACTTTGGGAGGCCGAGGGGGGTGGATCATGAGGTCAGGAGTTCAAGACCAGCCTGGCCAACATAGTGAAACCCCATCTGTACTAAAAATACAAAAATTAGCCTGGCATGGTGGCACGCGCCTGTAGTCCCAGCTACTCAGGAGGCTGAGGCAGGAGAATCGCTTGAACCCAGGAGGCAGAGGTTGTGGTGAGCCAAGATCGTGCCACTGCACTCCAGCCTGGGTGACAGAGCAAGACTCCATCTCAAAAAGAAGGAGGAGGAGGAGGAGCTTTCAAGAAGTGGGTTTCCTCCTGTCAGAGAGAGCAGTCCACAGAGACTAGCTGCTTCATTTACTCCTGTCTCAAGGTCAAGGGCATCAAGGTTAATGTTATAGGATGCCTTGGAAGCAAAGCTAGCTTTAAGAGTACTGACATTGGGGAAAACCAAGGCAAATGGCGTATAGGAGGCAGGACTAACTTGTAGATCCCACACTGATGAACAGAGCAGCGTATGGAAGCCCACATCCTGAATTTTGTTCCAAGAACTGCCACAGAAACATACCAGCAAAGATGAGAGAATCCACAGACCCTTAAAAAGAGGTGGATTGCCGCTGCAGCCTCCATGGGACAGCCTAGGAACAGTGAATCTTCTTGCTTTCTTAACTGAGAGGCTTGTAGCCTGGGGCAAGTTCTCAGCCTTACTCACTGGCTGCCTGGAAATAAACTTGTGCTGTCGTGGGGCACGGTGGGAGTAAGACCAGCCTTTTAAGCTGTGGGCTGCATGGGAGCTGGGTAAGGCCTGTGGCTGCTGGTTTTTCCCCACTTCCCTGGAGACCTGTGTGACGTAGCAGAGGCAGCAATAATCCCCCTGGGAACATAACTCCATTGGCTGAAAATCACATCCCCATCCCCTACAGCAGTCACAGCAAGCCTTGTCCAAGGAGAGTCTGAGCTCAGACACCTAACCCTGCCCTCATCTGATGGTCTTTCTGTGCCTGCCCTGGTAGCCAAAGACAAAGGACATAATCCCTTGGTAGCTCTATGGCCCTGCCCACCACCTGACCCTAGGGCAAGCTTGTATCCTCCCTATAAAACCGCAGCTGATGTGTTGTTGAAATCTCCACCTCCTAGCTGGAAGCCAACCAACACAAAACCAGCGCACTTAACAAAAGTACAACCAAGGACCCTCACAGAGTACACTTTACTCCCCTGCTACCTCCACCAGAGTAGGTGCTGGTATCCACAGCTGAGAGACCTGAAGATGGATCACATCACAGGACTCTTTGCAGACACTCCCCAGCCTGGAGCCTGGTAACTCCACTGAGTGGCTAGGTCCAGAAGAAAAATAGTCACTGCAGTTCAGCTCTCAGGAAACCCCATCCCTAGGGGAAAGGGGAGAGCATTGCATCAAGGGAGCACCCTGTGGGACAAAAGAATCTGAACAACGGCCCTTGAGTCTCTAATCTTCCCTCTGACATAGTCTACCCAAATGAGAAGGAACCAGAAAAACAATTCTGGTAAATGACAAAACAAGGTTCTTTAACACTGCCAAAAGATCATATCAGCTCACCAGCAATGGATCCAAACCAAGACGAAACCTCTGAATTGCCAAAAAAAGAATTCAGAAGGTTGACTATTTAGACAATCAAGGAGGCATCAAAGAAAGGTGAAGTCCAACTTAAAGATATGGAAAAAAAAAAAGATATAGAAGAGTGGAAAATCTCCAGTGAAATAGCACAAATAAAAAAAAATCACAGCTTCTGGAAATGAAGGACACACTTAGAGAATTGCAAAATGTACTGGAAAGTCTCAGCAATAGAATCAAACAACTGGAAGAACTTCAGAGCTCAAAGACAAGGCTTTTGAATTAACCCAATCCAAAAAAAAAAGAAGAATTTTTAAAAAATGAACAAAGCCTCCAAGAAGTCTGGAATTATGTTAAATGTGCAAACCTAAGAATAATTGGTGTTCCTGAGGAAGAAGAGAAATATAAAAGTTTGGAAAACATATTTGAGGAATAATTGATGAAAACTTCTCTGGCCTTGCTAGAGATCTAAGCATCCAAATACAAAAAGCTCAAAGAACACCTGGGAAATTCTTCACAAAAAGATCATTGCCTAGGCACATAGTAATCAAGTTATCTAAAGTCAAGATGAAGGAAAAAAATCTTAAGAGCTGTGAGGCAAAAGAAAGAATCAAGTAACCTATAAAAGAAAACCTATCAGATTAACAGCAGATTTCTTAGCAGAGACCCTACAAACTAGAAGGGATTGGGAGCCTATCTTCCTAGCCTGTTTAAACAAAACAATTATCAGCCAAGAATTTTGTATCCAGTGAAACTAAGCTGCATAAATGAAGGAAAGATACAGTCTTTTTCAGATGAACGAATGCTGAGAGAATTCACCACTAACAAGCCAGCACTACAAGAACTGCTTAAAAGGAGCTCTAAATCTTGAAAAAAATCTTCAAAGTACACCAAAATAGAACCTCCTTAAAGCATAAATCTCACAGCACCTATAATACAACAACAACACACACACACCAAGGTATTCAGGCAACAAATAGCACCATGAAGAGAATAGTACTTCACATCTCAATATTAACATTGAATGTAAGTGGCCTGAATGTTCCACTTAAAAAATACGGAATGGCAGAATGATGTAGAATTCACCAGCCATGTATCTGCTGTCTTCAAGAGACTCATCTGACACATAAGGACTCACATAAACTTAAGGTAAAGGGGTGGAAAAAGATATTCCATGCAAATGGACACCAAAAGCAAGCAGGAGTAGCTATTCTTATATCAAACAAACAAACAAACAAACTTTAAAGCAACAGCAGTTAAAAAAGAAAAAGAGGGACATTATGTAATCATAAAAGTACTAGTCCAACAGGAGAATATCACAATCCGAAATATGTATGCACCTGACACTGGAACTCCCAAATTTATAAAACAATTACTTCTAGACCTAAGAAATGAGATAGACAGCAACACAATAGTAGTGGGGAACTTCAGTACTCCACTGACAGCACTAGACAGGTCATCAAGACAGAAAGTCAACAAAGAAACAATGGACTTAAACTATACTCTAGAACACATGGACTTAAGAGATTATTTACAGAACATTCTACCCAACAACTCCAAAATATATTCTATTCATCATAATGCATTCTATTCATCAGCACATGGAACATTCTCCAAGATAGACCATATGGAAGGCCACAAAACAAGTCTCAACAAATTAAAAAAAAAAAAGAAATTATAGCAAGTACTCTCTCAGACTGGAGTGTAATAAAATCAGAAATCAACTCCAAAAGGAAGCCTCAAAACCATGCAAATACTTGGAAATTAAATAACCAGCTCCTGAATGATCATTGGGTCAACAACGAAACCAAGATGGAAATTAAAAAATTCTTTGAACTGAATAATAATAGTGACACAACCTATAAAAACCTGTGGGATGCAGCAAAGGTAGTGCTAAGAGAAAAGTTCATAGTATTAAATGCCTACATCAAAAAGTCTGAAAGAGCACAAATAGACAATCTAAGGTCACACCTCAAGGAGCTAGAGAAACAAGAACAAAACAAATCCAAACCCAGTAGAGGAAAAGTAATAATCTAGATCAGAGCAGAACTAAATGAAATTGAAACAAGAAATAATACAAAAGATCAATAGAACAAAATCTGGTTCTTTGAAATGATAAATAGAATTGATAGGCCGTTAGTGAGATTAACCAAGAAAAGAAGAGAGAAGATCCAAATAAGCTCAATTAGAAACAAAACAGGAGATATTACGACTGATACCACAGAAATACAAGATTATTCAAGGCTACTATGAACACTTTTACATGCATAAACTAGAAAACCTAGAGGAGATGGATAAATTCCTGGAAATATACAATCCTCCTAGATTAAATCAGGAAGAAATAGAAACTCTGAACAGACACAAGCAGTGAGATTGAAATGGTAATTAAAAAGTTACCAACAAAAAAAAGTCCAGGACCAGACCGGTTCATGGCTGAATTATATCAGACTTTCAAAGAATTGCTACCAAGCCTACTGACACTACTCCAAAAGATGGAGAAAGAGGGAGTCCTCTCTGAATCATCCTATGAAGCCACTATCACCCTAATATCAAAACCAGGAAAGGATATAACAAAAAAAGAAAACTACAGACCAATATCCCTGATGAACATAGATGCAAAAATTCTCAACTAAATACTAGCTAACCTAATCCAACAGCCTATCAAAAAGATGATCCACCATGATCAAGTGGGTTTCATACAGGGACACAGGGATGATTTAACATCCACAAGTCAATAAATGTAATATACCATATAAACAGAATTAAAACCAAAATTCACACAATAATCTCAATAGATGCAGAAAAAGCATTTGACAAAATCCAGCATCACTTTATGATTAAAACCCTCAGCAAAATCAGCATAGAAGGGATACACCTTAAGGTAATAAAAACCATCTATGACAGACCCACAGCCAACATTATACTGAATGGAGAAAAGTTGAAAGCATTTCCCCTGGGAACTGGAACAAGACAAGGATGCCCACATTTACCACTTCTATTCAACATAGTACTGGAAGTCCTAGCCAGAGCAATCAGACCAGAGAAAGAAATAAAGGGCATTCAAATTGTTAAAGAGGAAGTCAAACTGTTACTGTTTGATTGTGACATGATCGTATACCTAGAAAATTCTAAAGACTCATCCAAAAAGCTTCTAGAACTGGTGAATGAATTCAGTAAAGTTTCTGGATACAAAATTAATGTACACAACTCAGTAGCCCTGTTATACACCAACAGCGACCAAGCTGAAAGTCAAATCAAGTACTTAATCTCTTTTACAATAACTGAAGAAAAAAAAAATACTTAGGAATATACTTAACCAAGGAGGTAAAATACCTCTACAAGGAAAACTACAAAACAATGCTTAAAGAAATCATAGACCCAGCCGGGCTTGGTGGCTCATGGGCTGGGCGTGGTGGCTCACACCTGTAATCCCAGCACTTTGGGAGGCCGAGGCGGGCAGATCACGAGGTCAGGAGATCGAGACCCTCCTGGCTAACATGGTGAAACCCTGTTTCTGCTAAAAATACAAAAAATTAGCCGGGCGTGGTGGTGGGCGCCTGTAGTCCCAGCTACTCCAGAGGCTGAGGCAGGAGAATGGCATGAACCCGGGAGGCGGAGCTTGCAGTGAGCCGAGATCACGCCACTGCACTCCAGCCTGGGTGACAGAGCGAGACTCTGTCTCAAAAAAAAAAAAAAAAAAAAAGAAAAAGAAAGAAAAAAAGAAAATGGCCATACTGCCAAAAGCAATCTACAAATTCAATGCAATTCCCATCAAGATACCACCATCATTCTTTGCAGAACTAGAAAAAAAAATCCTAAAATTCATGACCCAAAAAAGACTCATAGCCAAAGCAAGACTAAGCAAAAAGAACAAATCTGGAGGCATTACATTACCCGACTTCAAACTATACTATGAGACCATAGTCACCAAAACAGCATGGCACTGGTATAAAAACAGACATATAGACCAATGGAACAGAATAGAGAACTCAGAAATAAAGCCAAATACTTACAGTCAACTGATCTTCAACAAAGGAAACAAAAACATAAAGTGAGAAAAAGACACCCTATTCAACAAATGATGCTGTGATAATTGGCTAGCCACATGTAGAAGAATGAAACTGGATCCTCATCTTTCATCTTATACAAAAATCAACTCAAGATGGACCAACGACTTAAATCTAAGACCTGAAACCATAAAAGTTCTAAAATGTAACGTTGGAAAAACTCTTCTAGATATTGGCTTAGGCAATGACTTCATGACCAAGAACCCAAAAGCAAACACAACAAAAACAAAGATAAACAGATGAGACTTAACTAAACTAAAAAGCTTCTGCACAGCAACAGAAATAATCAGCAGAGTAAAAAGACAATCCACAGAGTAGGAGAAAATCTTTGCAATCTATATATCCAACAAAGGACTAATATCCAGAATCTACAAGGAACTTAAACAAATCAGCAAGAAAAAAACAATCCCATCAAAAAGTGGGCTAAGGACATGAATAGACAATGCTCAAAAGAAGATATACAAATGGCCAACAAATACAAGAAAAAGTACTCAATATCACTAATTATCAGGGACATGCAAATCAAAACCACAATGCGATACCATCTCACTCCTGCAAGAATGGCCATAATAAAAAAATCCAAAAGTAATAGATGTTGGCATAGATGTAGTGAAAAGGGGACATTTTTACAATGTTGGTGGGAGTATAAACTAGTACAACCACTATTGAGAACAGTGTGGAGATTCCTTAAAGAACTAAAGGTAGAGCTACCATTTGATTCAGCAGTCCCACTCCTGAGTATCTGCTGAGAGGAAAATAAGTCATTATACAAAAAAGATACTTGCACACACATGTTTATAGCAGCATAATTTGCAATTGCAAAAATATGGAACCAGCCCAAATGCCCATCAATCAGCGAGTAGATATATGTATGCCATGGAATACTGCTCAGCCATGAAAAGGAATGAAATAATGGCATTTGTAGCAACCTGGATGGAATTGGAGACCATTATTCTAAGTAAAATAACTCAGGAATGGAAAACCAAACATTGTATGTTCTCGCTCATATGTGGGAGCTGAGCTGTGAGGACACAAAGGCACAGGAAAAATACAATGGACTTTGGGGACTCAGGGGAAAGCGTGGGAGGTGGGTGAGGGATAAAAGACTACACATTGGGTGCGGTGTACACTGCTTGGGTGATATGTGCACCAAATTCTCAGAAATCACCACTAAAGAATTTATTTATGTAACCAAATATTGCCTGTTTCCCAAAAACCTATAGAAATAAATAAATAAACAAAATAAACTGAAATTAAAAAAAAAATAGTACTAACATTAAGATTGGTGTGGTAGCTTATGCCTATAATCCCAACACTTTGGGAAGCCAGGCTAGGAGGATGACTTGAGCCCAGGAGTTCAAGACCAGCCTAGGCAACATAGTGAGACCTGGTGTCTACAAAAAATAAACAAATAAATAAATAAGCTGGGCATGGTGGTGCATCCATGCCTTTAGTCCCAGCTACTTGAGAGACTGAGGTGGTAAGACTACTTGAGCCTGGGAGGTTGAGGCTGTAGTGAGCCAAGATCATACTACTGTACTTCAGCCTGGATGACAGAGCAAGACTGTCTAAAAAAACAAAAACAAATACAAAAACAAAATAAATAAACAACAACAACAACAAAAAAATAAAACAGAGTACTAACATCAGCAATAGCCCAGTGCCACCAGAGTTACCTGAGGTAAGACTGTTACAGACCCAGTGAGTGTTCCAATGAATAAATGAACCCCACACCAATAAGTCCATTAGGAGAGGCAAACCTGGACAGGAAGAGACAAGGTGCCTGTGACCTAGATTGGTCACTGTGTCATCACCTGCCCTTGCAGAGCTGATAAAGGGATTCAGCTGTGACTGTTGGTTACACCATAAAAACACATTTCTCTAAGAAAGCAAGGAGGAGCAAAAGAACAGAAATTCCTGCTACTTAGGGACTAGTGCACTTGTCAGCAGTGTGTCATATCACTTACCTCTCAGGGGCAGGATTTTCTTAGAAGCTTTAGTTAGGGATGTGGAAGAAAATCTCCATCTATGCTTCACAAAGATCTGTGTCTCAGGACCAGGTCCAAGGAGAGCCCACTGGTGTGATTTCTGAGAGATTAGTAAATCCTGCTGCCCCCTAAGTGGCTCCATACCACTGGCTGATAACTGAAATTCCACTATTTATTTATTTATTATTATTATTATTATTTTTAGATGGAGTCTCGCTCTGCCACCCAGTCTGGAGTGCAGTGGCGCGATCTCGGCTCACTGTAACCTCTGCCTCCTGGGTTCAAGTGATTTTCCTGCCTCAGCCTCCTGAGTAGCTGGCATTATAGGCGCACACCACCACATCTGGCTAATTTTTGTATTTTTAGTAGAGATGGGGTTTCACCGTGTTAGCCAGGAAGGTCTCGATCTCGTGACCTCCTGAACTGCCCACCTCAGCCTCCCAAAGTGCTGGGATTACAGGCATGAGCTACTGTGCCTGGCCTGAAATTCCACTATTTTTTTTTTTTTTTTGAGACAGAGTCTTGCTCTGTCACCCAGGCTGGAGTGCAGTGGCGCGATCTTGACTCACTGCAAGCTCCGCTTCCCAGGTTCACGCCATTCTCCTGCCTCAGCCTCCCGAGTAGCTGGGACTACAGGTGCCCGCCACAACACCAGGCTAATTTTTTTTTTTTTTTTTGTATTTTTAGTAGAGATGGGGTTTCACCGTGTTAGCAAGGATGGTCTCGATATCCTGACCTCATGATCCGCCTGCCTCGGCCTCCCAAAGTGCTGAGGCGTGAGCCACCGCGCCCAGCCGAAATGCCACTATTAAAGCTTCATGTTGCGTTGGATGCCGTGGCTCATGCCTGTAATCCCAGCACTTTGGGAGACTGAGGAGGGCAGATCACTTGAGTCCAGGAGTTCAAGACCAGCCTGGGCAACATGGTGAAACCCCATCTCTACTAAAAATGCAAAAATATTAGACGGGCGTAGTGGCATGTACCTGTGGTCCCAGCTACTCAGGAGGCTGAGGTGGGAGGATTGCTTGAGCCAAGGAGGCAGAGGTTGCAGTGAGCCATGATTATACCACCACACTCCGGCCTGAGTAACAGAGCCAGACCCTGTCACGAACAAACAAACAAACAAACAAAAACATTATGTTTTTCAGCATGAAGCAGTGATGAGCAACTTGAGGACTGAGATCTACATGGAAGAACCACCAGACTGGTGAATGATTTTCAGGATGAATGTCCAGATACTAACTTGTTAGTGACTAAAAAGCCATGACAGTTTCCTCATTGACATTTCTTTTATTCAGTAAAGCAAGTATTCCAAGTCTTGAGAATCTATGTTGTTTTCCTTGCATTTTCATTTCATGGAAAATAAATGGTATGCAAAGAAGGCTGCTCACCTCTGGTTTAAGAGTTTGAATACTGTTAAAATGCAAATCATCACAGAAGAGTGCAGCTTAAAAACAACAACAACAACAACTTTATTTTTTAGAGCAGTTTTAGGTTCACAGCAAAATTGAGAGGAAGATACAGAGATTTCCTATGTACCCACTTCCTTCATAAAGTCATAGCCTCCTGAATTATCCACATCCCCCACCAGAGTGGTACATTCGTTACAATGATGAACCCACACTGACACATCATTGTCATCCAAAGTTTACATTAGGGTTCACTCTTTATGTGCATTCTGTGGGTTTGGACAAATACATAATGAGATGTATCCACTATTAGACCATACAGAGTAGTTTCACTGCCCTGAAAATCCTCTGTGCTCTGCCTGTTCATCCCTCCTTCCCCCTAACCTCAGGTAACCACTGATCTTTTCGACTTCTCCATAGTTTAGCCTTTTCCAGAATGTCATATGGTATGTAACTTTTTCATATTAGCTTCTTTTGCTTAGTAATACGGATTTAATATTTCTCCATGTCTTTTCATGGTGCGGTGGCTCATTTGTTTTTAACATTGAATAATATTCCATTGTCTGGATGTTACTATAGTTTATTTATCCATTTGTAACCAAATAGCTTAACTTCAAAATGCATTTTTTTTAAATGTCCCCTTTCTCTTTTCTCCCTAGTCTTTAAATACAACCTTGAAGCAAACTGCAGAAGCCTTTTCCTGTAAGCTTAAGGTAGACTCTATGTCCCACCCTTTCCCACCATATACTCCTTTTGCATTTATCTAACTGTATGCTAGTATCTAAATATGTTCTTACTTAGAAGTTCCAGGGGCTAATCTTTTTTTTATGGAATACACAGGGATTTAATATAGTATGATCTAAAAATTATCAAAAGCTGCCTTCCAAGGGCTAATCTTGAGACAGAAAGACCAAGCCTGGAGACCCAGCTGCAAAATTCCAGAGATTACCTCAAGGCAGCTAGTCAACAACCCGGCCATTGTTCCAGGTGGACTGAGACCCAAGATAGCAACCAAACAAGACACATGGATCTTGTACTCAGCACAACTCCTGCATGCTTCACATGTCAAGTTCCTCTTATTTTTTTTTTTTTTTTTTTTACAGAATTTGTTCTGTCGCCAGGCTGGAGTGCAGTGGCGTGATGTTGGTTCACTGCAGCCTCCACCTCCTGGGTTCAAGTGATTCTCCTGCCTCAGCCTCCCGAGTAGCTGGGGTTACAAGCAAGCGCCACCACACCCAGCTAATTTTTTTATTTTTAGTAGAGAGGGGTTTCATCATGTTGGCCAGGATGGTCTTGATTTCTTGACCTTGTGATCTGCCCTCCTCGGCCTCCCAAAGTGCTGGGACTACAGGCATGAGCCTCTATGCCTGGCCAAGTTCCCTTTTTTAAACTCTTGTTTTCTCCCCAGAAATTTAAAGTGATTACTTTGGATGGGGATCTGGTCACTTTCACTTCTGCTTTACTAGTTTTGGTTAATAAAGTCACTTTCTTTCTACCATATCTCACTCTTGTCATTGGACCTTGCAAGTGGCAAAGCAGCCAGACCCGTGCTCGGTTACACATTCACCTACTGAAGGATATCTTGGTTGCTTTTAAGAATTGGTTATTATGAATAAAGCTGAGTGCAGCCCTTTTTGTATGGAAGGAAGAGCATTTTGGCAAGGGTGCTGAAGGCATAGAAATGGTAGAAAGGGGCAGGAGATTAATGTGGGGAAGGGAGTTGGGGCAACCCACCCCGTACACAGCTCTGCCTGTGGCCAGCCCTGCTCAGAATATACTGGGCCTTAGAGCCCCATAGCAGAGGAAATGAGGCTGTGGCATGCAGGGCAGCTGGCCTGGTGCCCTCCTAAGTAGCTGTCAATCCCATGGAGCCCTCCACTAGTAGCCTCCAAGAGCTGCCTAGATGTTAGAAGAGAAATCTGTCCTTTTTAAAGCCAGAAAGTCCCCCCTTCCAGAGAAGGGACTCTTTCCTCAACCTGGAGCTCAGAGGAGAATCTGTGCTGGAAAGGCTAACGGAGTCTTGATCAGTGGGAGCACTCCTTGGGGGAGCACTCCTCAGGGGAAACACTTCTCAGGGGGACCTCTCCTCAGAGGGAATACCCTTCAGGGAAGCACTTCTCAGGGGCACTTCTCAGGGGAGCACTCCTCAGCGGGAGCACATCTCAGGGGAACTCTCCTCAGAGGGAACACTCTTAGGGGTAACTCTCCTCAAGGGAAACACTCCTCAGGGGAGCACTCCTCAGGGGGAGCATTCCTCAGGGGGGAACACTCCTTAGGAGGAGCACTCCTTGAGATTACCGCAAGGCAGCTAGTCAACAACCCGTCCATTGTTCCAGGTGGACTGAGACCCAAGATAGCCACCGAAACAAGACACATGGATGTTGTACTCAGCACAGCTCCTGCATGCTTCACACGTCAAGTTCTTCTTCTTTTTTTTTTTTCTTTTTTTTTCTTTTTTGACAGAGTCTCTCCTCAGAGGGAGCACTCCTCAGGAGTAATTCTCCTCAGGGGTAACTTCTCTTAAGGGGAAGTCTTCACAGGGACCATTCCTCAAAGGGAGCTTTCTTTCCTCTATGTGCTTTCCACCTGGCAGGGTCTCAGAGCCATATGTGCTCCCACTTCCTTACAGGGCAGGATCAGATACCACCATTTACACCCTCACTGAAAAGGCAGTCACACACACTCATACTGTAAGGGAGGAAAAATATCTTTTTCTTGACCCAACTTAGATTCATGGCTGAGGCCCCTGTAACAAAAAACAGATTAAAAAAAAAGAAAGGTCAAAAACAATGTATTTAACATAAATTTTACATGACACAGGAGCCCTCATCAGGAAATGAGGAAACAGGTAAGCCTGAATATTTTCATGCTAGGTTTGATGAAGCACGGACAATCGTGGAGAAATATGAGAGGAGGACAAAAGGGAACTATTAATGGTGACAAAACTGGGGAAAACTTAGCAAGCCTTGTTGTTCAGATTCCCCTCCATGTCCCTGTGTCTCCAGGGACAAGGATGCTCCTTTCCCCTGGGTGTAGGGAGGGAACCGTTCACCTCTCATGTGAAGGTTTTATGACCTGCTTCAGGGGAAGGTGAGAAAATCCTTCCTACGTTTTATGGAGAAGATTGGGGAAGGTTAGAGAGACTTTCCTGCACATGCTGTTTTCTCAAATTCCTTCAGCTTAGAATATTTTGGACTAGCATGTCCTGAGCCCCATCAACACTGATGCTTTCCCTTGCTAGGCCATGTGAACCTTATGAAAAAAAAATCTAGTGGCTTCTAGGAATTTCAGCAAGTATGTAAAGAAAATGCCAAGGACAGTCAGAGAACCCGTCTCTTTGCACCCCAAATCGTACTATGCTTGTGGCTGGTCCTGGAGTGCAACCTGGAGCTCTGAGAAGGGCTGGGAATTAATAATAAGCCATCTCTTCTGTGTGCTGCCCTGAGATGTGGGAGCACCTGGCTTGGACCCCTGCACAATGCAATTATTGTACCTTCAGCCCAGGGATCTGAGCCCCCTGAGCTGGCAGGAGCTCTCAGAACATCCACCGTGAGGCAGGCATGTGCTATGTGATGTCAGCACTGGTGCTGCCATGAAACAAGCTCATGGAAACAAGTTGGGCAGAAAGGTTTTGAAAAGTCAGGAACATCTTGTTGAATAACAAAAAACGAGTACGATGTAAGAACTTGTTTTTAGTGGAAAATGACTCTTCACATGACTTCTGTATGTTCACCTCTCTACCAGTCGGTTAACTGGCAGGAAGCAGGATGTCACTCAGATGGCTCAACTAGAGACTTCAATAGAGGGACCACTTAGGAAGTGTAGGCAAGGTCAAGGAAGCCAATAGGGATGTTGAGGCACCTAGAGGCTAGGAACTGCAGGAAGCTGTTGCTCTCCTAGACCAGAAGGGACAAGGGGTCCAATGAGAGCTGCAGCTGTAGAGAAGGGGTCCCCTGGAGAGAGCAGCAGCCATGGAAAAACAGCTGCAGTCAAGATAGAGCACAAGAGCAGGAAAGGGTGTGGGAAAACTCCAACTTCTCTTTCCTCCTTGTTGGCGCCTCCCATTGGCCAACCCAACTGGAAGTCAGGTGGTCAGGGAGTGCAGGTGTTTCAGCCCATAGGGGTCAACTTCCTGAGGCACAGAAAGTCAGAGAAGGCTGGTGAATGGACTCCAGTGTAGGGGGCCAGGTGGAGACTTAACTGGTATTGTTATGTTGGGTGTGTACATTCTCTAGATACAGTACGGTTATAAAATCCATTCCAGATGCGAGTCCCCTGCATTTCCATTCCATGTGTCCTCCGCCTCCCCCACTTCACTGTACTTACTAGGATCCATCCTGATCTTCATGAATCATGAAGACTACCTTGGATCTGCTACATATATGAGTCAGACTATTGGCTCTTTGAGAAACTCATTTGCTTTCTGTCCCATAGACATTGGTCAGTAAATGTATAATGGCGGAAGGGCTGCAATGGGATTAGAGAGAGTTAGTGTTCATCTTTCACTAAGATCTGCTTCCACTCCCAGCTGGCTTCCAGGGAATAAAGCCTCCTCACAGAACACACAGAGGTGGTGCAGAGAAAGCCCTAGGACCACACGAATACCACCAGACCTTGAAATGTGGGAAAAGAGGGCTGTAGGAGGCAATTCTGAATTTTTGTTGGCATGAATGAGCACATAAAATCACTTAGAGTGTTCAGGAAATTTTTCAGCCCTCTTCATTAGCTATCTTGCCTCCTTCCCCCTCAACTTTATTTTTTGTTTGTTTACTTCTTCTTTCAGGGGACCAGAAAAATCTAAGATGTGCTATTTATTTACTCATTCATTCATCCATACATTCCTTCAGTCATTTTTTACTGCAAATATCTATGGTGCCAGGCACTGTGTTAGGCACTGGCTTTAGAAGGGTGAAAATTATGAGGCTGGGCATGGTGGCTCATGCCTGTAATTCCAGCACATTCAGAGGCCTAGGGGGGTGGATCAACTGAGATCAGGAGTTCAAGACCAGCCTGTCCAGCATGGCGAAACCCCGTCTCTATTAAAAATACAAAAATTAACCAGGTGCAGTGGCATGCACCTGTAGTCCCAGCTACTTGGGAGGCTGAGGCAGGAGAATTGCTTGAACCAAGGAGGCAGAGGTTGCAGTGAGCTGAGACCAAGCCACTGCACTCCAGCCTGGGTGACAGAGCAAGACTCCGTCTCAAAAAAAAAAAATAAATAAATAAAAAAAAATAAAAACAGAAGGATGAAAATTAGGCTAGCTGGCCTTGAAAACTCACCATTCATTTAAGGTGTACACACACATTGATTTCCCAAGTCTTATCAGCCTTGGGGGTAAACAAGGGCATGAGTGACAAGTGCAATGGTATTTAACTCTGAACACCCACAAGCAGTTGTTAAACTCCAAGCCCCACTGAGAGTCCTAGAGGCAAACACTCCCAAAAGCTGCAGAGGTTTTCCCACATCATTACCATCATGTGCCAGACAGCCCTGCTGCTGCTGTTGCCTGAGCAGGAAAACCAGGGACAGTGTCTCTGCATTGGGAGCCTTGGGTGGGCTTATGAAGCAGTTTCTGTTGAATCTCCTGCATCCAGTGCGATTTCCACATTCTCAGAGAAAGCCCTGTGGCCCTAGAATCTCCTTTCATCTAGGCTGTCACTCTTTTTCAGTGTCTCAAAGAAAGCACCTACAATTTATTGAATCATTTAGTTATTTTACCTAGAGCAATTTCAGTCAAAATATATATGATATGAGACCTTTTCCTGTTTTGCAAAAATATTAGAGCATAGGAAAGTGCTGACTGGGGAAGATGGGGAGGGGAGATTCCTGGGGATTGGAGGACCAAACAGAGGAGCCCGAGGGCCAAGACCAAACTTCCTTACTTCACACCCTTACCAGGGGTGGCCCTGCTGGGTTGCAGCAGACAAATAAAGGTTGTGGGCCTTCTGTGTCCTGTTAGGCAACAATAGTGGGTGCCTTAGGTGGGTGTAAAGTTCTTGATGATTTATGACATGCCAGAACTTGCCTGTGCTTAAAAAAAAGTCCTAGACGGCCGGGCATGGTGGCTCATGCCTGTAATCCCAGCCAAGGTGGGTGGATCACAAGGTCAGGAGATGGAGACCATCCTGGCTAACACAGTGAAACCCCGTCTCTACAAAAAATACAAAAAATTGGCCGGGCTTGGTGGCGGGTGCCTGTGGTCTGAGCTACTCAGGAAGCTGAGGCAGGAGAATGGTGTGAACCTGGGAGGCAGAGGTTGCAGTGAGCCAAGATCACGCCACTGCACTCCAGCCTGGGCGACAGAGCGAGACTCCATCTCAAAAAAAAAAAAAAAAAAAAAAAAGTCCTAGACAACAGGGGACTGATGTCTAAGACATCAGATATACACTGCCAAACATCAGAACATGAAATTTTTCCTGCTAGATTCCCTCTATAGTTTGTCTGTCCACTAAATAAATACATGTTGATCTACTGTGGCAAAGAACTAAGAAATGTGTACAAAACAGCTCATTCTCTCAAAATGCTTAATTTCTAGCCAGAGAGGTGATATATGGAAGGATGAGTTTTTTTCCTTCTTGCTCACCATCCTTTCCTCTTTCCAAAGAGTAAATCTCACAAGGCTACAATAATAGAGGAAGGGTTTTTTGGTTGTGACACCTAGGTCTTGGAAAGGTCCAGCCTTTTCTCATAAGATAACAGGAGATACATCAGTAGGAGGTTAACATCTGCTTTCTGAGAGATCTTATGATAATTTTAAATATTCCAAGTGATGGTCAGTCTCCTGGGACTTCTCCTTTCTTCTACTTCAGCACCCAAAGTTCTCCTCTCCACCTCACATTTCAAGAGGAGAAAGAGTTGAAACAGAAAGTAATTGATAAGGTGTCCTGACGACGTTTAGACACAAGAAGAATCAGGACTTCGGGTGGGTGCTATGGAGAGAAAGGATTAAAATAAGTGTAGTGGGAGGGAAGAGGAGGAAGATCCAGGGAAGGGGCCCTGCCACTCAAAGCTGTTGCTCTGTGGCAGATCCCAAGGCCTGTGCCCTTGAGCAAATTAAAAGACAAAGTAGACTAACCACTGGGATCATAAGCATTTGGATTAGAAGGCTTTGGATGATCAGCAGAAATGAAGAGCTGTTTTTATATTCTTCATGATTCTGGTTGTGTGTTTGACCTGAGAAGACGTGGATCAGATCGTCTTCCCACTCCACCCCACCTCCCACCTTCCTTCACCAGCACAGTCCTGGATGACAGAGCCTAGGAAATGAAGAGAGCCACTCTGGGAGCCGACTGATCAACAACTGGAGGGGCACTCTCGTTCGACTGTACCACCTTCCACAAGAAGAGGGTGGTGCTCAAGTTCCAGACATACACAGAAATATTAAGTAGAACCCATGAAGTGCTTTGCAAGTCCAGAGTAAAGAGATGTTAATTCTTTCTGCTTTGATGAAAGATAGGTTTGATGGAGGAAGTGGCATTAAAAGGGAGCTTTAAAGGACAGCCGTAATCTTAAGTTCGTGGAGACATAAGGGGAGGAAATTCCAAGCAGAGGGAGCAGAGGTGAAATGGGAATGGAAATGAGATGTGTTGTCTTTATGTATCATGGGCATCATGGGATATCATGTGGAAAATCAGTGTGATTATTTATCTCTACAATGCTGACCTCTTTATACCTTTGTAATAATAACATTGGCAGGAACTTACATAAAATCCCAACTGGAACCAAATATTCATTTCTTATTTTAACTAAACCACAGATGAGATCAAACCAAACCCGAAACACACACACACACACACACACACACACACACACACACAAAATTGTTGATAAGAAACGTATATTTTTGAATCCTAAATTATTTTCCTGTTCTAAATATAATACCAAATTTATTCAGTAATCTGAGTTTGTAAACCTCCTTATTAGCACACAGATTTCAGTGAGCTGGGGCTATATATAATGATACTGATTTCTGCATGTAGTGTGTGGAATTAATTGTCATAATTAAACCTCTGTACATTGCTATATCCACAGGCTATCAGTCAGAGTCCATAATTGAAAACACAGTCACCTGCTTAGCTAGGTTAAGCAGAAAGAGACTATACTATGGGATGTTAGGTATCACACACTCCCTGGGAAGTCCAGAAGGTCAGGACTGGAAGCTACACAGTCAAGTGTATCACTCATCATAGGACTGAATCTGCAAAGACCACACAGAGCAGCACTGCAGAGCCCACTGGTGATGCTGGGCACTGTACATCAGAATCTCTGCCTCTGCTCTCTAGAAAAGCAGACACACTGTCACTCTGTCTGCCAAAACATGGGTCCCATGTGTTCCTGCTCTTCCTGTTGCTTCTTTCCAAATGTAAGTCTTATCAATATAAGGCTTGGATACATCAGCTCTAATGTACTTGGTCCACCCGATGGGCAGAGTCTAGGAGGCATGCCTGCCCCCTACATCTGCACTGGAATCTGGAGAAATGAATCCTGACTTCCGACTTGGAAAGTGCAAGTCCGTAATGTGGGAAGAGGCCCAAACATAAGATGTTGAAACAATGCAGGGTGGCCACAAAGCCTGACAGAACTCCACTATACCAGGTGCCATGGTGCTACATCAATCCATTTTATTTTTCTGTGTTCAATTTGTTTAGCACATAGGAGATTTCTGTTTTGGGCAATATCATGAACAAAAGAGCCTGAGAAAATATCCCACTGTAAGACATTTAGAAATGCTGAATAAAATATGTCAAAACTCCTCTGAAAGGCAAAATCTTCACAAAAATGGTAGTGAAATGATACCAAAATGAAACTGAAGCTGGAAAACTTAGTGAAGAGCTGACTCTGAAGCTGTAGACATCCTTTGGAAATGTTCTAATGTTTGTAACCCAGACTTTGGGGTTTAATGGTGTAAGGAGTAAAGTTAAAGCCTCAGGCCCTTAGAAAGGTAGGAGTTGGAACAGAGACCCTCATATAATGTTGACATAGTCAAAAAGCCTCAGTGAAAGAGTATCTACAGGAAAACTGCTCAAAGCGAAGGGACACATTGAGGGAATTTTTGTCAGTGTGCATTGAAGCTGTCTAGAAAAAAAGTCTCCCCTAAAACTGAATTTGTGGGCCAGGCGTGGTGGCTTACGCCTGTAATCCCAGCACTTTGGGAGGCTGAGGCAGGCAGATCACCTGAGGTCGGAAGTTCGAGACGAGGCTGGCCAACATGGCGAAACCCTGTCTCTACTAAAAATACAAAAAATTACCCGGGCGTGGTGGTTGGTGCCTGTAATCCCAGATACTCGGGAGGCTGAGGCAGAAGAATCACTTGAACCCGGGAGGCAGAGGTTGCAGTGAGCTGAGATCATGTGACTGCACTCCAGCCTGGGCAACAAGAATGAGACACCATCTAAAAAAAAAAAAAAACAAAAAAAAAAAACAAAAAAAAACTGAATTTGTGGCTGGGTTTTGCATTATCTTTGTAGCTCAAGAGGGTATAAGCTGAAAATTTTACTGAGGTGCCTCCAGGTTTGTAATATGCATGGTGACAGGTAGAAGCAAACATCAATTGCCTCTAGAAGGCATATTCTTAATCCAGGTCTCTCAGGAATCCCACAAATGAAGTCCAGCCAAATTTAAGATCACCTCATGAAATTGTAAAAGGCCTAAGAAAACAAGACATCCCTAGGCAAGAGTCAATAAAAAAATAATCAAATGGTCAGGTGCAGTGGCTCACGCCTGTAATCCCAGCACTTTGGGAGGCCGAGGTGGGCAGATCACCTGAGGTCAGGAGTTTGAGACCATCCTGGCCAACATGGTGAAACCCCATCTCTACTAAAAATACAAAAATTAGCTGGGCATGGTGGTGGGTGCCTGTAATCCCAGCCACTCAGGAGGCTGAGGCAGGAGAATTGCTTGAGCCCAGGAGAAAAAGGTTGCAGTGAGCCAACATGTTGCCATTGCACTCCAGCCTGGGTGACAGAGTGAGACTCTGTCTCAAAAAAAAGAAATCAAAATAGGTCACCTATGATAGGGGTCCCCAACACTTGGGCCACTGCACAGCAAGAGGTAACCAGCAGGTGAATGAGCATTACCACCTGAGTTCTGCCTCCTGTCAGATCAGCAGTAGCATTAGATTCTCATAGGAGGGCGAGCCCTGTTGTGAACTGTGAACGCGAGGGATCTAGGCTGTCTGCTCCTTATAAGAATCTAATGCCTGTTGATCTGTCACTGTCTCCCATCACCCCCAGATGGGACTGTCTCATTGCAGAAAAACAAGCTCAGGGCTCCCACTGATTCTACATTATGATGAGATGTATAATTTGTTTCATTATATATTACAATGTAATAATAATAGAAATAAGGTGCACAATAAATATAACGCACTTGAATCATCCTGAAACCATCACCCCGCCCCAACTGCCCTGTCTGTGGAAAGATTGTCTTCCACAAAACCAGTCCCTGGTGCCAAAAAGTTTGGGGACTGCTAATCTACAACATCAGATAGTTTAAAGTGTTAAAAGAAAGGGGAAAAAAGAAATGGAAAACATGAGCAAGAAAACAGATATCATCAAAAAAGGAAGGATTATACAATAGATTCTACATGGCTAAAGAGAGATTTAGGAAACTGAAATACATTTGCCCAGAATGAAAAAAGGTAGAGACAGAAATATGAGAGATATAAAATGGAAGTTAACAGACATGGGAAACAGAATGTCTGACATCTTAATTAGAATTCCAAAATAAGAGACTGGAAGGGCTCAGGGATACTGGAGTCTATGAGGATGGTCAATAAATGACACTCCATTCTCCACCATGTTTGGAACCTATTAAAAATGCACATTGGCCAGGTGTAGTGGCTCACGTCTATAATCCCAGTTCTTTGGGCAGCTGAGGCTGAAGGATTGCTTGAGCTCAGGATTTTGAGACCAGCCTGGGCAACATAGCAAGACATTGTCTCTACTAAAAGTAAAAAAAAAAAAAAAAAAAAAAAAAAAATTAGCCAGGCATAATGGTGCAGGCCTGTAGTTCCAGCTACTTGGGAGGCTGAGGTGGGAGGATCGCTTGAGTTCGGGAGATCAAGGCCACAGTGAGCTGTGATAGTGCCACTGTACTCCAGTGTGGGTGGCAGAGGAAGATCCTGTCTCAGAAAAAAAATTAAAAGCTTATTTTTTTAAAGGTACTTTAGATTTGGGCAGATGGAGATAAAAATGCCAGGTTTATTACTGATGTAACTAGTGAATAAATAGGCATTAATTGTAGCCTTCCTAACACTGAACTTCAGAATTCAGCAAATTTCCCCAACCCATCACTGGCAGCACTTGACAACTGAAGCCCCATCCCCTGTCTCCCATCCTCCATAGGATGTGCCCTGAAAACCTTAAGCAAAGAGGAACACAGAGAAAAGTGTACGCCCTGCAGCCAACTCCCAAAGAGGAAGAGGACCGCAGACTTAGCTGAGCATGCTCAGATACCCTCCCCAACCTCACTGTTGAATAGGTCATCTCCTCACCCCAGGGAGGAGAGAGAATAGACAGAGAGAGACCAGGAGTGTTGGTTTCAAAGGATCTCCTCCTGAAGCTGCTTAATGGGTACAAAGATACAGTTAGAGAGAAGGAATAAATTCTAATGAATCTCTCTGATAGCAGAGTGACTAAAGTTAACAACAGTGTATTGTATTTTTCAAATAGCTAGAAGACTTGAAATGTACCCAACATATAGAAATGATAAATACTTGGGTGACTGATACCCTAAATACCCTGACTTGGTCATTACAGATTCCATGAATGTAACAAAATCTTACCTGTGCCCCATAAATATGTACCAATATAATGTATCAACAAAATTCTGCTCCTTAAAGACAAAAAAAAAAAAAAACAGCAAAGAATCTCCTCCTATCAGAGGAGAGGTATTACTCAAAAAGATTGTACATACGAATTTTCAAATTCCTTAGATCAAGGAAGTGTTAATAAATGCTTAGCAAGATAAATAAAAAATAATCTATACCTAGACACCCTGTAGTAAAACTGCAGAACACCAAAGACAAAAAGAATGTAAAAGTAGTGAGAGGCTAAAAGAAGGTTACCTGTTAACGACTGTCAGAGGACTTACCAACAGCAAGAATGTAAACCAGAAGACAATAGAACAAGATCTTCAAACTGCTAACAGAAAATAGCTGTCAACTTAGAACTGTACCCAGCAAAAAATTATTTTTTAAGAAAAAAGAAAAAAATGAAGACATTCTTCTGACCAGAAAAAAAAAACAAAACCCTGAGAACTTCTTACTATAGAAACTTCTGAAATGCATTCATTTCAGAAAGAAGCAAAAATATACAAGTGGAAGTCAGAGATGGAAGATGAAACAAAATATAAGGGGCTTCTTCAACTGTCCAACTTTTCTAATTTATGTCCCTTGTGTAGATCCCCTGCCTTAATTTTGTGAACTCGTTGTTCAGAGTTTGGGGTGAAATCTGTGATTCATCATCTTCATTCTGGATCTCTATAGAGCCCAAAGAAGGATGAAGGTGCTGCCACCTTTTTGGAAGGTGCAAGTCCAGGGTGTTAAGGGTGAGGAAAAAGGAGATGAGACCAAAAAAATGAGAAGTCATATGATGTGATGCATCACCAAGGTGTGCAAATCTTTCAAGCCATAAAGAAAACAGCAGACTGCTCAGGTAGGATGTCCTCTGGAAATGTTACAAGAAAAATCCAGGCCTCTGTGTATTGTATTGAAGGCAGAAAGGAAGAGAAAATTGTTTCTTCTTCACTCTGGCCATCTCCTGCTGCCCAATGGTCAAGATTTACCCCATGCAGAAATCATTCCACTGCATCTGAGTGGCATCACCAGGTGCTCAGAGGCTGTCAGAAAGCAAGTTCAAGCTTCATGGTGTATCATTTCATTCAAGTTCCAGAAGTGAAAATGAGACTTGGTGCAAATAAGTCTTGGTATGTGAGATGTGAAAACCATGCCTGGGGATCTTGGTAGAGTGCCAGCAGTTTGGGGCTGGTGATGCTGCCATCAGTGTGGCAGGCAATCAAGGGGCTCTGAGAAGGGACACAAGGTCTGAGACTCATAGGTTCCTGAAACAGCTTTTCTCTCCGTGGAGCTAACTGATCTGCCTAAGATTAACCTGTGCTTTGGCCTTCTTAGAACTATTCTCTAACCAATGAACTAACTAACCCAGATTCAAAATTATTTTCATTAAAAATTGAAGGAAAAATCAACCACCTATCCAATCTAATCAAGATAGGATAGACTACACTGTGGTAACAAACAACCCCAAAATCTCGTGACTTAACACAGCAAAAGTTGCTTTTTACTCAGGCAACATCCATTGAGTTCCGGGGTGACTTTCAGAGCAACTGTCCTCACAAGCTGCGTCCACCATCCAGGCTGTGGAGGCTCCATCTGAGCTTGTGGTCTCCTTGGTGAGTGTGGCAGGAGAAGGGGAGGCTGGGGAATCATGTGCCCGCTCTGAAAAGCCTCCTCCTGGAAGTGACACAGGCCACTTTGGCTCACAGCATAGCTCAAAGATAATCCTATGTCTCCAACTTCCAAAGAGTATGAATGCATAATCTTCCTTTCATCTGGACTAGGAGGAGACCCCTAAAAACACAAGTAATGTTTTCCTGAAACATTTTTTAGAAATAGGGTTTATGTTGAGAAGATAAATTTAATCACTAAAATATTATCTCCTTTATTCTTATTCTTCTCCATATTTCTATTCTGTACACATAAGTGTATTCAGCTTAAGTATAAATGTCAGGAAGATTTAAATTTATTTTCTGTGATAATACCATCATTTTGGAACTATCCTAATGAGAAGTCCTATATTTGATTTTACTTACAGAACGTTTGGTAGAGTCGGTGACATTGAAATTGGCTTAGAACAAACAGGTTGTTTTAGAACTGAAAAGGACCTTAGCATTTCACTCCTACAAAAATATGTTTTCAGAAACATCTGGAGAAATCTATACTGTCAAAGTAAGAGTTTGCTTTTAACATATCAGTCACTACCCCTGCTGGCACTGCATCAGCGTCATTGTTCTGTCCTTTCCTCTGCCTCAGCCCTAACGCAGACCCTCATCATCTCTCCCTGGGCCAGCTAGCTGCCTTTTGATGGTCTCTGTGCCTCTCCAGTACCCATCCGACCCATGTCCCATGCTGAGGCCACAAGTCTGATCTATATTCAGTCTGTGGTTTTAAAATTTAGACATTGTCCTATTTTCTCACTATTTCCTAAGTGTATTTCGTTTCTCTTCCACTACTGAAAGCTTCTGGGGACGAGAACCATTTCACAAAACGTTGCATGTTTTCTCCCCCCCTCCTTTCCCTCCTCTTCCAGCACCTGGTCCTGAACACTGTGTGTTCACAGTGCACTCAATAAATACTTGTTGCATTGAATTCCCTAAACCATACTAATTATTCATTCAGCTCAAGTCCCTGTGTCTATGTAGAATGATGGATTTCAGACACAAGGACTGAGGGTCAATTCAAATCCCTCGAGGGCCTATTGGCATCACCGTTGCGCACCACCTTCTCCTTTCACACTGGTAAACAGAGGGCGCAGGATTACGCCGCCCCGCACTCCTAAGCAGCTGTCCCGCATTTTGTGCCATCCCTAGAATTAGTCCTAGTGGCGCCACGAAAATAAACCCATTTTTTTCCCCAAATTCTGCCAACAAAAGGGCCAATGAATGTCAAATTAATGACTCATTGAAAGTCCACTGCATCCTGTTTCTGACTTCTTGGAGGAAGTAGACCCCAAGATTTCCGAGAACATTCTTAGTAATTTCTCCACCAAGCACTCCTTTCAGATGCTTACAAGAGTGACAATGTCTCCATTATTATAAGCCTGAGACTCAAAGACATCCTGGAGTGTGATATTTGAGTATTGTCAATCTGTTTCTAGTTCTAAGTGCAAATGGTCACAGTTTGGAGTCGTGCCATAGGCCTCACCTTTTTGCTTGTTCTTATGTAACGGGATCTTGCAGGTACAAACAAGAAAGATGCATTACATAACAGGAGAAGATGTTTCTAATTGTTGAGATCGATTTTAATACTGCGTCAAATAAACTGGCAAAATAACAGTGCCATGTGTACTGAGAGCACAATAAGTAAAAGAAAAAACTATACAAGTCACAGCACATACAAACGGCTGATGCTAAAACATGTTCAGTGAATCACTGTGCCCAGCAGGGACAAGCAGGAACTTCTAAGAAGATGCCAGAATCTTCCAAGTATTGGGTAATTCCACACAAATTGTCTGCCCTGATCATGGTGTAAACCGTGGATTATTCAGAATTCTTTATAATGCTGTGGACTGAGTTCCAAATCTTAGTTTTCAAAAGCGAAATTTGAGACAGGATGTACGTACCAATAACTTAAATGAGACAAGAAATCACTTTGGGGAAGCTGATAAACACATCCCTTCAGGCTGGAAGTGCAGGCTCAGGCCTGTAATTTCAGCGCTTTGGGAGACCAATGCAGGAGGATCGCTTGGGCCCAGGAGTTTGAGACCAGCCTGGGCAGTACAGTGAGACAACGTCTCTACAAAAAATAAAAAAATTACCCGGGCGCAGTGGCGAGTGCCTGCAGTACTAGCTACTTGGGAGGATGCGGTGGGAAGATGACCTGAGCCCAGCAGGTTGAAGCTACAGTGAGCCGTGATCACATCACTGCACTCAAACCCAGGAGACAGAGCAAGACCCTGTCTCCGAAAAAAAAAAAAAGAGAGAGATCCCTTTAGCTAAATATGTCTGCACTATGATTGTGCAAACTTGCATATTTTACTAATAGTTTAATAAATTCAATAAAATCATTGTGGCAACATACAGCAACGATGTTACCAGACTAACGACAGCAGCTAGTGTCAGAGATAAAACTGAAACGTGTGAAATCGAAATGAAAACCAAAGTTAGATTTACTGTTTTTAAAACTGAATATGCCTCTATCAGAAACAAGAAGTTACATGAAACTTTGTAAAATGTCATAGATCAAAATATCCTAATATAAAAACTTACTGGATAACTGATAAGTATTTTCTTCCAAATAGTGGAGATTTATTATCTGAGAAATCAATTTATTCATACTCTCCACATAGAATGCTAACCAATTAAGGAATGACAGCAGTTATTAGAGTTTCCTAATGATTCGACTTTGAAACAGAAGACACTCTACTATTCCCCTTTTGAGACTCTAGAGTAATTAATAAGAGAATTGTTAGATTTTTAAGCAAGCTATCCTTTAAAAACATGTGTTTGTTAACTTCTATTCATCATAATTAGGATTTTCTCAATGTTATACCTTCAAAACCAAACACAGAAATCAACTGGCTAACATGAGACTCAAACTGTTATCCACAACCTCTGACTTAAAGTTATTGTGCTCATCAAAACAGCCTCATTTTTAACTGATAGACTTCAAAATAAATAAATGGCATACACTTGAAATAACAAACCAGTAAAATATTAGGGAATCTGTCCAAGATTTTAGAGTTGATAAAATTTATTTATTGCTAAGAAAAAAATGTTAAAACCAGTGGAATAAACTTTAGTTATGAGGTGTTTGGGGTTCTAGAATTCTAGGATATCATCATGGTAGCGGGGGCACTCTCTCTGTGTGTAAATAATTGTAATTAATTGTAGATCTGCAGAGTTCAAAAACTGCATGATAAAATGACATTTGCTTTAGCTAGGACACTGTTGTATTCAGTACAATTCTGTATTCAGGACAATTCAATTCAATTCTATTCTATTCAGTACAATTTTGTATTCAGGACAATTCTATGATATAGTAAACAGCCTTCTAGGACTAGTTGGAGCGTGAGCCATAAGCCACAGGGCCAAGGATTTGTCTTGAGTTACGAGTGAACAATGATAACTGAGTAAACAGCCTCCCTAATTTTGTATAGAATTATTCATGGAGGCTGCAATGCAGGCATTGTGAGGAAAGGTGAAACTAGGGGAATCATTCTTCAGCCTTCAGCCCTGGACGGTGTCACTGTGAACAAAAGCAAACCAAAGGCATATCTATGGAGTAAAGCCACTGGGAGTCACCCACTGGGGAACCCACTCAATGCTGATTACACTGATGTGGTTTCTCTTGGTAAGGGACCCATCAAAGGGTTTTACCCAGAGCCAGGGAAGCTGCATGGCCTCTTGCCGATAATCACACATGAAGAGTAGCAGGAATTTCTATGTGGCTAAGATAAAGTACGTGAAGAAATGCTTAAAAACTGCTTGGAGTAGAACACAATTTACTTTAATGCAAAAGCAGTGCCCAGGAAGCTGAGTGAGATGTAAAGGCAGAAGTCTAAAAGGGAGAAAACTCAGTAGGCAAAAATCACTAAATGATTTCTACAAAATCATTTCCTGAGCACCCACTTTGGTATATAATATGCTTTAAGCTTTTCACTACTCTGCCGGGCGTGGTGGCTCATGCCTGTAATCCCAGCACTTTGGGAGGCTGAGGTGGGAGGATCACCAGGTCAGGAGTTCGAGACCAGCCTGGCCAACATGGTGAAACCCCATCTCTACTAAAAAAAAAAAATACAGAAATTAGTCACGCTTGGTGGCGTGGGCCCGTAATCCCAGTTACTTGGGAGGCTGAGGCAGGTGAATTGTTTGAATCCAGGAGGCAGAGGTTGCAGTGAGCCGAGATCGTGCCACTGCACTCCAGTCTGGGCAACAGAGCAAGACTTCGTCTCAGAAAAAGTAAATAAATAAATAAATAAATAAATAAAAATAAACTTTTCATTACTCCTAAGGAAAAGTAAGTCTCAGAGTCTCCTTTTCTTGGCCAGGGTCACATGAAGAGTAAAGGACCCCCTGTGAGATTTGAACTCAGATCTTATGACTGATGGCAAGTCCAGGCAAGGGTCTTTCCAGGTCACTCAGCACTTTTCTGATACATTGTAAGGAAATTTGCAAAGACTTTCAATGCCTGTGTGGAAA
Source organism: Homo sapiens (assembly GCF_000001405.40). Lineage (NCBI taxonomy): Eukaryota > Metazoa > Chordata > Mammalia > Primates > Hominidae > Homo > Homo sapiens. The sequence continues at coordinate 116,811,449 of NC_000001.11, forward strand.
GCCTCTGAGTACCTGCTGAATGTTAATACTCTGGGCAAGGCCCGTGACTGCCATCCTTGGAATGACCTACTTTGCAAGGTTGGCCATTGGTTGGCATCTGGGAATTTGAATTGTAAACAGTTCCCTAGACTGATATAAAACTTTTCTTAAATGACAAGAGTGGCTCACTGTGCCTAAACTGTTTGCTATGCTGAACATCTGATTTTCTTCTGGGAGTCTGGAATTTTCCTACTTGTTAGGCATAGACTGTCTACATGACCAGCCTCCAGTAAAAATCTTGAACACTGGGTCTCTAATGAGCATCCCTAGTAGACAACATTTCACATGTGTTGTTACAAGTCACTGCTGGAGGAATTAGATGTCCCTTGTGTGACTCTACTGGGAGACTCTCAGAAGATCATGCCTGCTTTCCTCTGAACTTTGCTCCTTTTCCCTCTGCTGATTTTACTTTTCATCCTTTTGCTGTAATAAATGATAGCATGAGTACAACTATATGCTGAGTCTTCGTAGCAAATCATCAAACCTGGGGGTAGTCTTGGGGGCCCCAGTACACTGCCTCAAAAATAGCAAACGTAATAGTGATGAATTTCAAGTCATTGACATTTTCTTTCATATTTAATTGTTGATTCACATAATACTTGTGCAGGGTATTAAAATTCAGCAAGTACTCAAAGGCTTACAATAAAAAAGGATAGCCTCTTGTTTATCTCTTCCCCATACCTTCAATTTTACTCCCTAGAAAGAACCATGTTCATGACTTTTAGACTTTTCTTCTGATATTTATATTATTTATATTGATACATATGCTTTTACTTAAACTTTTGACATTATTTATCATGTTTCTCCTATAAAAAATGAGGATTTAACTATCTTACAACCAGTCCCCCAACACACCCATGTGAACTTTTCTCTTCCTCCATTCTCACACAGTGGTTTTTGGCATGATTTTTGGTTAAATAAACATTCAGTGTTTACATTATTTTGCCCACCTACTCTTCACAGCTGAGCCACAAAATGTACCGTGATTAATTTCCTTTCTTAAGTTACTTTTTAAAATGTCCAGAAGATAATTTTTTTATATTTTTATTTGTTCTGTCACCAACTCTTCCTCTAAACTCTGTCAAACTTTTAAAATTTCTCTCAGTGACACAAACACAAAAGGTAATTTATCATATTCATTTCTTTTTTTTAAGATACACCTTTCAGAGTTCTCTGACTCTTCTGCTATAAATGTGTCATCCTGGGAATATCTCTGCTTTGCTTCTGTGTTGAATGCCTTGTTCTGTAGCTCTCATATTCTGCCATTTCTTCATTTGATGGAGCACATCCTCTAATGGCCTCCTAGAAATGTTATAAGGGAGTGAAATGTTTGAGACTTGCATATCTAGGAATGTGTTTATGCTACTACCCTTACACTTGATTGACAGTTTGGCTGGGTATACGATTCCAGTTTGCCAATCATTTCTCCTTAGAATTGTGAAGACATTCCTCCACTTTACTCTAGATTCTGAGCTTGCTGCTTGTTAGCCTATAGGATTTCTGATTTTAGGATCTTCTCTTTTTCCAACTATAAAATTTCACAATGATGTGCCTTGGTGTTATAGTTCTGGGAACTCAGAAAGTCCTTTTCAATTGGGAGACTCAGATCTTTCAGGTCAAGATTTTCTTGTATTACTTTCTTGAAAAATTTATTATTCCATTTTATCTGTTAACTTTTTCTAAAATGCCTACTAGTATAATGTTTTACTTCTTGCATTGATTCTCTAAGTTTTGCATTTTTTCTGCTTTTTTTCATATCTTGATCTTTTTGGTTACTTTCTGAAGATTTCTTCAACATTTTCCAATATTCTGCTGAATTTTTATTTCATGATATTTTTACATTTCCCATAGTATTTTTTAATTTTTTGAATGTTTATTTTATATTTTTCTGGTTTCGTCTTACGGATGTAACATCTTCTGACGTCTCACATGATACTAAGCCCAGGGTATTCACCCTGCTCCACTTCTCTGTTACTAAAATTTTGTTACTAAAATTGTCTTTCATGGCGAACACTTTCCTCAGATCCCTTGTGATTCTTAGTTATCCATTTACATTTATCAACAAGGAACTAAAGAGCTGATTGTGTGCACAGGTGGAGCTTGCTATCCAATGGGCTTCACTGCAGTGCTATAAGGTAGGAGCCTGGCCATTTTGCTGGGGAGCCTCAAAGTGTCAGGTCTTTTCTCTTGGTTTCTCCATAGAGGAATCCTTCTGCCTGGGAGATATAATTCTGGAAGCGAATGTTCTGCGAATTGAGAAAGGAAGGAGACTGGATGTCACCTTTAAATATAAACTTTTTCACTCGGTCCCCATTTTCAAACCTTTGTACTATATCAAACACATTCTATTAACAAAGCCCAACATTGAACCAATCAGCAAGGGAAAAATCCTCACAGGATCCAGCTCCAGTATAAACAGATAACTGGCACATTCACCCTTCCTTGGCCTGTTATCTCTGAGTTTGGAGTCTCTTTGTCAATTTCTTAAGCATAAGTTTTTGTTTCCTAGTGGGGTGAAGGAAGGGACCTGGGGTCTGTTTGCTGCTTACACGGACTGTGAATCGATGCTCCTCTTTTTATCTCCACCTCTTATCCCTAAGTTTCTGGTGCCTCTAATCTGTGAGTCTCTATGAGGCTCACTTGAGCAAATTGGCTTCCCATTATAGCTTCCCCTATTGCACATGGAGTTTCCTCCATGCTGCTATATCATTCAGCATTTGTCTACCCGCTTTAAGACTTCCAAGCTTTTGTTGACATCCTTTTTCTAGGGTCATCTTTTCTCATGTTTTCTTTGTTCTTGTGGATTTATGACTTTTACAAAAATTGTCATTTTATTGGAGTTCCAGATGGGATAAAGATAACTATTCCTTAAATTCCCCATGTTTAACCTACCAATCTTTTACTGAAAGTTTAAGTATTTATTCATAAATTAAAGAAAACTAGTTCGATTAAGCCGTGATTAATAACAAATCATTTTTAGTTTGGAAGGTATTTAATTTACTTCCATGGGTACAGACTTCTTCAAATCTTACTCTATAACTATCAAAGATTGGTCCAAGAAACACAAGCATCAAAATCAACTTATGGTATTTGTTGAAAATGCAAAAACATGAGCTTACCCTAGACTGTATGCATCAGAGTCTTTGGGGATTGGGCTAAGTACTCTGCATCTTAAACACATTTCTCAGATGATTAACAACTCTGAAGTCTAAGAACCACTGTTCCATTTTGTACTATTAATAAGTGATAGAATCTTTTGATTTGGCATTTTGGTGAAAAAGTACATTTTATTAGGAAAAGAACCCCCAAAAATGACTCTCAAATAATAATGTCTTATTTGTAGTTTTTTATCCATATCTTGTTAAGTCTCGCTTATTGGCCAAAACCACTATAAAAGAAAGCATCATCAGTCATCTGTTGTTTTGCTACCTGAAACTTAAGGAAAGAGTCTCAGAATTCCAGCTCCACAGATTCAGACACATGAAAATGACAACAAACGTCACTGCCTCCATTAGACTGGGGGTGAAAATGAATGCATGTTCCAAGGCCTTGATGAACTAAACTAATTATGCAAAGTGAAACCCTCCATTAGTCTTTTGTTCCAGTCCTAGTCTCTAGCTGACTGTAAAGTGGGAAATCAACCTTTATGGGTTCCAGGAAGGCCTGAAAAAGGTAACAGCAACCTTCCCCCCTCACCCTCCAGGCCTTGGCCACACAGCGACAGGTTTTGTTTTGTGGCAAAATATTTTGTACTCAAGATTATTACTTTTTCTTTTAAAATAGTAACATTAATGTTCTTTCTGCTTATAAAATTAATACATACTGACTGATGAAAAATTAGAAAACTGAGAAAAAAATGAGAAGAAAATAAAATTTACCCAAATCCCAGAGATAGCCAGTGTTAACATGGTAGTACATTCCCTTCTAGTTCTATTTCTGCACATCCGTGTTTTAACACAGTTAAGGACTTTGAAGCAGTTGTATACCCTGCTTTTTTTCTACTTCTCATTTTGTAAGCCTGTCTCCACATAAAGTTCTTCGTACACATATTTAAAGGTGTATAGCTACCCATTCATTTGGCCACTCCCCAACTGCTGGATATTTAAGTTGTTTCCAACTTTTTGCTGTTACAAATAACATGATATTCAGCTTTTTATATAAGTTTTGGCCCACATTTCTAGTTTTTTCCTAAGGATGCATTCCTGGAGGCTATGAATATTTTAAGGCTCTTGATAGAAGCTGTTACACTATTTTTCAGAAAAGTTCTTTCAAGACACTCTTTTCTACTAGCAACAAATGAGAGTGTTCCTCTCATTACAGTTTCAACAGCTCTAGATATTATAAATTTTTTATCAAAATAACATAGATTATTTTAAAAATCAGTATTCTCAAAAGACATAATAAAAGACACCAGTCCCCTGGCCTACCGTGCTCTGCCCTCCTGTTCACAGCCCAGATGCCACTACTCTTAATGTTTTTAGATTATTTTAGGTATTTACAATAATATGTTTATTTCATAATTTCAAAATTTTAGACATTATCTATTCATTTACTGCTGCAAAAGATTAGGACTTAGCTAATTTACATCAACTCCACACTTCCTCACTCTTTTCTTCTCACATCCTCCCAATAAACTTATATCGCTGTGTTTAAGCAAAGCAATAATAAATCTACAATTATTAAGTAATATAACAATAATATCTTGTTATAATTACCATTAATATATTTGTTATGTTATAATTAACAAAATAATAATTGTTGTAACTGCACAAATATTATTCAACACGTTGTATATTAATATTATGCATTGACTTCTCTGTCTCTTTTTCTTTAGGCTGGCATTTTTAATTGTGCTTTTCTTCTTGCATTGTTCTCCTTATAGTTCACATTTGGCACCATTACATCAAGTATTCTTTTAAGTCTCCCATTTTCCTAAAGATCTTCCTGCCAAAGTTCTTCATACTCATGTTTTAAGATGGACCAGGAATCAAATTATTATCTAAACAGAATTCTAATTAATCTAATTTTTAATTCTCTGACTCTGCCTTTTGGTGCCGGAAGTTTCTGAGCCTTGAGGTGCTGCGGGCCAGCCAGCTGTCATCCTGTCTGCACCCTACGGTGGCTCTGTGGGCACATCAAGCTGTGGTTTCTTCCAGCCTACTCTTTCAAACACCAGTTTGCAAGAATTCTGTTGAAATTTCTCACTCTCAGATAGCCCATATCCCAGTGATTCTCAACTCATGGTGAATTTGTCCCCCAGGGAACATCTGGCATACTGCAGATAATTTTCGGTTACCACAACTGAGTTGGGGTTGCTACTGGTGTCTAGTGGGTAAAGCCCAGTGATGCTGCTAAGCGTCCTGCGATACACAAGACAGCCTTCAACAACAAATAATTATTTATCATTTCAGTAGCTTCTCAGGATAAAGAAGAGGTTAACATGTATATTCAAATTGACATCTTTTTTTTGAGACGGAGTCTCGCCCTGTTGCCCAGGCTGGAGTGCAATGGCGAGATCTCAGCTCACTGCAACCTCCTCCTCCCAGGTTCAAGCGATTCTCCCGCCTCAGCTTCCCGAGTAGCTGGGATTACAGGCGCCCGCCACCACGCCCGGCTAATTTCTTTTTTTTTTTTTTTCTTTAGTAGAGACGGGGTTTCACCATGCTGGCCAGGCTGGTCTCAAACTCCCAACCTCAGGCGGATCCGCCTCGGCCTCCCAAAGTGCTGGGATTACAGGCGTGAGCCACCGTGCCCGGCCTCAAATTGACATCTTTATATCATTCAAGTTCTTGGAGATTGTTTCTTCAGTCATAAAATGAGATTGGTCCTTACTACTATTAGGACTAAATAAGATGATGTACAAACAGGATCCAAAGCATAAAATTTTTTCGAAACTAGTCAGAAGTTATTATTTTTAAAAATGTTTTGATAGTTTGGCAGATTAAAAATGCTACCTTGTTTAAATTTACATTTTTTGTACTGGTGAGGCTGAAATACTTTCATGTGTTTATTTTGCAATCTGCATTCATTCTGCTGTGATTTGCCCAAGTCTTTTGTTAACATTGATTGACAATAATATGTTTATTATTACCCACAGGCTCTGGCCCTGCCAGCATGTGACTGCAAAATACAGTCACATTTACTTTAATATTGAAATCACTCTGAATCACTACATCACAAATTAATAAGAAATTTGCTGTTTACCTAGGGTTTCTCTTCCCAAGTGACTGTGATTCCCCTGAGTTAAATGGCTGTCCTCGTCACTTGCTGCCCCCTGCTGGGAGAGCAGAAACTCACTCAACACTAGAGGGGCTGCACTCCATGGCTATCTGGGGACCTCCCCACACTTTCTTGGGATGGCCCCACCTGCTGGTCTCCTAGGCTTCCCACTCCACCATTTCACACCTGGTGGTGGTGATTAGACAACCACGTCAAAGCTCTGCAGGGCTGCAGAGATGGAGCCCAGCTGGACACCTTTCTCTAACTCTCCTAGTACTCTCTTGTTTTCACTGCCAGCTGCAAGAATTGACCAGATCTCCCAGATGAAGATGAATCCTCCAAGATATAATAAAGACCTCAGTATTCAAGTCATCTAGGAATGTCCCATATTGAAAATGCCAAAATCCCAAGTGATTCAGCTCTTTAGTGATATATGTGTGATTAGTAGTTTTATATATAACATTTGTTGAGCATTTATTATGTGCTACATATAGCACTCAGTACTTTACATCAATTGTTTCATATTTATTCCTCATTTAAATATTAGGAGTTATGCATATTATTATTATATGTCCTCTTCATAGATGAGACTTAGACAGAAGTAGGCAACATGCCAAAAGACACACCACCACAAATCCAATTTAGGACTGTCAGTCCTCAACACCTACATTTTACACAGTTAAGGGGCTATTTTTTTCTATTTGCATATACTGTACTCATTTCCTCTAAGACCTACTTGGATGGAGTAGGTTGCTTCTGGGTCCAGACTCTCTCCTTTTGAAGGTACCATAGTTAACTCCTTCACTCTGATCTCAATCAGAGCCACCCCAGTCCATCAACACACATTTATGTTCTTAAACTTCAAAGTGGGGCAAGTGGCGGGAGAAGTCAAGATCCTAATTCTCTTTTCCCAAAAGAAGATCCTCCTTTACTTAATAAATCCCATAACTACATAAGTTAATGATGCAAAGACAGAAGGGAGGCCCAAGTGCCCACGGATACGTTGGGAAAAAAATGGCATTTAACTCTTCCCAGTGGTGTCTAAGCTCAGTTCTTACTAAGCCAGTCATGTCTTATTACATAAGGTCACTGCTATTTTGTGTGTTCCTTTATAAAATTATTATTTTGTTTTTTTGCCAAGGGATTATGGTTTCCAAATGCTGCAAAATAGTGACTTTTTACCATTTTAGGTTATCTCGGCATCCATTTTGAATACAAGTTTAACTGTCTCATACCAAAATCAAAATCAGGTCTCAGACACCCTTGATACAAGTTTCAGTCCTACACTACACCCACACCCAAATGGCTCAAGCTGGTAGCCAGAAATAAGAACTTAGAGTCCTCTCTACCACCTAGCAGACTGGACTCCCCACTTTCCCACCGCTTCCTTTAAAAAAACCACTCAGGCGTTTGCCCAAGAACTGAGAGTCACCCACATCCTATTCCTTTATACATGCTGCTTATTGCCATGCACGTGTGCTCTCTCCCTCTCTCCCAACCCTTTCTTTCTATCTGACTCTTCATTCCTGCCTCATGAGACCCAGGGACAGGCTGCCCCAGGCTGGGTTTTTCCCATGATGTTGGGGAGAACACAAGGTCAGGATCCCAATGCTAGAGTGATGGAGGCATAAACTGGATCATAAGCCAGAAGTCGTCTGCCAGTATAAACAAGTTTCCCACATGAGGGACCCTTGCGGTCGTGGGTTGGGTAACTAGACATTAGGCCATCTGCTAGGTAAAGGGTATCCCATGAAAGGCACACTGTAAACACCTATGTCCAACCCCCCTTCATTTCCTGTTAGGGCAGGGTTGCTGGCCGCTCTGGTTCTAAACTCCAGTTTATCTAAGGGCTCTCAAAACACACAACCCCTGGGGAAGGAGCAGGGAATGGACAAGTTCAATGGACTCCATGTCTGTCTTAGTTTGCTGTTCCAGGGTCTTTAGTGTGGCAGGCCTCAGATGAGTACGGTCTCTAAATCAGAAAAGAAAAACAAAAGAAACCAGAAACATTTGGCCAGGAGTGGTGGCTCACGCCTATAACCCCAGCACTTTGGGAGGCCAAGGCCGGTGGATCACCTGAGGTCAGGAGTTCGAGACCAGACTGACCAGCATGGTGAAACCCTGTCTCTACTAAAAACACAAAAATTAGCTGGGCGTGGTGGTGTGGGCCTGTTATCCCAGCTACTTGGGAGGCTGTGGCAGGAGAATCGCTCGAACCCAGGAGGCGGAGCTTGCAGTGAGCTGAGATTGTGCCATTGCACTCCAGGTGACAGAGCAAGACTCTGTCTGAAAAAAAAAAAAAAAAAAAAAAAAAAAGACAAGAAAAGAAAAAAGAAACCAGGAACATTTCAACAGGACCAGTACACCTCTCCTTGCTGTGCAGTGGCACCCGTTGACATTCCACCTTCCAGATTCCTGGGCACAAATCACCCCTGTTGTTCCCAGCTCATTCATTGATACTACTTAGAGTGAGCTATGATAACGATCACCCTGGTGATTTTTATATCTGCTACAAAATGGAGGGGTGGATCAGCCTTTCACATATGGATCAGGCTATCATCTTACTTAACTGACCTTGCAATGGAAGGCCTGGGTTGAAATAGGAACATTTGGTAAAGGAAAAGGTAATTTCAAGGCCTCTAACATCACTGGTGAGGATGGAGGCCCTGGAGCCGGTGTGAGTGCTGGCCATATTTACTAGTTTGAGCCTGGATCTGGGCAAGTTATTTGACTCCCTGTCACAGAGGGCTGTTAATCACACCTATCCCACAGGGTTGTTGTGAGGATTGAATGCAGCATTGCGTGTAGAGTGCTTAGAATGGCACCTGGCAGGCGAACGTGGGTTGCTGACACTTATTCCCACATTCCCAGTGTCTGGCACAGTGCCTGGCCCCGGGAGGTGCAATCCATTCTTGTTGCTAATGCTACCATTATCTTCACAGTCTGCGTCATGTTTTGTGAGGTCCCTGTGAAAAATTTCCAGTGCTGAGGCCTATGTCTGCCCTCACAGAAAAATACAAAATCCCACATAGGTGATCAAGGCCTGTTTCCACATTTCAGTCTGAGGGTTGGCTCGCAGAGAAAATGCTTCATGGGTTTCAGGCTTATCTTATAATAGAAAAGCCTTAATGTGATTATTAGAATCTTTACACTTGTGTCTAAATTTACACCTTAATTAGGTCTTGCATCTTTTTTTTCTCTTAGAAGTGAAACCCCAAAACCTGAAGGATAAGGTGTTTGTAAAAGACTTCCTTCAAAGTGAGAGGACACTACCAAATCACAGGTGTACCTGCAGAGTATCTAAGTGGATAGTGAAAACAGTGAAGTTATCCCAACACAGGAGCACTGGACACCTTGCTTCATTCAGAATTCGGTTGCAATTGGCCTGAATTTCTTATATTTCTATTTCACTCTGACATGAGAGTAAACCAATGTTCTGCATTAGATTTGCAATTATTCTAAAGGCACTGTTACAATTTCCTTTCTTAACTCTTACTGAAAAGAAAGTAGCCTTTTTGTCCCATTAAGGATGGTTTAACATCTTTAAACATGGGAAGAAGTCTACCTTATTGAAACATGCTGTAGACCAGGGGCCCCCAGTCCCCAGGTCCATGTCCTGTTAGGAACAGGGCCACACAGCAGCAGGTGAGCGGTGGGCGAGCGAGCATTACCACCTGAGCCCCGCCTCCTGTCAGATCAGCAGTGGCATTAGATTCTCATAGGAACGTGAACCCTATTGTGAACTGCACACGCAAGGGATCTAGGTTGTGTGCTCCTTATGAGAATCTATCTAATGCCTGATGATCTGACGTGGAACAGTTTCATCCCAAAACCATCCCCCCATCCCAGTCCACAGAATAATTATCTTCCACGAAACTGGTTCCTGGTGCCAAAAAGGTTGGGGACTGCTGCTGTAGGCCATGATAATGTCTATTACATCCTTCTACCTGCTTGGCTCTTGGTCTGGGGTCTAATACATAATAGACTCTCAATACATTTCTGGTCCACATGTAACTGTTACTAAGATCTCCAAGCACAGACATGGAGGATGTCCTGGAGGAACAGGTAACAGCAGCAGGCCAATCTGGTAGAAAGGCCATGATGTTAGGACTGAAAGAGACTGCACCGTGGTCCCATGTGGTATGGGAGTCCTTCATAGAGACTGCTGAGTTACCTTCTGTGTCACAGCCACATAAAACTGAATCCTTGTCTTAGTTCACTTGGACTGTTGTAACAAAATATCATAAACTCAGTGGCTCATGAACAACAGAAATTTATTACTCACAGTTCTGGAGGCTGGAAAGTCTAAGACAAGGCACTGGGAGATTTAGCATTTGGTGAGGGCCTGCTTTCTCACAGACAGTGCCTCCTATCTGTTCCTCACGTGGTGGAAGGGCAAACAAGCACCCTCAGGCCTCTTTTATATGGACTCTAATCCCATGGGTGAGCTAATCAGCTGCCAAAGGCCCCACATCTTTTTTTTATTATTATTATATTATTATTGTTTGAGACAGAGTTTCATTCTTGTTGCCCAGGCTGGAGTGCAATGGCGTGATCTCGGCTCACTGCAACCTCTGCCTCCTGGGTTCAAGTGATTCTCCTGCCTCAGCCTCCCAAGCAGCTGGGATTACAAGCATGCACCACACCCAGCTAATGTTGTATTTTTAGTAGAGGCAGGGCTTCTCCATGTTGGTCAGGCTGGTCTCGAACTCCCGACCTCAGGTGATCTGCCCGCCTCAGTCTACGAAAGTGCTGGGATTACAGGGGTGAGCCACCATGCCTGGTGGCTCCACATCTTAATACCACCACATTGGGGATCAAATTTCAACATATGAGTTTTGGGAAGACACAAACTTTCAGACCATAGCAATTCTAAAGACCAAAGTATTGAGTCCACTTCTTACCATCCTCATTAGACACTGAGATTCTTAAATCAGAGACTGTTGTTAAGTCACGTCCATCAGCTGTACAATCCTACACCTTACTCAGGGTAGGTGCTTAATAGAGCAATATTTGATGATTCATTGATTATCTTTTTTTTTTCTTTTTTTGAGACGGAGTCTTGCTCTGTGCCCAGGCTGGAGTGCAGCGGTGCGATCTCAGCTCACTGCAAGCTCCGCCTCCTTGGTTCCTGCCATTCTCCTGCCTCAGCCTCCTGAGAAGCGGAGACTACAGGTGCCCACCACCACGCCTGGCTAATTTTTTTTTGTAATTTTAGTAAAGACAGGGTTTCACCGTGTTAGCCAGGATGATCTCCATCTCCCGACCTCGTGATCCGCCCGTCTCGGCCTCCCAAAGTGCTGGGATTATAGGCATGAGCCACGGCGCCCGGCCGATTCATTGATTATTTTAAAGGACAGGTGAAAGAGTTAGTGCCTTAAAGGAGAAGTAATAACTCACTTCTGTGAGTTCAGATTGGTATTGAAGGGACTGGGTCTTGTTCATTTTTGTAGCCTGAATGTTCCATGCATTCACTCAATAAATTAATATTTATTCGATGAGTGGTTGTACAAGCAAATGAGCAGGAAAACCTCAAGGATCTCCTCAATAGGAGTCCACTGGCCTCTCCTTGGCCCCATTCAGTTCAATGTGAATATCCCATAAACGATGCTAGAGAAGATATGATTTTCAAATTGCAGATGACAGGATGTGAGTTTATTAGTACCATACTCCACTAATTCTAAGATGTACATTTTAACTTCTAAAATCAGATGCATCATACAATCAGTTGCATCCCACAGTTTAATGGGCAGTACTGTTTCTTCTTTATGGTAATTTTTTTAAATGCATCTTACAGTTAAAGGAGTTTTCTATTTGATGAAATATGGTATATTGGTTGATGTAATCCAAATCAAAGACTATCAACAGGATAGAACAAATAGGAGTGACTTGAACAAGATGGAATTTTGTGGTGATAAACAGTATAGTCCTGCACTTAAGTTCAAAAAATCAATTGCCCAAGTAAAAGATGAAGACAAGTTGGCTTAAATTCAGTTCCTGTCAGGTTTGAGTAGACTGCTAAGGAAGTCAATAGCCATGTCACTGCCCAAAAGCTAATGCAATTATAGGCTGTGCTAATAGAAATATAGTGTCCCCAAACAGGCAGAAATATCTCATGGTAATGTTCTTTGGTCAGATAGAGTTTGAAATCTCTTCTTGCCACATTTTAAGAGGCACATTAACAAACTGGAGCATCTGCTTTTATTGAAATTGTGCTTTGGAGTTAAGCCCTAGATCTACAATGAGAGATGACTTTAAAAGAAACAATTTGAGTAAATGTGGTATTGAATTTATCATAAGGAAATTGTTAGATGCATTCTTCTCTGGGAGAACCCAGGAGAAAATTTTCTTTTCTGTTCATGTCCAGGGATAGCTACGTTTCCTGTTTGCTTTTATGAAGACTGAATTGTACAACTGCCCCTGTTTCCCTTTTGGCTCTGGCTGCCAGTAAGTTCAAAAGGCAAATTTAGAGCCTAATACCTAGCCAGGTTTAGAGATCTGTATGGCATGTGTTTGTACACTACACTTACCTTGGGTTAATATTTCCTGCACTTATTTCTCTACGCTAATATTTCCTCCATTACTTTTATAATCCTGCTGTATCATTTACGCTTTTGCAAGCTCCTTCAAGTCTCCTTTGGGATACATTGGGGATATGAATGAATAAACACCAAAAATAACCAAGTAAAAAATGGATGCATATTCAGAGGAGAGCAACTGGGGAGAGAAGTGATGAGGAAATTGTTCCCTAGAGATGTGGCTGAAGGAACCGGAACTACTGAGAAAGCAGAAGACTGATTGGGGAATGAGAGTAATCCTACACACATTGACAGGCCTATCATACTGGAAACAGATTAAATATATTCGGTATGACTCTAAGTAAAATCAGTGAATGTTAGAGAGTGAGTTGTGTTTATTTTCTTTATATAAAAGAAAAAGTTGCTAACAATTTGAGCTGCCCAAAATTAGAATGGCTGCATTGTGAGGAACTGCACTCCTGTTTGTGGAAGTGCTTATGTTGAAGCCGGATGGCCACCTGTCAAGGATGTGAAAGATGGGATTCCTGAAGGATCCCGGAAGTCTCTCCTGACTGTGAGTCAACATTCTGTGAAATGGAGGCTGAGGTGTGGGAAGAAGACACCTGCTGAGGGAAGGGGGTTTGGCCAAGAACCTTGCCCTTGTGGAAGGGGATTCAGGGAGACAAAGGCCTCTAGAGAAAGAGAGGTCTCCTCCCAGGGAGAGCTGTCCTCCTGCCCATGGAGATGTTCTTCCAAGCACAATTCCCACACTGGAAACAGCACAAAGAGAAATCTGGGACACAGACATGAGCACTGAGAAGCACAGGCCTCCAACCGGCCTTCCTGTTCTCCGTAGTCCCCTCAATCAGGGGACAGGAAAGTGGCACTCTCAATTCCCTAGAGGTCTTTTATATTCCCTTTCCTGGGTTCAAATTCCATCCTTGCCTCCGATTGGCTAACAATTACCTCATTGTCTTTTCACTTGCTTAGAAAATCACATCTGCCTTCTCCACCCCCTTTCCTCCTTTCCCAATGCCTCTTACTCCAAAATGACAGCATCTTCCCCTTGTTGTGTATTCCTGCCCTCAAGTTCACAACTCCCCATTGTCTTCGACCTGATGTCCCAGGGCTTTCAGCTTCTCTTTCCTGACTGCATTAGCCATGCAGATTTATGCAGTGCTTCTCTCAGTCCTCAGCCATCTTCCCTGCTATGTTAATATTCAATGTTTTCCTTTCCCTCAACTCTGTTTTTAGCAGATCTTATTCCAAACTGCCTCAGAGCCACTCCCAGCTCGGTGGGGGCAGCTGGGTGTGGTGAGCACAGGACACTCCTTTGGACAGATGGACGGGCGGAGGGGCAGGAAAACACCCCCAGCCCCGGCTCAGCTGCTGAGTGATTTAGCCAAGAGTAGGAGGGGAGGAATGAGACAGCTCCACCAGCCCAGGCTAAAAACAGACCTGGCCTCCTCCAAATGTTCCACAGATTAGGACCCTCTTCCTCCCTTCTCCATTCCTACCGTCTCTCCAAACCTCAAATCCTGCAGCCACTGTGTAGCTTCTTTCCCCGTCAAGGCCACTCAGGATGTTGATCTTAATTTGATTTTGACAGACACAAAGAAGAGGAGGGGGACGGAGTCCACAGTGTGATCTGTCCTCCCCTCTTCTCCCACCTCTCAGGGTGGCCAGGGCCCAGCCAGCAGGACCTACAGCTTTGGTATAATTTACAGCCTGAGACTCAGAAGATGGGAACACAGCCAAGGCCATAAACTCTGTTCCGAGTGCTGTGTGACAGTTTATGGTAAAGGGCAGATGGGACTTGCTGGCTCCAGGCCTGCCCCTTCATTACAGAGCACCCTTCTGCCGCTCCTGTCACCAGCAGGCGGTGGTGACGTGCTGAATGGCAAATGGGAAGCAGACCTGGGTCCTCAAACTTGGTTCCTGTGTCCTGGGATCCCCACACACCCTGGCCATCACATACCCAGATCCCAACACACCTAGCTCCCCGCACACTTAGCTCCCCACACACCCTGGCCCTCACACACCCCATATACCCAGGTCCCTACACATCCTGGTCCTCACACACCCCACACACCCAGGTCCCTACACACCCTGGCCTTCACACACCAAGGCCCTCACACACGCAGATCCTCACACACCCAGGTCATCGCACACCCAGGCCCTTGCACACCCTGGTCCTCTCAGACCCTGGTCCTCGAACACCCAGGTCCTTGCATCTTCTGGTCCTCCTATGTGGGCCTGTGAGGCACACGCACAGAGAATAGAGTGTCACAGAGTAGGCACATTAACCCATAGCAAAGGTGGGCCGTCAGGAAGGGGT